>NC_000003.12:40616060-40919090 GCF_000001405.40 Homo sapiens
CCATGGGGGCTCGGGCTCCCTGCCTGCCCTCTGCGGCACACTCACAGCATGCACACACATACATGCACCTGGCCTGCTCGCACACATGTACAGGCACACACACTGCACAGAACCATAGGCGTTAGAGAGGAGCAGAATGCTGAAACTCACAGTAGACAGCATTTCTTTTCAAACAAGCAAGCATGGCCACACAATGAAGTTATCTTTAGGTAGCCAAGTGGGCGGTTGTCATAGCGATGTGTGCATTATTAAGAGAGTGTTGTTCATCCTGGCAGCTAATATCATAATGAGGTTGGCTCATTATCAGGTTGAGCCAAAGTTGGCTTTTGCTCTCCTTTTTTGCTGGGGCCTGGGGTCCAGCGAGGTCTCGATTCCACCTCCAAGCTGGATCACCGACTCCCAGCATCTGTCTTTTATTTGGTTACCCCAGCTTCCTTCTGTGCTCTTCTAGGGGAGCAGATAAAGGAGGACGGCTGGGCGGGGCTCCTGGTGCCTTCACCTAGTGTTCGTCCTGTAGCAGGGTGCCTGCTATAGTTTGTGAAACACTTAACAGCACTTGAGAACTATGTTGTCCCAGGCAACTGGGACATGTGAGATTAAACCGCAGATTGGTCTGCAGACAATCAGCTACTCTGCTTTCCTTCTGCACCTGTTTCTTTTGCCTACTTGGTTCCACGAAACCAGCTGTAAGGACCAAATGGTACCTTTTGTGTCATGATCACCATTTAATGGGAACTTCTTAATTCCCAGTGTTCACTGCAATTTTGTGAATTCCAAGATTCGTGAAAAGTCTACCTGTCACCTCAAGTTCAGGTGCCTGGTGGCTGTTTCACCTTATGACCAGATGTCCAGTTAATTTTAAATCAATTTGGAGATTGTTTGCCATTGCTTTCTTTGTCTGTCTCTGTTTGGGTTTTTTTTATAGGATGCTACAATGGTCTATTTGGCTCAAATTTAGATTTCATGCTGCATGTGATTTTCATTCTTGCCTCATGTTTTAAAAAATTAAGTTGCTTCTAATTTTCTCACTGTTTGGGCCAGCAGAGCATCCTCTTCAGAAGGAAAGGAGAAAGCAAACAAAATAATCTTGCTCAAAGCTTCACCAGGGAGATGGTGGCCACTGCCTGAGAGGTGAGTCAGGAAAAGGAAATGGTTTGTACCTTTATCACTAAGTGTCCTGTTGCGGTGAGCAAAGATGTGCCCTCTCAGGTACAGCCCTTGGTGATGCCCCCAGCACTGCCCTTGCAGACGCCCCCAGCACTGCCCATCTTCAGTACACCCGTTCCTCCAGAGCCTTTGGCAGTGTTCTGCAGCCCAGTGAAGGGATGGCATTTTATGGTAGGTTTTCTTAGAGCACAGTCCACTAACATCAGAGTCACTTGAGGACTAATTAGAAATGCAGATTTTGGGGTCCCCTGACAAACTGTTCCTCAGCTAAGCATGATGCACATCGATTTTTTTTTTTATGAGCCTTTTTGGTGTGTTTCATTTAGTAGTGTTTTTCCTTGTCCTTTTTCCTTTTTAAAAAGTAATATAAGGATATCGTAAAGCTGGTTTAAACAATGAAAAGAGAAAATGGTTTCTAGTCCCCGGTCTGTCTCCTCGGGGACTCCTATACTTTTCTGTTTTTATTTTGTGTGTATCTTTCAGAGATATTCCTCACATACATATGTATATAAATTCTCTTAAAATCCACAGTGGCAGCTTCCTAAATACACTGTTCTGTCACTTGCTTTTTTTTTTTTCCCCTCTATGCAATATATCTTGGCTATGGTTTCATACCAGCATATTAAGATCTTCCTCATTTTTAAAAATGACTGCACAGTACACTTTGTATGGGATGTAGCATGTTTTATGGGTTTTGAACAAAGCTGGTGTCTGCTCCTAATCAGGTACCTTTCTCTCCTTAGGCTTTAAGAATATGGTCTCATAAATCTGCAACAACCCTTGGCAAAAGAGAGACTTTTTTTTTTTTTGGCCCTATTTTAACCATAGGATAGCCCGTCTTGGTTTGGGTTCACCAGAGGTAGAAGCTGACACCAGGATTCCAGTGGGGGTAATCTGGAAGGTGATCATAGGTAACACCTGCAAGTGAGACAGGGAAGGAAGTCATTAAAGGGGGTGTAATCAAGCAGGTTACCACTGTGGGCAACTGGGGCTTAATTCTTCAAGGGCCACTCCAAGGCAGTGCAGAGCATGCCTTGGGGTTATTCCACCTGAAGTGTGGTGGAGCTGGCCACTGGTGACTGACAGGTTGCTTGTGGGAGTGGGGGTGCTAAATTCCCCTACCATTTCTGGCCTGCCTCACAGGGTATGGGGACTCCATTGACCAAAGAAAAACCTTAGCCCAAGAGATGCAGGTGCCAGTAGCTGGAAGTTGGGCAGTTGTGCACTGAAATGGTAAGGGCAAGGGTTATGATTGTCATACCAACAGCAGTCACCACACAGCTGGAGGCTAGAGCTTCTAGATTCATCTATATACTTAAGAAGAGCAATGGACATGGATGCAGTGCCAGAAACACAGACTGTTTTCCTAGCTCTTCTCTTATGGTGACTTTGGGTGAGTTGAGTCATTCAAGCTTTTGGAGCTTAACTTTCATAATCTGGAATATGAGGCTAGTGGCACTCACTTCTCAGGATAACTTTGTGGACTAAATGAGGATTTCCAGTTTTGGAAAAAAGATTTCAGAGTCCTGAGTGCTAGTGATTACTGCTACTATGTAGCAGCCAATACCCAGGAAAGAAGGCCATTAACATCCTTCAGAACCTACCCAAGATCACCACATTTGGTGAGATCAGAGCCCCCATTCCCTGCACTCATGCAAGTTATTCTCCAAAAATGCCAGAAGTCAAATTCAAACCAATCTAAATGGCACCAGGATGCCAACAAGAAGAGGAGGACAATGCTTCCCAGGGACATTCCTTCCATCAAGAGCACAGCAGACAGACCCTTTAATTCTGCAGTAGCAGGAACATCATGTTTGCTTTTCTGAAACAGCCTAGATTTTAGAGTCAGAGAGGTTCTTCGGAGTCTCGCTGTATTGCTCATCCAGGCTGGAGTGCAGTGGCGCGATCACGGCTCACTGCAACCTTTGCCTCCCAGGTTCAAGCAATTCTTCTGCCTCAGCCTCCTGTGTAGCTAGGACTATGTGGTGGCATGTGCCACCACGCTCAGCTAATCTTTGTATTTTTAGTAGAGATGAGGTTTCACCATATTGGCCAGGCTGGTCTTGAACTCCCGACCTCAAGCAATCCACTTGCCTCTGCCTCCCAAAGTGCTGGGATTACAGGTGTGAGCCACCACACTTGGCCAGAAAGATTCTTGAAGCTTGGTTGGCTCATTGGTTTCAAACATTTTTAGCCTTCAAATTCATTCTTTTTTCTGTTTATTTTTATTTACTTATTTTTTTTAGACAGAGTCTCGCTCTGTCTCCAGGCTGGAGTGCAGTGTCACGATCTTGGCTCACTGCAACCTCTGTCTCCCAGGTTCAAGCAATTCTCCTGCCTCAGCCTCCCGAGTAGCTGGACTACAGGCGCCTGCCACCACACCCAGCTAATTTTTGTATTTTTAGTACAGACAGGGTTTCACCATGTTGGCCAGGGTGGTCTCAATCTCCTGACTATGTGATCTGCCCACCTCAGACTCCCAAAGTGCTGGGATTACAGATGTGAGTCACCGTGCCAGGCCCAAATTCATTCTTTAAAGAGAATGATACTCAGAAGCTTTGTCTAACAAAAGTGGAGGGCTCCTTGGGTGTGATTTGGTGGGGATCCAGGCCCTCTCTCAGATCCTGCCACACCCACCTCCTCCTTTGTCCACACCAGCAGGCCTTAGGCTCCCCCAGGCTCTGCAGGTGCTGTTTAAAAAACAACTTGTCTGGTACATCCCTTTTCAATGAACAGAAGAAGAGATAGGGCACATGGTGACTTCATGCTGGGGCTTCTTTAAATGGGTACAGGGAACCCAGGCCAAGGCACTTTGGTAGGGTGAAAAATCCTTGTCAGGGCTGTAAGACCCCCATCTTGGAGAGGATGAAACTGGTGGCGACCTCCCCCCATTGCTCTGATTCTGTGCTTTAAGGATAGGTTTTTGGGTCCTTTTGCCTCTGATCCCCTTTAACCCCTCTCCTAAGCTTCCAGTCTGGCACCAGGAGCTTGTCAACTCATTTCCTGTCTAGCTGAGCATGCTCCTTCCCCCATTACCCTTTGCTCTCTGGCACATAGACCAACAGAGATTCCTACTTCCTACCTGGCCTGGAGGCATTGTACTGCTCGGCTCATCTCCCTCCTGCCAAGCCTTCTGCTTAGGAGAGGGGGCAAGATGCCCAGAAAGATGAGGTGACTCGCCTAGTGTAGTCAAGCTGGTGCAGAGCTCTTTGGACCACATGTGATTCTGAGAAGTTTTTAAGCCACAGTTTTCAGGCATCTTCTGTTTTGCCTTTCTTCTTACCCAGATTAGCCTCTTCTAAGGAGGCCCTGTCTCCACTCCAGCAATCAGCCAAATGGCACTGGAGAAGGGCAGATTCTTGATTACTAATGAGCATATCGTTTCTCCAGGAAGGAACAGTTGGAAATGGGGTTGGATGTTGTCATGTGGGTTGGCAAGAACAACACTGATCTTTCTGTTGTAACTCATTTCCTGGCAAGTGGACCCCTGGAGCCTCAGTTTTCTCGTCTGTGAAATTGGCACTGTGACACCTTCCCTCTTGAGTTGCTTTGAATACTACATAGAATGACATATGTGAAAGGACTTTGGAAATAGGAAAGGCTGCAGAACTGGAAGAAATTGTTTTATTATTGTACTTTGTTGATGGCTGTGGAGGTATGACGTTACTGAGGCTGAACACCAGCCTCATAGGGAGCCTGGCATGGTGGGTTGAAAGCACCTGCTTCTTCAGGGAAGCTCACTCTGCCTGGTGAGAGCTGTTCTTTCGCATGCCCACCAGCAATGGGGATGGGAGTCAGTGGATGGGGGATGGGAGTCCAACGGCCCACTGGAAAACAGGCTTCCCATGCTCCAGTGGGAAGATTCTGAGTATGTCCTCCTTGGTATCTTAGAGGTTCCCTGGCAGCATCAGGCCCCAGTAAGCTGCTTATTAATGTGTACTTTACTGGCTTTTCTCCCTTCCCTGCCTCACTTTCCCCTTTTTCCCTCATCCCTATTTCCTGGGGGTCTCCTCCCAAATAAACTACCTGTATCCAAGTCCTTGTTTCACAGACTGGTTTCAGTGGAACCCAAACTAAGATGCACAGCCACTTGGGCAGCAGTGGGAAGAGGGCTGAGAGAGGGTGTAGAAAGATCACAGAAGGTTAACTGTGAGGGAAGCAGGGCAGCAGAGACTAGAGATCCTGGTTAAAAGGCCCAGGGAGGCTATAGGACCCCTAGAAATACCTAACCCCTGCTGGCTCGACGCCAACTGGACCTAAACCTTCCAGCCCTGGCAGCTTGTCTTCAGAGTGTTCTCTGCCTAAGTCCACTGCGAGGCTCACCCATGTTCAGCTGTGGTGGGGACAGAGCACACAGGTGTTTAGTGCCACAGCAGAGGTTCAACATCTCAATTCAGTGCATGCCTGCTGAGCACTGTGCCACGTGGAGCCTCTGAGGCTTTGCCTCTCAGGCATTGGGGAATTCAGGCAGTGGCATAGGCATGGACACACATGGCACATTTAGGGACAGCAAGTGTTCGCTGAATCAAGTGTGGCTGGCCACAGGGAGGGATGGTTGGGGTAAGAGTATTGGGAAGATGAGGCTGGTCAAGAAAATTGGGGGCAGTTTGTAAAGAGTCAAGTGTGGGGCTGAGGAGTTTAGACTTTATCCTGAGGGTAGTTGATGAAAGTTTTAATCAGGGAGGGACAAGTTCAGGGTGGCACACTCATTTTTTGAGATTTCTTCTTGTGTCAGCTACCCCATAAACCACTGATTCCTGGCTGTCCTGAGAACCTCTGGACTTTCACTCTGGCTTCCTAACCTCTTTTATGACCGGATCTTCCCAGGAGCCACTTATGCTAGCGGCTTTTGGTCATATCCTACCTTGTCAAATAGAGAACCTAGGCCCATTTCTTTTCCCATGGAGTTTTTGGGAGTCAGAAAGACCTGAATTCTAATTCCAAGGCTACCAATTTCTGGCTGTGTAACTTCAATATATACATCCATATGTATATCCATATGTATACATCTATATATACACACACACACACATATATATATCCAATATATACATCCATATATATATAGTTTATATATATATATATATAAACTTTTATTTTAGGTTCAGAGGTACACATGCAGGTTTGTTATATTGATAAACTGTGTCATGGGGGTTTGTTGTACAGATTATTTTGTCACCCAGGTACTAAGCCCAGCACTCAGTAGTTATTTTTGCTGATCCTCTCCCTCCTTCCACCATCCACTCTCAAGTAGGTCCCAGTGTCTGTTGTTCCTGTCTTTGTGTCCATGAGTTCTCATCATTTAGCTCCCACTTATAAGTGTGAACATGTAGTATTTGACTTTCTGTTCCTGTGTTAGTTTGCTAAGGATAATGGCCCCCAGCTCCATTCATGTTCCTGCAAAAGACATGATCTCATTCGTTTTAATGACTGCATAGTATTCCATGATATATACATACCACATTTTCTTTATCCAGTCTGTCGTTGACGGACATTTAGGTTGATTCCATCTCTTTGCTATTGTGAATAATGCTGTAATGAACATTCACGTGCATGTGTCTTTATGGTAGAATGATTTCTATTCCTCTGCATATATACCCAGAAATGGAATTGCTGGGTTGAATGGTAGTTCTATTTTTAGCTCTTTGAGGAATTGCCACACTGCTTTCCATCAATGGTTGAACTAATTTACACTCCCACCAACAGTGTATAAATGTGTCCTTTTCTCCACCACCTCACCAGCATCTGTTATTTTTTGACTTTTTAATAATAGCCATTCTGATTCTACAGTGATGGTATCTCACTGTAGTTTTGATTTGCATTTCTTTAGTGAACAGTGACATTGAGCTTTTAAAAATATGCTTGTTGGCTGCATGCATGTCTTCTTTTGAAAAGTGTCTGTTCATGTCCTTTGCCCACTTTTTAATGGGGTTGTTTGTTTTTTGCTAGTAAATCTGTTTAGGTTTCTCATAGATGCTGGATATTAGACCTTTGTCAGATGCATAGTTTGCAAATATTGTCTCCTATTCTGTAGTCAACCAATATTTTTAATCCCTCTGAGTCTTTTTTTCTCATCTGTAAAAAATTCATGTCTTTGATGATTAAGTAAAATAATTCTTAGGCGTAGATCAAAGATTTTATCCTCCTCAACAGATACTAATTTCACTAATACTTTAAAAATACTCACAATGTGGGAGATACCAGGATCATTAACACACATTTTCTGTTTTCTGGCAGCCCAACACCTCATGGGAAGGTCTGGCTTGTAGTTTAACTGATGGTGTATAGTAGGTGCTCAGTTGCCTGTTTGGTCCTTTCTCTCTTCTTGATCACCCCTTTCCTCTCTGGCTCCCACATATGGTTCAAAACCTGAACACACACATTGGCCTGCTCCTCTTCTGGCTCACAAGAGAAATGAATTGGCTGGCAGGAGACCAGTATCCACCTGATGAAGCAATAAACCATGTGGCATGTAGATATTGGCTATAAATAGCTTCCCTTCATTATCTCCTCACTCAAAGCCCTTGCCTTTGAGTACCACGTCATCCCTTGGTGCTGACACACCCAAACCAAAGCCAGTCTCCCTAGCAACTGAACCACAGTCAGTGGTGGTCTGACCACACCCTCTCATGGTTGGCAACCATGCACAGTTCCTCATTTTATTTCTGCTGCAGGACAGGTTGGCTACTGGCTGATCTTTGGAACTAGAAACATCATTTTGCTCCTTAAATGATTAAAAAAGGCACACATGGGGCTTCTTTGTGTTAGTTCTTTTGTATCTCCATATCCTGTCCCTGCATGGATTATTTTGGTGCATGCTGCAGACTTGTTTTTGGAACTTGAATCCTGAGCAAGTGAGAAGACTTACTGGATGCTGTTCAAGGCTCTGCATGACAAACCTTGCACAAATACAAGGTATGATTGCCACTGACAGGGAGGATCATGAGCTAGCTGGGATGTAGGGAAAGATCAGGTGGCAAAGGTGTTTCAGGTGCAGGTGTATCTTGCCCAGGGTGCCCACCTCAGCAAGTGATAACAAAGGCTAGAGTTACAGTGCTAGGCCCTGGACTTAGACTGGGGAGACAAGGACAGGATGATCACAACAGACATTCCTGTTTAAAAAGGGGAGGAAAAAGAGAGACATAATAGTCACTGGTCCATAGTAATTCTGAAATCTCACAATAAAGAAAAAGAGATGGGGAGAGAGAAAGTCTCATTTCTTTAAACAGGAGGGTGGTGAATATGTATAGAAAAGGGGAAAAATGATTACATTTTATCTTCCTGAATCTTCTGGGCAGACCCAACTTGCCAGCTAAGGTGATGTCATCGTTGTGGCATCACAACACTTCTAACAGTGTCCCAATCTGGCAGGAGCTGTCATTGAAAGCAATCACTGGGGTTTGGCAAAGTGAGGTAGGTGGGGGCTCTACCCTCAGCAGTGACCAGCAGGTTGAAAATGGTTTGACCCAGGCATTCCTAGGAAAACCGGTAAAATAAAATTAAATGTGCATGTTTTGGTTCTGTGTGGTACATGGATGTCAATAAAGTGATTATTTCATACCATATTTATCTGACATTGGCTGGTGCTTGTGGGTTGGTACAAGTGACTACTCCCAGGGAGAGCAGTAAAAAGGCATAAACAGCATTATGGAAAAGGGAGAAAGGACAAGAAGGCACACAGGAAAGGGGCCCACTGGGATATGGGGGATAGGGATAGGAATCTCTGATTCTCCATAAGAGCTCAAGGGGTGTATGTGTGTGTTTGTCTGTGTGTGTGTTTTGTGGGTGTCTGTATGCGTATGGGTCTCTGCAGGTATATGTGCCTGCGTGTGTGTGTGTGTGAAAGCATCAAGAAATAGCAAAAAGAGAAGTTCTGTTGTTGAAGGAGACATTCCAGAGTGAAGTCATGGATGAGGCCTGTGTGGGGAAGGTGGGAGGCAGGACATAGGGTCTAGGCAGGCTAAGGGAGCAATGCAAAGAGAAGGAAGTGAGGTGGGCCTGTGAGATAAAATAGGGGTTTTTTTTTTCCAAGAGAAAAAAGTAAGCCAGGGACAACTACAGTCTAATTTAGCCTTTCTGGGCTGGGGCACTTGTGTGGGAACCAGTAGGCAAGGATCTATGTGGTCCCCCAGGCTAGGCTGGGTGGACCCAAAGGAGTGCCTTGCTTCTATGTTCTTCCTACCTTGAATGGAGAGGTGATGCTTGCAGCTGCCGCAACCATATCTTGACCAAGAGACAATAAATCACCAGTCTAAGTGGAGCATAGGGAAAATAAAGTAGAAAGATATCTGAAAAATGCAACTTGGGGGCATCAATGAGCCCTGAACTGCTACCTTAGATTACCACGCCTCCGCCTTTTTTTGTGTTTCTCTGCTGACATCAAGAAATGACTACAGCAGCCCAGAATGGTGGGGGACACAGGAGACATCTGGAGGATGTCCAGTTGGTGAAGAAAACCTGGGATCTCACACTAGGACCACAACGTACTATGGATTATTTTTATATGTTGCATAAATGTGGAAGGATAATTTTTCAAAAATGTAAACTGATGTTTATATTTTTAGTTCCCTCATTTTTACCATCGTGTCTCTCCTGCCCCCCTACTTTTCAAGAAACTAGGAGGCAATCCTGAGAAAATTGTTTCAGGAGAAAAAGTGACAGCCAGAAAGTGGAATGTAGCCTGAAAGTTTCTTCCTGAATTTGGGCCCTGAAACTGGAGTTCTCAGAAGAGGAAAAGGACCCTGGGCATAGACAGAATGCTTAGGAGACATACCACGAAGGAGAGTAGAGTGTTTGAGGAGAAGAGGCTTCTCCCAGGGTTGGGGAGGAGGAGAGCCAGACAGAAAGTATGAAAGCACAGGTTCTTGTGGCCCTAGAGAGAGAGATCCCAGTTGTAGCTTCTCAATCAATGGAGCATCAGGGAGGCAGCTGAAGCCAACACAGGCTGGTGAGATCTGAGAGTGGAGTTCTATGCTGTTTCCTCTGTGGAGTCCTGGGGAGGTGGGGCATGTGGCATGTGGAAACAACCTGACAGAGAGATTCTGTTGTCCTTCCCATTCCATGTAGCATGGCATAGAAATAGGGAATAGAAACAGGTTTGGGGGTCTGAGGGAGTTATAGGACAGGAACAAGGAACAACTCAAAAAAACAACTTATACAGACTGGTGAATGGGGACGATGGGATGAGGACTTCTTATCTGATACCTAAGGGGACAGGTGACTTGCTGATCAGTTGTTCAGTCCCATCCTGCCCTTGCTATGCCTTGGACCTCTGGATGTTCTTAGGAATTTAAACTGTACTAGTTACAGTTTCCCTGAAAGCAGAGTCTGAGACAAGCATTCATGTGCAAGTAGTTTATTTGGGAGGAGTTCCCAGGAGGAGTTCCAAGGAGGAGTCAGGGAGTGGGATGAGGGACTGAGGGAAGGAGGATAAGTCAATAAAGGAGGCATTCATGAGGAAGTTATCACTGTGAGCAACTGGAGCTCAGTTTCTCTGGGAATCCTCTGAAGAATGAGCCTCAAAAATTGTCCTCCCAGAGAATAAGGAGGCTAGGATACATTGTCACTGAGGCAGCAAAGCACAGATGCATGGCAGCATGTGCTTGACTTAGGTGCAAACAGCATGCCTGTCTTCCACAACTGGGCTGAAACCAGATGCTTGAGGGGCCTTGGTGTGGAGCATCCCAAGAGCCTATTGCACAACCCTGGGAAGGGCAGAGTCAAGCCATTGCCTGAGTTTAAGTTATCATCACCATGGTGGAATGAGCTTGGAAGATAAATTAAATGGGGTAAAAGAAAACTAAAGAAAGTTATATTTGTGACACATCTGTGTTTCTAAATTGAGATTTTATGTTTGCTTTATAAAAAATATTAAGACTAATGTCAGTTCCATATAATGGGATGAATATACATTTTAGAGTCAGACCAGCATTGGATTTGAATTCAGATTCTGTCACTTACTAGCTGGGTGACTGTGGGTTTATCATGTCACCTCTCTGATTTCTGATCCTGCATGTGTCAAACCAAGAAGTTTGCTGAGGGGTTAACAGTGACTCGTGAAAGTCCCAGTGATGAGTTCATATGCATCATTTTACTAAACCTTAGTTAGTTTCCTTTATATGGTATAGGTCCACTCACTATTAAGAGAATATTGTCATTCAAAAAGTTCTTAGTAAAGCTATTTCTTCTGTTGTAAACAGATTTAAATGGGGGTGAACCCAGGTGACATTGTCTTCAGGGCCCTGGAGCCTGGGACAGCTGTACCTGGCCACTCAGAGACTAGCATTTTGTTATTTTTCTCTCCAAGCATGACACATATTGCACATGGGCTCATTTTCCTAAATCACCTTTGCAAATTAAGCATCTTACTTTGCTACTTGTTTTTGGGTTGGAAGCAGTATAGTAGAGAAATTCTCTTCCTTTCTCCTTTCCAACGTCCCCTACCACAAGTCACTAAAGTCTGAATGTTTTTCAGTTCATTGCTACAAGTGGTGAGAAAAGCATCAGTATTTGCAAATGCCAAATGATACAGCTTCAATGGAGGATATACAAAGCAGTGAGGTAGCAGCGCTGCCTGGTGTGCAGTTGTCCTTGAAAACCAATGGACTCAGTGGAGACTCCTGCAGACAAAATGTCTGCCCTCCTCAGAGGGCTAAACTGGAGCACATTGCAGTTCTCTGAGCTTGAAGGAAGGTATGGACTGTGGAGCACATGATGCTGCTCTAGACTCCCTTTTTCTCCCGAGGTTCCCAGCAAAGTGGTCTTTGCTGCAGTGGGCAGCACCCACTTTGGGACCCCCAGATTGACATTTCAGTATCTGAGCACACTTGGAATCCTCAATGGCCCCTCTTCACTCACATTGCAAGCCTCAGGCATGCTATGGAAAGTCCTCAAGGCTCAGGTCCTAAACCTGGCTAGGCATCTGATATGGTTTGGCTCTGTGTCCCCACCCAAATCTCATCTGGAATTATAATCCCTATGTGCCTAGGGAGGACCTGCGGGGAGTTGATTGGATTATAGGCACAGTTTCCCCCCTGCTGTCCTCCTAATAGAGTTCTCATGAAATCTGGTTGTTTGATAAGTGTGTGGCTCCTCCCTAGCCTCCCCCTCTTTCTGCCTTGTGAAGTAGGTGCTTGCTTCTCCTTCACCTTCCACCATGATTATAAGTTTCCTGAGGCCTCCTCAGCCATACAAAACTGGATCAATTGAACCTCTTTTATTTATAAATTATCAAGTATCTTTATAACAGTGTGAAAATGGACTAATACAGAGAATTGGTACCCGGGGCACTGCTATAAAGATACCTAAAAATGTGGAAGCAACTTTGGAACTGGGTAACAGGCAGAGGTAGGAACAGTTTGGAGGGCTCAGAAGAAGATAGGAAGATGTGGGAAAGTTTAGAACTTCCTAGAGACTTGTTGAATGGTTTTGACTGAATTGCTGATAGTGATATGGACAATGAAGTCCAGGCTGAGGTGGTCTCAGATGGAGATGAGGAACTTATTGGGAACTGAAGCAAAGGTGACTCATGGTATGCTTTAGCAAAGAGAATGGTGGCATTTTGCCCCTGCTCTAGAGATCTGTTGAACTTTGAACTTGAGAGAGATGACTTAGGGCATCTGGCATATGAAATTCCTAGGTAGCAAGGCATTCAAGATGTGACCTGGCTTTTCCTGAAAGTGTACAGTTGTATGTGCTCACAAAGAGATGGTTTGAAATGGTAACTTACGTTTAAAAGGGAAGTAGAGCATAAAAGTTTGGAAAATTTGTAGCCTGACCTTGTGGTAGAAAAGAAAAACGCATTTTCTTGGGAGAAATTCAAGTCTGCTGCAGAAATTTGCATAAGTAACGAGAAGACAAATGTTAATAGCTGAGACAATGGGGAAAATGTCTTCAGAACATTTCAGAGATCTTCACAGCAGCCTCTCCTATCACAGGCCCAGAGGCCTAGGAGGGAAAAATGGTTTCTTGAGTTGGGCCCAGGGCTGCTCTGTGCAGCCTTGGGACATGGTGCCCTGCATCCTAGCTTCTCCAGCTCTAGTCATGACTTAAAGGGGCCTAGGTACAGCTTGGGCTGTGGCTTCAGAGGGTGCAAGCCCCAAGTCTTGGTGGCTTCCGTGTGGTGTTGGTCCTGCAGGTGCACAGAAGACAAGAGTTGAGCTTTGGGAGCCTCTGCCTAGATTTCAGAGGATGTATGGAAATGCCTGGATGTCCAAGAAGAAGTCTGCTGCAGGGGCAAAGTCTTCATGGAGATCTTCTACTAGGGCAATGCAAAGGGGAAATGTGGGGTTGGACCCTCCACACAGAGTCCCCACTGGGGTGCTGCCTAGTGGAGCTGTGAGAAGAGGGCCACCATCCTCCAGACCCCAGAATGGCAGATTCACTGACAGCTTGTACTGTGTGCCTGGAAAAGTGGCAGGCACTCAACATCAGCCCATGAAAGCAATTGTGGGCACTGTACCCTGTAGAGCCACAGGGGTGGAGCTGTCCAAGGCCTTTGGAGCCCACCTCTTGTATCAGTGTGCCCTGAATGTGAGACATGAAGTCAAAGGAGATTAGTTTGGAGCTTTAAGATTTAATGACTGCCTGGCTAGGTTTTGGATTTGCATGGAACCTGTGGCTTCTTGTTTTGGCCAATTTCTCCCATTTGGAATGGAAACATTTATCCAATGCCTGTACCCCCATTGTATCTTGGAAGTAACTAACTTTGTTTTTGATTTTACAGGCTCATAGGCGAAAGGGACTTGCCTTGTCTCAGATGAGACTTTGGATTTGGACTTTTGAGTTAATGCTGGAATGAGTTAAAACTTTGGGGGACTATTGGGAAGACATGACTGGTTTTAAAATGTGAAAAGGACATGAAATTTTGGAGGGGCCGAGGGTGGAATGATATGGTTTGGCTCTGTGTCCCAACCCAAATCTCATCTCCAATTGTAATTTCCACATGTCAAGGGAGGAACATGGGGATAGGTGATTGGATCGTGGGGGCGATTTCCACTATGCTGTTCTTGTGATAGAGTTCTCACGAGATTTCATTGTTTGGTAAGTGTGTGGCTCTTCCCTGTGCCCCACCTCCTGCTGCCTTGTGAAGAAGGTCCTTGCTTCTCCTTTGCATTCCACCGTGATTGTAAGTTTCCTGAGGTCTCCCCAGCCATGCAGAACTGTGGATCAATTAAATCTCTTTTCTTTATAAGTTATCCAGTCTCAGGTGGTATCTTTATAGCAGTGTGAAAACACCTAATTTCTTACTTATCTTCTTAGCCCAATTACCCTGGTCTGTTGTCCTCAGTTTTCATTCCACCTTGAGCTTGCCTCTCTGCTCAGTTCTCTGGTGAAATATCTATTTGGCTTTTAGAGTTTCTTTTCACCTTTAGATGCTTTTTCTTAGCTGGACTACCTAGGCTTTTTGTTTTGAGGGCAGAGTTTATCTCACTCTGTCAATCACAATGTATACCAGCCAGTTTTAATGACAATGATACAGCATAAGAAACAGCACACATTGATTGTTTTTGCTTATTGCTCTGTGGGACGGTGAATGTGTCCCTGTTTCTGACTGTGGGTTGCTGGGGGCTCCTCCTTCTGATACTAGAGGCTCCTGGAAACATCTCCTTCTCATGTCAGATGGCAGAGGCTCAAGAAGCCAAGCCAGGCAAAGCAAGCACATTTAAAGTCCCTGCTCACTTCATAGTCATACAAAGAAAACGACAGATAGGCAGATAGGAGGCAGGACTAACTTGCAGCTTCCACTTGGATTGACAGAGCAGCGTGTGGAGACTCACATCAAGAACTTTTGCTCCAAGAACTACTGCAGGAACATACAGGAAAGCCGGAGAATCCATAGACCCTTTGAAGAAAGCAGATTGCTGCTGCAGGCCCCAGGAGACAGCTGAAAAACTGTGAGTGCTCAAAGTGTGAAAGTGTGAAAGGGGGATCACCCGTCCCTGAGCACACACACTCAATGGGGTACCTGAAGGTCCAGATCATGGGATAAGGATTTGAACTTACCTGGAGCTGAGACAAATTTAGAAAGCTGAGTGAAATGTAGGGGTAGAAGAAGCAACAAGAAGATCCCTGTGGGCACTCTTGCTCCCCAGGAAAGCCATTTCTGACTTTATCTCACCGCGATCCTTGGGGAAGGCTGCCAGAGGAACTGGGAAAAGACCACAAGGAGAAGAAAACTTCCAGCTGAACTTTGTAACAATTTCAATGCAACGCAAAGTTTTCTGGACAGAATCTCAGGGACATGGTGAACCAGGAGTGTAGACACAACATAGAAGCTGCAGCAGGAGTGGAAGTGTAAAACCTGAAAGCCCTGTTTGCTTTCTCAGCTGGGAGGCTGGTAGCCTAAGGCAAGTTCTCAGCCCTGATTATCTGCTGCCGGGAAATAAACTCAGTGCTGTTGGGGGGACGTGGTGGGAGTAAGACCAGCCTTTTGGGCTGTGTGGGAGCTGGGTGAGGCCTGTAACTGCTGTTCCCCCCCACTTCCCTGGCAACCTGCATGACACAGCAGAGGCAGCCATAATCCTCTGGGAATATAACTCCATTGGCCTGTGAACCACACCCCCATCTCCCACAGCAGCTGCAGCAAACCCCACCCAAGGAGTGTCTGAGTTCAGACATGCCTAACCCTGCCCCCATCTGACAGACTTTTTCTACCTGCTCTGGTAGCCAAAGACAAGGGACATAATCTCTTGGGAGCTCTATGGCTCTGCCCACTGCCTGATCCTTCCTATACTACTGCAGCTCATGCTCTCCTGAAAGCACCACTTCCTAAATGGAGGCCAACCAACACAAAACTAGTGCAATAAACAAAACTACAATGAAGGACCCTCACAGAGTCCACTTCACTCCCCTGTTACCTCCAATGGACCAGGTGCTGGTATCCACAGCTGAGAGACCTGAAGATGGTTCACATCACAGGACTCTGCACAGACACTCCCCAGTACCAGCCCAGAACCCTGTAGCTCCTCTGAATATCTAGATCCAGAAGAGAAATAACAATCACTGCAGTTCAGCTCTCAGGAAGCCACATCCCTAGGGGAAGAGGGAGAACACCTTATCAAGGGAAAACCTCATGGGACAAAAGAATCTTAACAGCAACCCTTGTGTACCAGATCTTCCCTCTGACCTAGTCTACCTAAAAGAGACACTACCAGAAAAATTCTGGTAATATGACAAAACAAAGTTCTTTAACACCCCCAAAAGATTATACTAGCTCACCAGCAATGGATCCAAACCAAGAAGAATTCTCTGAATTGCCAGAAAAATAATTCAGGAAGGTTAATTATATAGCTGATCAAGGAGGCACAAGAGAAAGGTGAAGTCCAACTTAATGAAATAAAAAAAGATACAAGATATGAAGGGAAAAATCTTCAGTGAAATAGCATAAATAAAAAACAATCACAGCTTCTGGAAATGAAAGACACACTTAGAGAAATGCCAAATACACTGGAAAGTCTCAGCAATAGAATAAAACAAGTAGAAGAAGGAACTTCAGAGCTTAAAGACAAGGCTTTTGAATTAACTCAATCCAACAAAGACAAAGAAAAAAAGGAATAAAAATAAAAGAACAAAGCCTCCAAGAAGTTTGGAATTATGTTAAATGACCAAACCTAAGAATAATGGTGTTCTTGAGGAAGAAGAAAAATCTAAAAGTTTGGAAAACATATTTGAGGGAATAATTGAGGAAGACTTCCCTGGCTTTGCTAGAGATCTAGACATCCAAATACAAGAAGCTCAAAGAACATCTGGGAAACTTATTGCAAAAAGTTTATCACCTAGGCACGTAGTCATCACGCTTCTAAAGTGAAGACGAAGGAAAGAATCTTAAGAGCTGTGAGGCAAAAGCACCAGGTAACCTATAAAGGAAAATCTATCAGATTAACAGAAGATTTATCAGCAGAAACCCTACAAGCTAGAAGGGATTGGGGCCATATCTTTAGCCTCCTTAAACAAAATAATTATCAGTCGAGAATTTAGTTTCTAGTGAAACTAAGTTTCATAAATAAAGGGAAGATACAGTCTTTTTCAGACAAACAAATGCTGAGAGGGTTTGCCACTACCAAGCCAGCACTACAAGAACTACTAAAAGAGCCTCTAAATCTTGAAACTAATTCTCTAAATACACCAAAATAAAACCTCCTTAAAGCATAAATCTCACAGGACCTGTAAAACAAAAACATAATTAAAAAAAAAACCCAAGGCATTCAGGCAACTAATAGCATGATAAATGGGATAGTACCACACATCTCAATACTAACATTGAATGTAAGTGGCCTAAATGCTCCACTTAAAAGGTACAGAATGTCAGAATGGATAAGAATTCACCAACCAAGTATCTGCTGTCTTCAAGAGACTCACCTAACACATAAGGACTCACATAAACTTAAGGTAAAGGAGTGGAAAAAGATATTCCATGCAAATAGACACCAAAAGTGAGCAGGTGTAGTTATTTTTATATCGGACAAAACAAACTTTAAAGCAAGAGCAGTTAAAGAAGACAAAGAGGGACATTATATAATGATAAAAGGACTTGCCCAACAGGAAAATATCACAATCCTAAATATATATGTATTTAACACTGGAGCTCCCAAATTTATAAAACGATTACTACTAGGCCTAAGAAATGAGATAGATGGCAACACAATAATAGTGGGAGACTTCAATACTCTACTGACAGCACTTGACATGTCATCAAGAAAGAAAGTCAACAAAGAAACAATGAATTTAAACACTACCCTAGAACAAATGGACTTAACAGATATTTACAGAACATTCTACCCAACAACTGCAGAATATATGTTCTATTCATCAGCACATGGAACATTCTCCAAGATAGACCATATAACAGGCCACAAAACAGGTTTCAATAAATTTAAGAAAATTGAAATTATATCAAGTACTCTCCCAGACCACAGTGGGATAAAACTGGAAATCAACCCCACCTAAAGGAACCCTGAAAACCATGCAAATACATGGAAATTAAATAATCCGCTTCTGAATGATCTTTGGGTCAACAATGAAATCAAGATGGAAATTTAAAAATTTCTTTGAACTGAATGATGATAGTGACACAACCTATCAAAACCTCTGGGATACAGCAAAGGCAGTGCTAACAGGAAAGTTCATAGCCTTAAATGCCTATATCAAAAAGTCTGAAAGAGCTCAAGTGGACAATCTAAGGTCACACCTCAAGGAACTAGAGAAATGAGAACAAACCAAACCCAAGCCCAGCAGAAGAAAAGAAATAATGAAGATCAGAGCAGAACTAAATGAAATTAAAACAAAAAAATACAAAAGATAAATAAATCACAAAGCTGGTTCTGTGAAAAGATAAACAAAATTGGTAGACCATTAGCAAGATTAAGCAAGAAAGGAAGAGAGAAGATCCAAATAAGCTCGATTAGAAAAGAAACAGGAGATATTACAACTAATACCACAGAAATACAAAAGATTATTCAAGGCTACCATGAACACCTTTACATGCATAAACTAGAAAACATGGAGGAGATGGATAAATTCCTGGAAATATACAACCCTCCTAGTTTAAACCAGGAAAAAGTAAAAACTTGAAATGGTAATAAAAAATATTGCCAACAAAAAAAGTCCAGGACCAGACAGATTCACAGCTGAATTTTATCTGACATTCAAAGAATTGGTACCAATCCTATTGACACTATTCCACAAGATAGAGAAAGAGGGAATCCTCCCTAAATCATTCTATGAAGCCAGCAACACCCTAATAACAAAACCAGGAAAAGACATAACAAAAAAAGAAAACTACAGACCAATATTCCTGATAAACATAGATGTAAAAATCCTTAACAAAACACTAGCTAAATGAATCCAACAGCATATCAAAAAGATAACCCACCATGATCAAATGGGTTTCATACCAGGGATGCAGGGATGGTTTACCATATGCAAATCAGGTCAGGCACGGTGGCTCATGCCTGTAATCCCAGCCCTTTGGGAGGCCGAGGTGGGTGGATTACCTGAGGTCAGGAGTTCGAGACCAGCCTGGCCAACATATTGAAACCCCATCTCTACTAAAAATACAAAAAATTAGCTGGGCATGGTGGTGGGCACCTGTAATCCCAGCTACTCAGGAGGCTGAGGCAGGAGAATTGCTTGAACCTGAGAGGCGGAAATTGCAGTCAGCCGAGATCGCACCATTGCATTCCAGCCTGGGCTACAGAGTGAGACTCTGTCAAAAACAAAACAAACAAACAAACAAACAAACAAACCACAGTGGCAAATCAATAAATGTGATACACCACATAAACAGAATTAAAAACAAAAATCAAATGATCATCTCAATGGACACAGAAAATGCATTTGACAAAATCCAGCATCCTTTTATGATTAAAACCCTCAGCAAAATTGGCTTAGAAGGGACATACCTCAAGATGATAAAAGCCATCTATGACAAACCCACAGCCAACACTATACTGAACAGGGAAAAGTTAAAAGCATTATCTCTGAGAAGTGGAACCAAAACAATGATGCCCACTTTCACCACTTCTATTCAACATAGTACTGGAAGTCCTAGCCAGAGCAATCAGACAAAAGAAAGAAATAAAGGGCATCCAAATCCTTAAAGAGGAAGTCAAGTTATTGCTGTTGGCTGATGATATGATCATATACCTAAAAAACCCTGAAGACTCTTCCTAAAAGCTCCTAGAACTGATTAATCAATTCTGCAAAGTTTCAGGATACAAAATTAATGTACACAAATCAGTAGCTCTGCTATATGCCAACAGTGATCAAACTGAGAATCAAATCAAGAACTCAACCCCCTTTACAATCCCTGTAAATAAATAAATAAATAAAAGACTTAGGATATACCTAACCAAGTAGGTAAAATAACTCTACAATGAAAACTACAAAACATTGCTGAAGGAAATCATGGATAACACAAACAAATGGAAACACATCCCATGTGCAAGGATGGGTAGCATCAATATTGTGAAAATGAACAGACTGCTGAAAGCAGTCTACAAATTCAATGCAATTCCCATCTAAATACCACCATAATTCTTTGCAGGGTTAGAAAAAACAATTATAAAATGCATATGGAACCAAAAAAGAGCCCACATAGCCAAAGCAAGACGAAGCAAAAAGTACAAAGCTGGAAACATCACATTATCTGATTTCAAACTATACTACAAGGCCATAGTCACCAAAACAGCATGGTACTGGTACAGAAATAGGCACATAGACCAATGGAACAGAATACGGAATCCAGAAATAAAGCCAAATGCTTACAGCTGACTGATCTTTGACCAAGCAAACAAAAGCATAAAGTGGGGAAAGGACACCCTGTTCAACAAATGGTGCTGGGATAATTGGCAAGCCATATGTAGAAGAGTGAAACTGGATCCTCATCTCTCGCCTTATACAAAAATCAACTCAAGATGGATAAAAACCTTAAATCTAAGACCTGAAACCATACAAATTCTAGAAGATAACATTGGAAAAACACTTCTAGACATTGGCTTAGGCAAAGACTTCATGACCAAGAACCCAAAAGCAAAAATGAAGATAAATAGATGGAACTTAATCAAACTAGAAAGCTTCTGCACAGCAAAAGAGACAATTAGCTGAGTCAACAGACAACCCACAGAGTGGGAGAAAATCTTTGCAATATATATCTGACAAAGGACTAATATCCAGAATCTACAAGGAACTCAAACAAATCAGCAAGAGCAAACCTTGACATGAATAGACAATTCTCAAAAGAAGATAAACAAATGGCCAATAAACATACGAAAAAATGCTCAACATCACTAATGATCAGGGAAATGTAAATCAAAACCACAATGTGATACCACCTCACTCCTGCAAGAATGGTCATAATAAAAAAATAATAGATGGTGGCGTGGATGTGGTGAAAAGGGAACACTTTTACACTGTTGGTGGGAATGTAAACTACTACAACCACTATGGAAAACAGTGTGGAGATTCCTTAAAGAACTAAAAGTAGAACTACCATTTAATCCAGCAATCTCACTCCAGGGTATCTACCCAGGAGAAAAGAAATCATTATACAAAAAAGATACTTGCACATGCATGTTTATAGCAGCACAATTCGCAATTGCAAAAATATGGAACCAGCCCAAATGTCCATCAATCAATCAGTGGATAAAGAAATTGTGGTATATATGTATACCATGTAATACTACTCAGCCATAAAAAGGAATGAAATAATGATATTTGCAGCAACCTGGATGGAATTGGAGACCATTATTCTAAGTGAAGTAACTCAGGAATGGAAAACCAAACATCATATATTCTCACTCATAAGTGGGAGCTAAACTATGAGGATGCAAAGGCATAAGTATGATACAATGGATTTTGGGGACTTGGAGGAAAGGGTGAGAGGGGTGTGAGGGATAAAAAGCTACACATTGGGTGTAGTGTACACACTGTTTGGGTGATGGGTGCACCAAAATCTCAGAAATCACCACTAAAGAACTTATTAATGTAACCAAACGTCACCTGTTCCCCAAAAACCTATTGAAATAAAAAAAATAAAGCCCCTGCTCACTTCATATCCACTGACATTCCACTGGGCAAAGCAAGTCACACAGCTAATGCATTGTCAGTGGTGTGAAGACGTACACTCTGCTTCTTTTAGACACTGCAGAGTCACATGGGGCACTGCAGAGTCATGTGGCAAAGGACGTGATGGGGTCAGGGAAGAGTTGGAAAGGTAATCCAACTTACCACACTATGCCAGGCCCCATGGTCTGGGCAGCCTCTGGGCAGCCTGGGACAGCCAAACATCTGACTGTTAAAGAGATAAATTACCCTTGGTGGTGAATCATCTTTCTGTGAATTACCAAAAGATGTCTTTTGTGGCAGGTTAATTATCAAAGGTGCCCCTTCCTTTAGAATAACACAGTCCCTAGTCTGGGTGTTTGGCTTGGCAAGCAGAGTACAGTCTGGAACTCAGCCTCCACTTGCTCCCTGGGTGGGTCACGTAGTGCAGGGGATGCTGCAGTCTGTGTGCTGTGACCCTGTGCACACCCAGCCAGTGGTTTATAGGGCCTAGGAAAGTACCTTTGTCATGACTGACTCTAAGCTATGCAGGTTGGAGCAGTCTGGGATAGCTTTTTTGTTGTTGTTGTTTTTGTTTTTGTTTTTGTTTTTTTTTGATAGACCCAAGTTAAAAGGCTTATTATTATTATTATTTTTTACTTCACTTTTAGAGAAGAAATGGGAATTTTTTCCTTTTCAAAAGTCACCTTGCCTGTCAACCACATAGGCCAAAGCTAATGTAGAAGAAACTGATGGCTGTGGAACCTCCCTAATTGTAGAGTAGCACACATGTCTTTGAAGAAAGGCCCTGTTCTTCTTTCCCTGGGAATGACCACATAACCTGCAATTACCCTCGCCTTCTAACGTCAGAGGAAATGCCACACCTCTTCACATAACAGTAATAACTGAGTCTGACCATGCAGGAGGCTCCTGAGTGCCATGGTCCGCATTGACTGGTTCTGCAGTGTAGAGGAAGTGGGCAGTGTGCTCCATCACTGTCCTACAGTTTTTGTGGTGGCCAGATGAGGTCACAAGGTGTCATTCTCACCTTCGTCCTGCCCACTTATCAGAAATCTAACAAATAGATTGGAACTCCGGAGTCCCTATAGGCATGGCTTCTGTTTGGGTTGGGAGGTGAGACTCAGGCTTTGGTCCAAGGGATTATTGGCCCCAAATCCTTTACCCTATTCTACCTCCTCACCCTTGACATAGCCTCTTTGTGGGTAGTTCCCCACCCCTTGACTTTGACCAATGATACATGGGCAGAAGCGAGGATGTGTCACTTCCAAGCCTAGGCCTTAAGAGGCCTTGGATGTTCCTGCTTTTTCTCTGTGCCTCAGAGAGGCACCCCTGGGTAACAACATTCCCCTTAGTCTGGTCCTGGGAGTGGATACTTGTGGAGTAGATATGAGCCAAACCTCAATGAGAGCCAAGACCAGCTACACTCACAGTTTGAGGCAGAGCCACTCAGCCAAACCCAGTCTCATCAGCCAACCTCCTGCTGACCCCTAGACACATAGGCCCACAGATCTGTGGATGCATAAATGAAAATGCATGATTGTTACTAAGGTTTGGGGTGATTTGTTATATAGCATTATTGCAGCAACAATTAACTGATACATTTGTTTTTTAGTAGATTGCCACAGTATATTGACCTTGGATGCCAGCCATGGCTGGGGCACAGGAAGCGCCCCAGCAGAGAAGCCACTCTCTTTTTGACTTCAGGGACAGGATCTGCATGAAGGAGAAAGTGTGTGACTCAATTAAGATACAATTAAGATCCTCCTCCATGGTCTCCCTTTTATCTAGTGTCCTCATTATCCTGGTTTCTTTTCTTCTTGCTGTGGGGATGGCACTGCCGTTGCATGCTGATGAGCATGTCTGTGGCCCAACTTCTGAACTAGAGATTTCTGAGTAATTAATTTGGATTTAAGCTTCTCTAGCCAGCCCTTGATAGACCCAAGATTGAGTGCATTGGAAGGCATTGATTTCTCCTCGGCATTTTTTTGGTGCTTAGAGGTCAAGAGTCCATTTGGTACCTGCCTATCTAAAGTGAGTTTCAAAGTGAGTTTTGAAAAATATGCCATTGTTTCAAGCAACTTGGCCTACTCCTGGGATCCCAAACCCCTCCCCAGTGCTATGAACGTTTTTGCATTTCATCTCTACCATTTTGTCACAGAGCAATTTGACCTCATGAAACTATAGAGTACTGGCTGGGCATAAGGCTTGGCTGGAGCTCAGGCAGAGTACGGGCATCTTGACACAAGGCCCTTACTAATTTGAATAGAGTGATGAGCAGGTAGAAATAAAGATGTAATTCCAAAAGACGAGTTGAGAATTCACTCAAGAACTAACAGCCCCAGTTTTGAACATTGTTGTTTGTGGATATACAATGTACTCTGATTTTTCCTATTTCCAAATCTCCTTTAAGACCTAGTCTTCCTAGATTTCATCAGATTAAGTAAAACCACTCTTGCTCTGAAATTATGCAGCGCTTACTACAATGGCTTTCAAATTTTTGCTGTGTTCCAGGGTAAGAAATGAATTTGGTGTATTAGTTCCACACATTTTTATATAAGTCTAGTTTAAAGTTTTACTCTATGTTCTCCTAGAGGTAGACCTTGAGACAAGGGCTCATATGCAAGTGGTTTATTTGGGAGATGATGCCAGGAAAGACCAGGGAAGAAGAGAAGTGAACCTGGAAAGGAAAGGGGGACATTAAAGGGTGCATTATCAACAGTTGCTTAATTTCCCTGGGAAACACTGGGAAATAGTTTTGTGGGAACCAGCCTTCAAGTTGGCCCCAGCAATCCTCGCCTACTGTATTCATACCCTTGTTTAATCCCCTCCCACACGAACCATGTGTGTGCCTTGTTTGGCCAATAGAACATGCTGTCTGTGGTCAGCAGTCCTTGAGATGGCCCCAGTTATCCCTATCTCCTGGTAGTCATACCCTTGTATAATCCCTTCCCCAAGAACATGGGCCACTTATAACCAATAATAAGCGAGTCACTTCTAGCCGATAGAATATGGTCAAGGTAATAAATGTCAATTGTGAGATTAGGTTACAGAAAGACCCTGGTTTTCTTCTTGTTTGTGCTCTCTTGGTCTTTTCCTCACTGGATCCGAGGAAAAACCAGCCACCGTTTTGTGAACTGCCCTATGGAGAGACCCATGTGGTGGAGGAAGTGAGGCTGCCAACAGCCAGGGGAGTGAGCCTAGAAGTAGATCCTCCCTTAGTTGAGCCTTGAGATGCCTGCAGCCTCAGCCAGCACCTTGAGAGAGAGCCTGCAGCCTCAAGAGAAACCTTGAATCAGAGGCACCTAGATAAGCTGTCTCCAGATTTCCTGACCCCTAGAAATTATGAGTTAATCATTTTTTAAAGCTGCCAAGTCTTGGGGTAATTTGTTTTGTAGCAATAGATAATCAATGCAGTATCTGACTTTTGAGGCTAGGTCATAAAAGACATTGCTCTTCCCACTTCGATCTCTCTTTCTCTTGGATTACCAGCCCTGGGGGAAGCCAGTCACAGATCATGAGGAGACTCAAAATGTCCTATGGAGAGGTCCATGTGGTCATGAGCTGAGGCCTCTTGCCAACAGCCAGCACCAACTTGCCAGATACGTGAATAAGCCATCTTGGAAGCAGATCGTTCAGTGCCGTCAAGTCTTTGGTTGGCTGCAGCCCCAGAAGACATCTTGACTACAATCTCATGAGCAATCTGGACCCAGAACCACCAAATTAAGTTGCTCCTTAATTTCTGACCCAAGGAAAGTGTAAAATAGTGAAGTTATTGTTATATTAAGCTGCCATATTTTGGGCGTAAATTGTTTTGCACCAAAAAATAATGAATGTAGCATAGAACAAGAGACTCAGAGTTATCCTACCTAAGTAGAGGAGCTGGGGTATTTATACACCAATACCCATCTATCAATGGATGAGAGCTGTTTCTAGGGTCTATTAATTCTCCAGCAGTTCCCTGTGGGCACAGAGGGCTTCAGTGGCCAGAAGAAGCCTGCAGGCAAAGAGATCCAGATGTCGGCAGTTGGAAGTCAGGCCTGGGTGTACCGAAAAGTAAGGGTGAGGGGATATGGGATGGGTTGCTCACGGGACTTGCTAACTTGCAAACTCAGTTGAAATTTCATCTACATCACTTCCCTCCTCCCAGGCAAGCTTGGAGTACCTACTCCTTCTTTAGGGCTTGGTCCCTCCAGGGTGGTTTTCTGGTAGAAGGAAGAGGAAAAGGACAAGCATCTCTTTATATAACTGTGCCCATCTCTGATGTTCCCTTTGTTGGATGGTGGTGGTTCTTGGGCCAGCAATGACTGGTTGTTGATGCCCTCTGTGGCAGGAGTTCAAAGGCTAGACCTCCTTGCAGTGTGCGTGTCTAGATTTTCTGAATGGCCCTGTGTCAATTCCCTGATGGATATTCACCTCTTCAACTTCCACTCAGCTTTCACTACTGCCTCCCTTTGACTGGTGGGCAGCCCTGTTGGGTGGAGTAGAGGCAAGATAAGTCAAGTGCAGCCACTTTAGGTGATGTTGCTTGACTTTTGGGGGAATCACATCATCAGCCTCACCAAAATGCTGAGGTGCAGGTTGTTCTGGGCTTTTCTCTGCCATGTACCTCCTCTTCAGGAGTATGCCCTGCTAGGGTGGACACAGGACACAGGGCATTCCCATCTTGCAGTAATCTCAGATCTTTACCACTGATACAGAGCCCTTTCCATTGTCTTCTAAATGGGAACAGCACTCACACCTCTCGGGAGGAATCATTTCTCATCCAGCACTACTTTCCAGTTGGTGACTCAGGTGTGCATCCCAGCTTCTGTTTTTGGAGCAACAGAAAAAAGTCTTGCCAAGTACCCTGTAATACAAATAAAATGCTTTCACAGTGCTGGGCAGTGGGTACTCCACGAATGTTCATTTCCTGCCTCTTCTCAGTGATGACAATGGAGGTTGCACAGGTGTGGTTGGCTTGAAGACATGAGGTTTAATACAATAGGCTCAGAGAGAGGGAAAGAAAAGAGCTCATGCATTCTTGGCTCCTAGTGCAGAGCGTAGCATGGAATGGGTGCTGTAGGTATTCACTGAAAGAATGAAAAACATAGCTGATGTAGGAGTCTTTTCAACAGAAAGCAAATGCATAGAGGCACAGAGGTCCATAGCGCCATCCTCTGGGAAGACACAGGGTGGTGGCCTTACCCTGTTCATCAGTGGCCAGCTCCTTCAGGCCAGGAACCTTTCCTTCCCAGCCTGGCTTCCGTTATTGGGCACCAAGCCGCTGCCATCCCACTTGCTTTTTTTTTCCCTGTAAAATGTGGCCATAGCCAAGTCCCTCACCATACACCCTCCCTTCCAGAGGAAGGCTGCTCAGGCTCCCTCCCCGTTCCCTTTCTTCCTTCTTTTCTTGTTCCATCCATATATTTCTGTATCTACTACAAAGGTCAGAAAAACAAATCAATGAAGAGAAGGACCCAATAATCCTAAGACCTGACTCAGGGATGGGAGGTGGCGAGGGAAGCCACTCAATAAAATGAAAGAGAATTAAAAAATTCCCTGAACAAGGCACAGCGTGGGGTCCCGATCAAAGGACCAGGCAGCTTTGGTCCTGTGTGCACGAGCTGGATGCTCTGAGGCTGGGGGAGAGATGGGCTTCCAGGCCTCGGTCTCCCTCCCTGTTTCCTTTCCATCACACACACAAAAACACATACACACACAAAAAAACACATACGCACACATTCATTCTCTCTCTCTCGCTCGCTCTCTGTCTGTCTCTCTCTCTTCTTGGACCACCATTTGTTAAGGAAACATCTGACTATGGATTTCAGGAGTCTGGGAAGCAGAGGGAAGAAGACATTGACAGCTTACTTATTTCCCTGTAGAGGTCCCATTTGCCAACGCTGCTCCCAAGATCTCCACCCACTACAAGAGAAGTACCAGGTCAAGGGTATTGATAGTGACTGAGGAACAGAACGTTACAAATCCCACCTGGAATTTTCTGAACCTACCTTGAAAGAAGGTATGAAAATAAAAGCTGGTGGATCTTAAAAGAGCTAAATCAGCTTCTAAAGTCCCTTCTTTGTGAACAGCAGCTCTTCCATGAAGTCCTTCCTGACACCTATCACTCCCTAACCCCCACGGAGCACTCTTTCCTCAGAGCATCCACTATACTCCAGTACTCTTCTACCAGAGCACCGGGGTTGCATTATCATTTCTCATTATTTGTCTGTCCCATTCTATTCTAGGAGGGTCGAGGGTAAAGCAGATCAACAGCAGACTGCCTGAGCTCAAATTGAGCCACCAGCCCTTACTGGCTGTGTCATCTTGGACAAGTAACTCAACCTTAGTTTCCCCATCTGTAAGCCTTTGTGGCTTTTCTCCTCCAGGTTCTATAGCCTCTGTTCTTCTCACAGTTTTTCATGTAACATGGCTTCCAAAAACCCCAAAAAGGTTTTTTTATTGTTTGTTTTTTGTTTTTTGTTTTTAGCAAGAACAGCATCATCAGAATAAGACTAGAAGTTCCTCACTTTGGGAAGGCTCCCTTGGATGTATATGTTCTAGCATGTTTGCTATCAAGGGACACATCACTTTATGCTTATTGTGCAGAGCTATAGAAAATATGTGGACTTCCATATATTCCTAGGTAGAGAAGGCAACATATGTGCATGTCTATGTTTATGTGCATGTTTGTGTGTGTGTGTGTATGTGTTGTGTGTGTGTGTGTGTGTATGGGTATATGTGATTCTTTCCCTGCTTGTTTCCAGAGTTTGGAGGTGGCTAGCTGATTGAAACAGAATAAAGATTATGGGAAGGATGCAGAAATAGATACTTTAAGATTTCTGAGTTGAGCAGATTAAACGTGTATGGGAAATTTGGCTTTTTTTTTTTTTTTTGAGATGGAGTCTCACTCTGTCGCCCAGGTTGGAGTGCAGCGGCACAATCTCGGCTCATTGCAAGCTCCGCCTCCCAGGTTCAAGCAATTCTCCTGTCTCAGCCTCTAGAGTAGCTGGGATTAGAGGCGCCCCGCTAATTTTTGTATTTTTAGTAGAGACAGGTTTCACCATGATGGCCAAGCTGGTTTCAAACTCCTGACCTCAAGTGATCTGCCCGCCTTGGTCTCCTAAAGTGCTAGGATTACAGGCATGAGCCACTGCACCCACCATTTGGCTGTTTTTTTGTTTGTTTGTTTGTTTGTTTGTTTTTAAGTTAAAATTCTAAAGGAAACCTTCTTGGTTACCATGTTTTATTGGGAGGAGGAAAAATGGTTTTACTTGCTGTCCCTAACTATTTCTTGCTTCCAATAGGTCAGAGAAATGGCAGCTGGATCCAGGAAGATGAGAAATTTGAGCAGGCTTAGAAGTTGGCAGCCTACAACACATTGATTTGTGTCTTTTTTTTTTTTTTCAAGCCTACCTTTTCTTTGTCTTTTTCTGATTTATAAAGCTACAAAACCAAATATAAATCTTGTATTTGTAAGCCACTTTCCACATTATTCATCTAATAACCCTCTGTGTGGCATACACATTATTTTTTCCATAAACTGAAGCACCATAGAGGGTGAGAATGACTTGTCCATTATTTGGATATACAATTTATCTATTCATTCTTTTATTGATAGACATTTCAGCTATTTACACTTAGGGACTTTTATAAATAAAGTTACTATGAACATTATTGTACAGGTCTTTTTGTGCATTTGTGTTTTCATTTTTTGCCAGGTCATATAATAGGTGAATGCTTATTAGAAATTGATCACCAGTTTTCCATAATGGTTTTTTACCAGTTTACATGCCCACAAGTGGCGTCCAAGGGTTACAGTTCACTACATCCTCATCAATGCTTGGTATTGCATCTTTGGTTTTAGCTATTCTTGTGGGTATGCAGATGTAATTCATTGTGGTTTTAATTTGTATTTCCCTGATGGCTAACAACTTTGAGCATTTTATTACATGTGACCTGGCCATTTGAATATCTTCCTCAGCACCAAAAGGAATGAACTATTGCTATTCGCAATAACATGGATTAATTTCAAGCACACTGTGTTGAGTTAAAGAATCCAGACACAAAAGAGAACCTACTGTATGATTCTATTTTTATGCAATGAAAGAAAAGACAAAGCTGATATATAGCGACAGAGGTCAGAATAGTGTCTGCCAAGGAAGATGGAGGTGTGGAGGGTGTGTTGATGAATGGGTCATTAGAGAAGTCTCTGGGGGTAATGGGAGTGCTGTTGATCTTCATCTGGGTGAAGATTACACAGGATTTGTTTCCTCTGGCTTTATGAGCTCAACCTGGTCCTGTGCCAGAACATCTCTGTGTGTGGTCACCGAAGGCCAGTGGCTGACACGCCCTGCTCCACCAGCCCAGGAGGAGGCCAGAGAAGGGGGCCTGGCAAGCCAGAGAGCCACATTCTGCCTTCTCCCATAGTATTAGCATTTGCTTCATCATATAACTAAGCAAAACCACTTCACCCAGTTGTTCATTTTGTACATTGTACAAAGTTACATGGCAGAAGAAGTGAGTAGGCACTGGAATCCAGCTGTAGGCCCTGGCAGTTTCAGATCAGAGCAGGTGCCCTTTCCTAAACATCCTCTGAGAGGGAAGCCTTTTAAAAATTTTGTAGAAAGTCATGCTTTAAGCTAGCATGGCATTGTGGCTAATGTTGGGTCATAAACAGCTGTTCGTAAGCAAAGTTTGCCTTGGTACTTGTTGAAATGGCAGTTTCTAATCACTTCGGTGGGGAGACATCTCTTCCTAAAATAGAGGCACATTTGGGGAGTTTTTTTTTTTTTTTTTTTTTTTTTTTTTTTGAAATAGAGGCTCGTTGTATTGCCCAGGCTGGGGTATAGTGGTGTAATCTCAGCTCACTGCAGCCTCCACTACTGGGCTCAAGAAATTCTTGTGCCTCAGTTGCCCACGTAGCTGGGATTATAGGCATGCACCACCGTGCCTGGCTAATTTTTTTTTTTTTTTTTGTAGAGACAGGGTTTCTTCATGTTGGCCAGACTGGTCTTGAACTCCAGGCCTTAAGCGATCTGCCTGCCTTGGCCTCCCAAAGTGCTGGGATTATAGGCGTGAGCCACAGTGCCCAGCCTTTGGGGGTATCTTTATGCTTGTTCTTTCATTCTTCTCCCATCCATCCGTCCATTCATCCATCCATCCATCCATCCAGCCAGCCAGCCAATGTTTTCTGTGTATCTAGGATGGTGCATGCTATGTACTGAGTGCTGTGCTAGCTGCCAGGGATGCAATGGCATTTTTCTTTTTATGCTCATGTCTTTGACTCCCCAGTACTTTGAAACATCTCTGGCCACAGTATGCAACATATTTTTGATTTCCTGGCTGAAGAGTACAGCTTTGCCCTTGGATGTCACATACAAGCTGGAGTAATCTTCATGAGGCAGTGTTTTCTCAGCTTCACACCATCAGCTCCTCTTTGTCTGTGGTTAAGAAAAAGTCCTGTCAGGTTGGGCTCATCTGTAGTGCTGCCTGCTCTGGTTTTTGGCCACCAGAAGACTACTTGGAGGGACTGGTGTAAACTCTTACTGCTTCTTCTAATTTAGACTCAACTAGAGAGTATTCTTGCATTCTGAAATAGGGGAAAAATGAGATGGGGTGTCATAATAATCAAAGTGATAATTCCTTACATTCGTATAGCATTTTAACTATTTCCAAATCATTCTCACATTAAATATCTTTTTCACATTAAATATCTTAACATCCAGTGATAAGGGGGTAGATGGTATTAATGTACCAGAAACTCCATTGGATTAACTGGCTAGATACTCTGCCCCACTGCCAGCTAATTAGAACTGGGTCCTAACTTCTGGTCTTTAAGGAGCCCCAACAGATAACAAGTGTCAGTCAGTTACCTTAGAATTAGCCAAGCAGTCGCAACATTCTCTTGGGATGAAGAGATTACTATTAATGCTTAGCATTCTTGTTCAACAGCACTTCTACCTAGCCGGCCTGGGAGTTAGAAGTCTAGAGAGGTGGTGGGCAGCTGGTAGCCCACTCCCATTGGGAACAGAACAAGGAGAGGAGGAATAAAAGGCTCAAGGAGACAAAGTGTCTCAATAAATACTTCTAGCTGGGTTGATAGCAGAACCAAGAATAGAATTTTAGATGATCAGATGGTACAAATTTGTCTTGTAGCAACTGACCTCATGTTGCATTGTGAGATTTTTGTTTCAAAATAAAGATTTAAGTCATTTCCTATTAACCTTTTTATAATTTCTCATCTAGAAATAGACTTTGCAGAAACAAGATGATGTCATATAAGTCAAAGAGGACCAGGCTTGAAGAGAAATAGCCCTGCTTTCTGACTGGAGTGTATGTTGTTAATATCAAGTTGGCCTGGAGAAGTTGTTAGCCAAGAAATGCTATGGTTGTACTTGGAAAGTGGGAACATTGGGAACTTACTGGAGGACTCCTCGTACTCAAACCTGGAGGGGTCTTGGAGACCTAGGTGGGTGGGCTAGAGCTGACTGGGACAGTGTAAAACCAGATGGTGCTTGGCTTTATAAGGCATGTTGATGTTCACTATAGCAGGAAAGGACCTTGAATGCGGTTATGATGGAGACTTGGAACTTGGGCATTGGCAAGTAGGTGTCCAGGATAAAGGCAGACATGGAGAAGAAATCTGAAAGGCCCTTAAGCTTTTTGGCAGAGAGAATCAGATTCTATGCTGAAAGACCTAACACAGTGCTTGGTGTTTAGTAGGCACTCAACAGATATTGGTTCCCCTAAAGATACTGGGTGGTCAAAGTTGAATAAATCCAAATAACCACAGTGCAATTCTAGGAAAACATTTGTATAAGGAGTAGCAGGATGTTTGCAATAAAAGTCAATGGCTTCTTTGTTATAAAAAATTGTGGATGTTGTTGTTGAGGTAGTGTGGGGAGGCCCAGAGTTCTTCTGCACTGCTATTTGGTGTTTGCCTTTCTCCTCAGTGAATCTGTGAATCACCTTCTGGGAGTCCTCATTGTTCCGTGGAGCACAAATCTAAAAACCTGTAGATTAAAGGATCTCTAAGGACAATTCTGACTCTAAGCATTGATAATTTTTATCATTAGCAAATTTGACCCTAAGTCATCTGTTCTTTTGTCATCTGCGCAGTGTCCTTGGTTTACTTTGGCACCCATGACTTAGCTGTATAGATACTGGGTTTGGATATCAGGGATTGTAGAGGTGGCCCCGTATGGCCTTTTGTAGCAGAAGGCTGTCTTTTTCATCAATTCCACTAAAAAGTTTTCCAAAGAAGTCCTAGACATGGATGTGAATCAATTTTCCCCAAAAAAACCTTTGACAGAACTATGGTGGATGGCAAACATGGCCATGATCATTTCCTTCCTTGTATTTACATCCCCATACAATGTGACTTTGCAGAGCCTCTTATCAAGCTATGGAGTCTATTTCCTCCCCCTTTTAGTCAGAGACAACCCTGTAGCTCAAGCTGACCATTAGTATGTGATAGAAGTGACACTGTGCCTGTTCTGACCACAGGCCTTGGGACACCTTGCAGCCTCTGCTCTCACTAATCTGCTATCAATAATCAAAGTGATAATTCCTTACATTTGTATAGCATTTTAACTATTTCCAAACCATTCCCATGTTAAATATCTTAACACCCAGTGATAAGCGGGTAGATGTTATTAATTACACAGAAACCCCATTGGATTGACTGGCTAGGTACTCTGCACCACACCCTTTTGGAATCCTGCTCAGTCATCACATGACTGACCAGCCCAGTTTAGCAAGCTGGATGATGGAGATCATGTTGCCTAGAGATGAGCTGTCTTGGCTGAGGCTATGCTGTATCAGCCAGTTTCCAGCTGGCCTGGGAGTTGATTGCAGAGGCACGAGTGAGTCAAGACCAGAAGAACCACTCGTCTGAGCACAGCTCAAATTGTCAACCCACAGAATTGTGAGCTAAATAAATCATCGTTATTTCAAGCCATTGGGTTTTGGATAATTTTTTATGCAGCAAAAGTCAATAGATGTAAGGGGTCAACTAAGGCAGTGACCAACAGACTCTCTAGAATCTTAGTGCAGTCATCATAAAGGCCTAAGATTATCCTTAGTGGCAGAGATCATGTTATGTGTTTCACGAACCATTTTGTTTTCTTCTTGGGCATACAAGAATACCACATTTCCCAGCCTTCTTGTATCTAGATAAGGCCATATCACTAATTCTGTCTAGAAGTAATGTGAACAGAAATGATGAGTGTCATTTCTGTGCTGGGATGGTAAGTCTTCAGTTTGCTTTCTCAAATTATCTCTTAATTCATCTGCCAGATGGGTGAAACCATGACTTCAAAGACCATGATGGCAGAGCCACCAGACAGAATTGAATTGCTTAGAAGGGAGTGCCTCACCTGTATCCACCTGTGATGTGAGCTATTTATATTATCTTAAGCTACTGACATTCAGAATTGTTTGTTATAACAGCTAGCATTTATTACTCTAATACCTAGTTAGAGACACGGTATAGTTAACATCCTAGAGCTCCAAGGGAATTTATTTTCAAGATATTAAATATATTTATTTTTAATTTTATTATTTATTTCTAATACAAAAATAAGACAATACATTCACATGCTTCAAAATTCAAAAGATAAAGAAGGATTTAGAACACACACAATAAAACTCCTTCTTATACCTATCCACTAGCTATCCAGATCTTTCTTTGAAATCAATGTCAGATATTTCCTGTGTATCCTTCAGAAATATTTTTGCATATGCAAACAAGTGAATGTATGTATGTGTGCGTGTAGGGTAGCATGATGTTTTACACATTGTTGTGTACCTTAAAATTTTAACACTAAAGTTTGGAGATCTTTCCTTATAGTACATAAATAGCTTCCTTATTTTTTTCAGCTGTTATACTAGTGCATTGGATGGATATATTATAATTAACTGAACCGTTCTCAAGTTGATTACCGTTTAGCTTGTTTCTACCCTTTTGCTAAGACAAACAATGGTGCAGTGACTCCATCTTTACACATATGTCACTTTGCACAAGTGTGAGTTGACCTTAAAGAAAAATTACTAGAATTGGAATCAAATGGCAGTATACATTTACATTGTTGAAGGAGGTTTCCAAATTTTACTTACAGAGATTTTACAATTTAAACTTCTTACAGTAATATATGATAGTGCCTGTTTTTCAACACCCTCCTCAACACAGTGTGATAATCACCATTTCAATGTTTGATGAGCTGATAACTTTTCTATTATATGTGCTTTGTGAATCTTTTCATATGGTTAAAAGTCATTGGTTTTTTCATGAACTGTCATTTGCTAATTTTTCTATGATATTGAATGACTAGTCTTTTTTCATTACCTGGAGCCATAGGAATAGAAAATGTTCATGTTGAGAAGATGACAGGGTCTACCTTCACTACACACAACTAAGTACAGCTCAGGGAATCCAGACAGTGAAGTAACCACTGCCAATCCATCTGGACAGGAGGAGAAGGGAAACTCTAGCTTTGCTCAAGATCATATCCATAAGGCCTCCCAGGATGCCTGGCACACAAGAAGCCCTCAATAAATTTTACTATAGTTTTAATTAGCAGATGAATGAATATCAAATGATGGAGTTTGGCAATTCTTTTTTTTGACACTGAATTCCTTCTAGAACTTGGTTTCTGCCCTTAAGAATGGATCCTGAGACCAGGAAGGTGTCAGGTGTTGGTAATATAGGAACTAAGGATTCTTCTGCTACATCAGCTAGAAGAGAGTGCCAGAGGCTGCTTAAGGCAGGACCTTGTGCTCCAGAGACTCTCCCCACAATCTCAATGCTCCAGTCAGTGTTGAGGAGCCGAATGATGACATGTGTGTTGGCTGGGATGGGTTCTGCCAGTTGCCACTTGGTCCTTCGCGTTACTGTAGCAGAACAGAATGAAACAGGAGATATTGGTGAGTTTTATCCCCTGTGAACTCCAGAGCCTTCCTTCTCCTGTGGAGTCCAGTGCCTCCCCTCTCCTCCTCAGCATCAAAACCACTTTTAGAAAATGTTTCTCTGTTAGTCACCTTCCTGGTTTGGGTTCCTACAGCAATCCACCCTGGGAAAGAATTTGTGTGCACGTAGTTTTTTTGGGAAGTGAAGACAATTCCAGTGGACAAGAGATGACCGTCAGGCAAAGAGATGCCAGCACTGGTGGCTGGAAGAGAGACCAGTAGGCACTTCAGTGATCTGGGTGAGGGAATATGAGTGGGGCACTGATAACTTCTGCTCCAGCCACTTATACTCTGGCCTTGTCTCCAGTCTGGCCCCACCCGCTACTTCCACCTATTTTTCTCCTAGCACCCAGAGTGATCTAAAATGAAAATCAATCCCTTCACTTTTCTGCACTTAAAGCACAAACTCCTTAGCAAAGCCTCAAAGCTTACAACTGCCCCTTGCCCTTCAGGTTTCGAACCAGAGACACCTGTGGTTCCCAAACAGCACTCACCCCAACCCCACCACCGCTGATGCAATCACTTCATTGCCCTGAGACTGACTGACTGCCCTGTCTGTGTTCCCCTGATGCTCCAGCTGATGCGAGCACCTCCAAGGCTAAGACTAGGTCCCTGAGCTTCTGTATCCACAGCCCCAGGCACCCGGCATGCAGCAGGCCCTTAAGGGCTGCCTGTTGAACAGATACGTGAATTTAAATGATGGAAAGAAAGCATCAGAAAGGGCATCAGGAGCAGTTAAGAGAACGATTTTGTTTGTTTGTTTTTTGAGAGGAGTCTCATTCTGTCACCCAGGCTGGAGCACAGTGGCATGATCTTGGCTCACTGCAACCTCCACCTCCCGGGTTCAAGCGATTCTCCTGCCTCAGCTTCCCGAGTAGCTGGGACTACAGGCTCCTGCCACCATGCCCGGCTAGTTTTTTTGTATTTTTAGTAGAGATGGGGTTTCACCATGTTAGCCAGGATGGTCTGTATCTCCTGAGGTCGTGATCCACCTGCCTCGGCCTCCGAAAGCAGGCCTGGGATTATAGGCATATTTTGAGGGAAAGGGAACAAATAGGTATTTTGCTAAGCACGCACTAGGAACAAGGAGCTTCCTAGACATTATCTTACTTAATAGTCATAACGATCCTGTTACTATTCCCATCTAAAAAAAAAAACAAGAAAACTTAGGCAAAGAGAGGTTAAATGACTCTCCCCAAGTCACATGGATGGTGGATGGTGAGTGTCATAGCCAGTATGCAAATGCTGCTGTCACAAATAAATGACCAGAAAGCCCACACACTTTTTAATCACACCACTGCTTGCAATTATACCCTCTGTGTACACTGCAAAGTCAGCTTTATGGATGTGAGTCTTTAAACCTCTCAGCTGAGAATGCCTACCCCTTCTTTCAGGCAGTGAGGCCACACTGGGCTGAGGGCAGATGGGGCAAGGAGACTGTGCCCCACCCCTCCTCCTCTCCTAGACATCACTGGTGGAGTTGCTTGCGATGCTTGGCTCCTCAGAGCCTCTCTTGGTTCTGAAAGTCAGCATTTCTGTTATCACACGTTATCAGTGCCAGGTCTCCCTGGGACAAAGTGCTTATTGGAATCCTCCAGAAGCCTACTTTACTTATCACATGTCCCACACCAGAGAGGTCCTGGCTCTCTGGAAACAAGCCCCTTTCCATCAGTCTGAGATGGAATTAACCTCCCAAAGGACCCCGTGCAGCCTTTATGAACCAATCAAAATTGGTTCCACATTGAGTTTCCATGGGTTTTATTTTATTTTCCCTCCAAATCTCACTGCTGTTGCATTAGGCACCAGCCTCTGCAAGTTGCTTAGAAACTGCTTTGCATCAGCCGGCTCATCCAGGTCCCCATGTGCAGGCAGAGTGATAAGCACCACTACTTATTTTTTTTTTAAATACAGACATATAATTAAGGAAAACATTCTGATGTCTGCAAAGTCCGGCTGGCAACAAATAGCCAGTGAGAAAGGGCTCAAGGTGGAACAGAGCTAAGGATTTCAATGTGAAAATGAATAAATAAGACCCCCATTCACTCCTCCCTTTGTAAACATAGGGTCAGCACCAGTTTTAGGTGACTCAGTTTTTTTCCAAAATTGGTTCTACTCTGGGTTTGCCCAATCCTTCAGAACTAAAGATGTTTCTCAAGGGGGAGACACTTCTAATTCCATGTGTTACTATTCTGAATGAGAACAAAAAAGAGAAGAGAAGATACTACCTGGCAGTGGACATGTGTTGTGTTTGTTAGCTCAGCCGCCATGCCACCTCCTTCTGCAAATGGCACTTAGATTTTGCTTTGGGGTGCCACCTCCTCCCTGTTCCAAGTCATGGGATTTGTGGGGGTTACTCAACCCACAAGGCTCCAGGGAGTAGACACATGACACTGGCCTGGCCAGTGGAATTGCTAAGGGTTTGGCGTGTGACCCACACTGGCTCCAGGAGAGTCAGCCCTGGCACTTGGTTGGAAGTCTGGGAAAGGTGGTATTTTCTTCCTGTTGTGTTTGCAACCCCGGTAGAGTAAATACCTGATTCTGCTGGTGGTCATCTTTGCTACCATGTAGGAGGGCCTGCTGAGGATGAAGCCAAAACAGAATAAAATTAAGAGATAGAGACCATATTGGTGTATCCACTGAAGCCAGACTTTCCAGTTAAGTGAGTGCTAAATTTCCCTTCTATTTTACTTGAGTCTGTTTGACTTGTGCTTTTTGTCATTTTCAGCCAAATAGTCTTGGAAAGCAATTGTGCCAATCCCTCACTTTCACCAAAGATCTGCTTCCTACCTTTTAGATAGGGCCAGGACAGAAGGACTCTGCTTTATGGGTTCTCATGAAGGTCTTGATACTCATTGGTAAAGTACTTCTCCCCTGTGGGGAGAGCTGGGGAAAGGGGAGTGGGTATGTGCTCAACAACATGGAGAAGGGGAATGATGTCTTGAAATTCTCTCTTTTTTTCCTTCAATTTTTATTTTAAGTTCCAGGGTACATGTGCAGGATGTGCAGGTTTGTTACATAGGTGAATGTGTGCCATGATGGTTTGCTGCACAGATCATCCCATCATCTAGGTATTAAGCCCAGTGTCTATTAGTTATTCTTCCTCTCCCCAACCCCCCAAACCCCCTGGACAGGCCCCAGAGTGTGTTGTCCACCCCTCATGTGTCCATGTGTTCTCATAGTTCAGCTCCCACTTATGAGAACATGCGGTGTTTTGTATTCTGTTCCTGCGTTAGTTTGCTGAAGATAATGGCTTCCAGCTCTATCCATGTCCCTGCAAAGGACGTGATCTCGTTTTATTTATTTATTTATTTATTTTTTAATTTTTATGGCTGTGTAGTGTTCCATGGTGTATATGTACCACATTGAAATTCTCTTTGAAGTCAGCAGAAATGTGTGCACGGACACAGTGCACGGATGTGGTGGCTGAAAAGAAACGTCAGACATGGGCTCTTAACTCCAGGAACTTAGATGTTGAGAAACAGTGACAGGACACACGTGTAGTAAAGCTAAAGACAAGCCCACAATATAGGCCCTGACAGAAGACCTAGACAGTCAGAGTTGTAGGACGTCATGGAAGGTGGAGAGGAAGGCTTCCTAAAGCTGTTGGGTCAGGGAATTAGAGTGGTAGGTAGAGGGGAAGGTGGAGGGATGATATCACTGGAACGAGTACAAATTTGCAAGACTAGAGACTGCCCAGGCCTTTAAACCCATGTGTCCATTTCTGGGTGAGAGGTCCTCCTCTTGTCCTCTGTTCCCTTCATTCACTCTACATCCTCTTCCCTTCTCCTACCTTCTCTCCATCCCTGAAAGTTTTCATGGAGCTGGGGACTAGTGAGAGGCTGTGATTGCAGGGATTCATTTCTGTCTGCTCTACCACCCCTGGGAAGCCAGCACATGAGCTTTGAATTATATTGGGGGGGAACTAGGTTAGACTGAAGGAAGAACCAAGCAGGACTCCTAAAAAAGCCCACATCAGTTGCCATGACAATATGCTGACTCTTTCCCCGAAGGAATTTTAAAATAGGTCACACTTTCCTTTTTATGGGAGGTTGAGAGTCCTGCCAGGAACAATGATGGGGCCGGCAAAGGACTCAGCACTGAAAGGTCAAATTCTGTCAAATCACAGATTTCACTTATAGAAATCTGTACAAAAAGACAATTCCTTCTCCTCCGCTGGGATGCTCCCATGTGCTACCTGTTTGCGCAGCCTGGGAAGCACATGTGGTGGTCCAAGTGATAGAGAGGCCTGTGTGGTTATGGTTTCTTGACATGCCCCTCTCTGTGGGTTTAAGCGTTACCTGGGTGCACCCACCCATCCTTCACAGCAAGTGCTGGTGCCACTTTGTGGCTTTCCTTTCAGTGCCAGAGTGAGATCCCCTTAAGCATCCCTGTCTTCTGTTACTAGCTCCTTTGGATCCAGATTTGACTCCTTTATTTACCACTTACTGAACATGAGATGCACTCAGGCTACTGCAACTTTTGGAGACTTGGTTCCTAATCTGCAATAACCGGGGGCATATCACCTACCTGGAAGCATTGGAGAGGAGAAGCCAAGATAGTGCAAAGAAATGGCCCATCCCTGTCTCTGGCACAGAGCAGACATATAGTCATTAACTGTATCCTTTTCCTCTCTTTTGGAGGAAATTACTGAATTTAGGGCAGTCATACCTTTTTAGGAGCTGCTCCCAGCTCAGCTCAGGTGTCCTTTAGGCCAAGATGCCTTTCCTGAAGCCCCACCTTATGCAAATCTCACTTCATACTCTCTCCTGGCCTCCTTCATTCTCCTTTCAAATCTGTACTTAAATGTTTATGAACATTTGCTTAACATCTGCTTCTGCGGTAAGAATGAGAGTGCAGGCACCGTGTCTGCCATGCTCTCTGCTGTATCCCCAGTGCCTGGAACACAGTAAGGGTTCAGTAAATGTTTGTTGAATGAACAAATGAGTGATCAGAAACCCTGCTTGGTAGTTGCATATGTCTTTGCTTAATAAGACACAGGGGAAATGAAGACATTGCTATCTAATAAGTGTAATTTATCTGGGAGGAAAAAATTGTTGCCAACGTGAGCCCATGTGATGTTTATAAATAATTAAATGGGCCCTTGATGGTGAAAAAGTGAGTAACTCCTAGAGTTATTGTCTGGCTGAATTTTGCTTTTGTTTGCTCTAGTTTAATGCAACAGTCTTCAAAATTTGCATCTGTTTCTTCCACCTGCTGAATTCCATGGACTAGATCACATCTGTGTTGCTTTAGGTGCTTAGAAGAGGTATTCAAGTCAGAATCTATGCCTAATTGTTGCCTCTCAGATAATTATTTATGTGTTTCTTCCTTCCTACATGGAAGCATGGTCATGAGTATATTTGTGCCTTGCACCTTCCTACTTGTGTTCCCTTGGGCTTGAACATGGTGATAGCTATATCACAGGCACACAGGCATGCATGCCTATGCATGTATGTGCACATGAGTGTAAGCACATGTGAAGGCACTGGACAGACAGGGCTCGGAGGATGATTTGCCTTTGTCTTCTGGGGCATGAAGAAGCTATTCCTGTGGGAACGAGTGCTGGAATTGGAGTCAAGAGAGTCAAGAAAAGAACATACACTTGGTTGTTGAAGAGCTGGCCCTCTTGCCATTAAATAGAAGAGAAACTAAACAAAAAGTCTGAGGGGATCTCTCTGTGATGAGAGAATCAGAGATGGGTGATGGGATAAAGCAGTGATGCTGATTTTTGTACTGGGCCACATGGAAGCTCAGGGTAAGTAAGATCTCCAGCTAACTCCTGTAGCTCCCTAGACTCTGTGTTCATCATTCCAATTGGAGATGAACTTCCTCATCATCAAAGTCTCCTTCATATCGTCAGGGACTACATCAGGGTTTCTTGGACAGTCTTGCTGGGTGATTGATGTCTGCTAACCCTTCCAGAATTCCTTTAGTAACAGAGAAAGAGATGGTGGCAGAGATGGGTAACTCTCTCTTCTCCCCTTCTGTGGTAAATGTTGAGATGGGAAGAGGTTGCCCAACCAGGGACTGAATTTCCCACTGCCACTCTGCTACTCTTGCACTGACTTGGTGTGGTCATGTGACTTATTCTTATCAATAGAATATGACAGGAAGTGATGTGTGCCACTTCTGTCCCTGAATGACTTTGTGGAAGGGAGCCACCTACAGACTTAAACACCCTTCTAGGTATGTGAGAAACAAACTTTTATCACGTCAGATCGTTACGTATTTGGGTCTGTTTGTCACAGCAGCTTGGTCCACACTGAATAATACAGATGGTGTATTAGTCTGGTCTGGCAGCTGTAATGAAATATCATAGACCAGATGGCTTAAATAACAAATTTATTTCTCATAGTTCTGGAGGCGGGAAGTTCAAGATCAAGGTATGGGTAAGGAAGATTTCATTTTGAAGCCTCTTCTTTTGGCTTGCAGGTGGATACTATTTTGCTGTATGCTCACATGATCTCTGTATGTGTGTGTGTGAGGAGAGAGGGAGAGAGAAAGAGAGAGAGAGCATACTAAAATATTCTGCATTTTAGATTCTTTAACAATAAATCTTGGACACCTGTATTAGTTCGTTCTCACTCTGCTAATAAAGACATACCTGAGACCAGGTAATTTATAAAGGAAAGAGGTTTAATGAACTGACAGTTCTACATGGCTGAGGAGGCCTCACAATCATGGTGGAAGGCAAATGAAAAGCTAAGGCAAAGGAGAAGCAAAGGCATGTCTTACGTGGTGGCAGGCAAAGAGAGCATGCGCAGGGGAACTGCCCTTTATAAAACCATCAGATCTCATAAGACTTCTTCATTATCACAAGAACAGCATGGGAAATACCTGCCCCCACGATTCAATTGCCTTCCATAGGGTCCCTCCATGACACATGGGAATTATGAATGCTACAATTCAAGATGAGATTTGGGTGGGGATGCAGTCAAACCATATCAACACCAGTCCATATCAGTACGTAGAGAGCTTCTTCTTTTTCACAGCTATGTAGTGTTTCATTAAATAGCTACCATAATTAATTTAAGCAGTCCCTCCTTGATGAATATTTGAATTGACTCTACTCTTTTGTTGTCACAGACAGTGTAGTAAAGAATAATCTTTTCGTGAGTGTAGAAATATCAATAGGACACAATTCTAGAAGTGGGATTATTGGGTCAAAGGACAAATGCATTTACAATTTTCATGAACATTTGCTTCTCCCTTTTGAATCTAGTTTCTGGGAGGGTCCAAGGCTCAGCACTTGGTATTTCGTTCTTGTAGAGGCTCCTACTACCAGTGGAAGTACTCAACAGAGCTCAGAGAGTTTCCACACTCTCTAAGTGTGTCAGTATCTGAGTGGTGCAGTATCTTGCAACACTCCAGGGTAGATGCTGCAGTCCTTTCAGATTCTTTGTGTCTCTGCCCACCAGAGATTGTGTGTCTGTGCTCTGTTCTCTTGTAACATGGTGCCCACTAGAGCTGTGAGATCTGAGCTGTAGTTTCCGTCTGTCATATGGGGAATAGCAGCTCTCTGGCCCCCACGGGTTGGTGGCAACACTGAAGTGAAGCAATGCATATGGCAGAGCTGCAGAAGCTGTGTGTGTCAAAGGCAGGGCTCTGCACTCAGAACATTTGGGTTTCATTCCCCACTCCATCTTTTCTTAACTCTGAGCATGGGCAGGTGTTTAATCTCTTGAGAAGATCTTAATTTCTTTAGCTGTAAAACGGGAAAGACAATAACAGAGTTCTTTTGAGAACTGTAGAAAATAATGTAAGTAAAACACTTAGCACAATGAATGACACAAAGTAAGAGCTCAAAATATATGTCAGTATTAAATGCTCTTTGATGAGTCAGCAAGCATGATATGCTTCTCTGATTGGCATTGCATCTGCCCATATAACTCTTTTCATGCTCTTCATGCTTCAAACTTTGGTTGAATGATGTATATAGGACACCAGCAAGTTCCTAGCTTCTGTCATATTTAGTCCACTGATCAACTCTCCTTGATGACAAACTGACCTAGCATAGTAATGGCATATCTCAAGTAGAGGCTTTTGGCCCAAGAGTCATCAGCTCAAACATTAAATAAAGTCATAGCCTAAAAGGATGATAAACTCATGAAAAAAATATCCCCTACCTCTTTTAAGCTGTTTTTCAATTTGGCCAAACCAAGTGACATTTATACTGTGTCAGTGCAGCACAGAAAGAAATTGAGAGCAAAACAATTTCTAGCAGATCTGGGTGATTTAGATAGATAAGCCTCATAGATTGGTGTCCACAATGGATGACCTGGCTGTAGTTATGGTTCTGAGGGCCATGTCATTTTTGCAGCGTAGATACAAACTTGATTGAGGATCCTCTTTTTAGCCTTAGAATTTACTGGTGTTCTTGATGTATATTAGGCGTTCAGAAAACATTTATGGAATGAATAAATGAATGAGCCAATGAAGAGAGACTCCATTAGTGAATAAGACATAGAAAAAAGGAGTAAATTCATGTTTTGCAGAGGACCAGTTTTTGTTCTGCTGTGGGTTTTACTTCTCTCTGTGGGCCATCATTTTCTCTGACCCAATGTTGGTTTTATTCAATAATCATGATTTATTGGGTGCTTCCTGTGTGAAGACCTCATGCTAGAAGTCTGGTGGGCATATAAGGGTCACCAATAATCTATGTGGTTTATTCCATTTTAAATTAGTAAATGTATTCTCCTGGCAGGGATTGAGATATCATAATAAGCTGTCTGACCCTGTAACAATCGTGCTCCAGAATGATAACTGACTTTTAAAAATGCAGCTTTGAATGTTCTCTGCCTGTGAAGGTCCAGGTATGAAAATCATTACCAAATAGGAATTAGGGCGAAACACAAGGAGACTGACCCATAATCCAGGCCTAAATCTAAGGTCAGACATTCCCCTACTGCCAGATATCCTGCATTGCTAGTGAGGAGGGAGAAAGAAGAAGGCCAATGAACAAGCCATTTCTGGTGCTTCAAGGATTTCACAAGTTCCAGTGGCCTCTGCCTGTCCCTTAGCCCCAGCCCTACTTCCTGCTTTTCTCTTGCCAATAGTTAAATGCAGCCCAGGTCCATCCTTTTAAAGGCAGAGACACATTCACCTTTTGAGGGAAGACATAAGTGTATTCTCAGCTGCCAACTGACTTCTGACCTTGGTCATTTAGAAGGGCTTGATAAACTGTATCTGAGCCCACATCTTACAACATAACCTTCTTATAAATGTGGCCTGATGTGAGCATCCTGCCTTTGTATTCATAACTATTATGTTTTCTGTTTAAATGATACCTGTAAGGATATATTTCTTTTTATTTTTATTGTTTATTTGTTTATTCTTACTGGCCTGTGCCAAAGACCATGCCAAATCAAATTTTCTGATTTGTAAAAACTGTGATTCAGGTTAGGATGACTGCTTAAAGACAACCCCACCCCACTGCCTTCAGCAGTGGGCAAATTTCCCTAATACAGAACAATTGTAGGGCTGCAGAGAATGTCTCCCACCAACACCTATGTGCATATGTCCCAGGTGCAAAGGGAAGTACGTAGTTATGTTTCATTGAGAATAGGCTGTGCTAGCCATTGTGCGATGTGCCCAATATGTATTAGCTTAATTCTAACTAAGCTTAGTTCTAACAAAATCTTTCAAAAAGGGGCCATTTTCTCATTTTATAAATAAATAAATCAAAGCTCAGAAACACTGACTCATAATAGACCATGCAGCTGGTAAGCTATGAGGAAGTGTTGATTCCTTCAAGGGGTGTATATCATCCAAGGCAGAAACTGCAAACTGTGGGCCATATTTGGCTTTACTTGGCACACATAGTGTTTAAAAACCACCAAAGTTAATTTACTACATTTAAGAGCCAGGAAATTTTACATGAAAATCTAGGCTTTGGACTTCTCTTAAAGAATATCTGGCCACAGCAGACCTGCACACATGTAGGGTAAAAATTGGCTGAAAAATGGTTGCTTTCTCAGGTGGAAGGAGCCCTTCCTAGATCACTGAGGCACCCATTTGGCTGGATTTGTTCATTTTTATCCCTTGACTGGTCCCTTGGCCATTGGAACTTGATAGCTGTCATCTAGATTTCTCTATGAATAATGGTAAGGTATGTGGTATGGAGTAGGGGTAGTGCTTTAAAGGATGAAGAAGTAGGTAGGGCTGTAAAGGATGAAGAGTGATGAAGCAGGAGACATTTTCTAGAATATTCTGGAGCCAGGTCAGCCATTTCAAGCCGAGTTAGCCATTCGGAGTTTGGATTGCTTGGGGTCAAATGAAAGGGCTGCACTAGTTGATTTCTGATTTTCCATCTAGTTCTGAGTTTCTCTTTAGATCTTGTCTCTCCTGGAAAACTATATGCATTTCTTACTGCGAGTGGGTTTGTCATAATTGCTATCAGAAAGGGACTTCATTACCCAGGTTACTATTGAACAGCAATTTTGTATTGGTCAGCACTGCTAAATTTACAACTCCAGGGTTCCATTTCCATGGTATTCTACATGAAAGGTGCCTCCTGGGGTTTTGCAACATGGCAGCCATGTGGTGGTATGTTCCATGGTTCTAGATGGATACTGCAGTAAGATAATCTTTCCTCAGGGGCTTCATGTCTAGGACAATGATGTACACTTGTAAAGGACCTATGGACAACTAAAGAAATGTGTCAAACTGTCCATAGAATGCTAGACTAGAACACATGAAAAAGTATTGAAAGCAGGGACCGGTGTTTCAAATTTGGGCAGGATGAGATTGAAAGCTGTCATGCTGCTCCTCACTCTCAAAAGGTGTCATGAAAAAGGCATATGTTTATGAGCTAACTCACGGTGGGGAAGCTGGCCAGTTGGGCCGGGGTCAGGAATAGGAATGAAGGGAAAGAGGAATAGCAATATTTTTAGGGAAAACAAATTTGCCTAAGAATTTTTCCTTCCATTAAAAAAAAATTCAGATGGAGCATTTCTTTGGGCATGAAGACAATTATTCAACATCAACAAAAAAGGGTTGCTGCTTTGTTTTTATTGCCCTCAAATGATTTAAAAAATCTACATACTAGGAAAAATTGCATGTACAATTTATATGTATTTTCTGCTAATCACACATCCCTTTTCCGCTAGCTCAGGTAAAAATCAAGTTTTTTTTGTTTTGTTTTGTTTTTAATCCAAGTATATTTCCAATTTCAAGTGCAAAAGAGAGCCAAGTCAAGGACTTTATGAAGAAACCAGAAGTAAGAATTTGCTCTCAGCTAATCCATTCAGTTTCTCAGAGCCTTGTTGGCTCATTGGATCACATTAGAAAATGGGCAGTCTACTTAGGATTTGCTGTGAAATTTCTAGGTGCTTAGACCCAGGGCCACTTGAGCTTCTAGTAAACTGATGGACCTTAGAATTCTGCCAGACATGTTTTTCCTGCGACACAACAGCAATAATTTTATACCACATACTCTCTAACTTCCTCCTTTCTCACAGACTCCTAATTCTGTCATCTTCTGCATGCTATAAAAGAATCAGCTCATCTTTTGATCCACATACATAAGGGTACAATTGTGGAGAAATACAATGAATCCTGAAGAAAACATGAGTTTTGTAGTTATCAGTTCCCCATCCCATTCCCTCAGAATTTATTAATATTTTTAAAGACAAAGACTGCTACTGTGACATTTGTGAATCGCCTTGAGAGCTTTTTATCTGTCTCTGAGCACACAGCCTGCATACAAGGCAAGCCAGAAAACAGATGTTCTGGAAGCAACTCTCAACCAATCACTGAAAGGAGGGCCTCGGATTTTTCACTCCTTAATAAGTCTGCAGTATGTTGTCCTACACCGGCTCCCAGAATTCCCCACTAATCACACCCCGGCTGCCCCAGCAGCACCTTGACGACACTATTAGCCGCCTGTCCTTCCCTGTCTCACTTCCCCACTCTAATGGTATTTCCCAGATCACCTCCCAAATCAACTACTTGCACTCAATCCTTGTCTTAAGATCTGCCTTTAGGAAAGTCCAAACTAAGATGTCTATCGAAAGGAGAAAAAGGAAGCTCCACAAGAAGCAGGAATTGATGATTCTGATAGCTATGAAAATGACTGATTAGACAAAGTTAAAAGGGGCAAAGGCTGAATCCGGTGAGTCTGGGACTCTTTGTAAGTCCTTCCCCACGCACCCCCCAACAACCACTTTGCTGAAAAAGAGGGCTTCTATGTTTATTAGATATTTATAAAGAAGGTTATAATAATATTTTTGACATGTGGATATATGACACCTAACAGAGTTCCCAGCACATAGTAGGTACACAGAGTACTTGCTGAATTCAAGAGTACAGAGCCCCAAGTCAGATTTGTTTTTTCTATTACATCCCCTCAGTCATTTAAACACATGAATTATTATTACATCCATTCTCCACTTCCACCCTTCATCTTGAACTGTCTGGCTGATTTTTTTTTTCCCTCTCCAAATGTGGGTCTTTGTATTCACTTGTATTGACCCTTTTCTTGTTAGATTTACCCAAATTTCTAGTTACTGAGGTTCTTTTGGCTACTGTTACTGTCATCTCATTCTTGCATTCTGCTCACTTCACATTCCCCATATTTTCCCTCAGGACACCATCTCAGTCCTCACCTAAGGCATTGGTATAGCTCTTAACTAGGCAGGAGCAATGTTAAGAACCAGGACAGAAAATCATGTGAACTATGCCACTACTTCCTTTTATCTTAGGGGTGTTAGATAGCCAAGGAACAGAAAACTGCTCAAACTATCTTAAGCGCAGGAGGGCTGATTTTAAGCACTCTGGGAAACTTCTTGCACTTTGATTTTTCTCTACCATCTGGGTCCTTGTTGTTTCTTTGCTTTGGCAATAGCTGCATTTGCCTCCCCCTGCAGACTTGTAAATCTGCTCATTCACTGAGGCTCACAATGAGCCATTGTGGGTGCCCTCATGGAGTTCCCTCACACTCCAGGACCACCTGGCCTTCCAGCTCAGCCCTCCACATTCACATACTCTTGGGATTGGCCCAGTTTGATACAAATGTCCACATCTATTCCAACTATCTGTGGCTAAAGGCAATATCATATTGTATATTGAGCTGCCCCTTCAAGAATGTGAGTGGGACAATTTCTCCATGTTGGCATATAGAAGAGAAGAAAACAATTGTGCATATCTAGAGTCCTCCAAGGCCAAAAATACCTCTGTGGTTAAGAGAGCTTTCATAGGGTAGATTTTGGAGACAGCATCATTTCAAGGCCTCATGACTTCTGGGTAGGCCTGCTATGTGGTTCCTACAGAAGACACAGCCTTGTCCATCCAGATGTCTGTTGGAAGCTTACTTTCACTGGGAAGGCTTTTATTTATTCATTACTAGGAAAACCCAACAATTTCCTATGGTCCATTCTGATTTTAATTAGAATATTAATCAGCTGTACTCAGCACAACTTTGGCTAAAAATCCACAATGCAATATACTAAAATTCCCAGGAACAGAGCCAATTTAATTTGTATTAGATATTTTGCCCCAGGATAGCATTAGGGACTTATTATTGCATGTCTTATGTAGCTATTATTATTATAAATGTGCATATTGTGCAAATTAAAATCACATTTCATTCAGGGCAAACCTCTCTGTTTGTTTGAGTCCCAGTGACTGCTTCCCTGTTCTTAAAGGAATTAAGTGCTTGCAACACCTCTCATGGTAGATCTCGCAGGGAACTCCTCGGACACTGTGCCACTTATCACTTCATGAAGGATGTAGTTTAACCACTGATGCAGTGGCTGTACTCAGGGCATAGAAGAGTAGCAGATAATGACCCTCACTGTATCTTTGTTCAAAAAGCTTTCAGCACCCAGAATAATATATGATAAATATTATGATGGGGAGGTGCAGAATGCTAAGATACATTTGGTGGGGTCCCTAGCCTTGTCTAGATGTCAGAAAAGGCCTCCTGAAAGACGGGATATGTGAGCCAAGACCTGATGACTGAGTAGGAGTTAAACAAGGGAAGAGAGTGTGGTGTATGGGAGGAATGAATAAAAGTTTAGTATGGCTGCACTATAGAGGGTGGGGTGGGGATGGGCAAAATCAGGACTGGAGCTCTGGGGTAGTGTCTGTAATGGAGAAGTTGAAGGCATGGTAAGGAATTTGAATTCTACCATGAGGAAAGGAAACCAGTGAAGCTTTTAGTAGAGGAGTGAGATATGAGATTTGCATTTTAGTAGGATCCTGCTGTCTAAGATGCGGAGCATGAGTTGAAAGGAATTAACAATAGAAGCAGAGATGGTAGTTAGGAAATCGTTTTCATGATGCAAGCAGGAGCAGATGATGGCCCGGACTATGAAAGTGGCCATAGAAATGGAGAGAAGTGGATGGATAGAGAGATGTTTAGGAGGTGGAACTAATAGGTGGTGATGATTGGTTAGCTGTGAGGTGGAGAGATAGAAGGGAGAATTCCACGTTTTTTTGAAACATTTTGGTGGATGATGGTGCCCTTTACTGAGATGAGAAATGTTGGAAGAGAGAAGCATTGTGGCGGGAGGAAAGGTGGTAAGTTCAAAATTGGACATGCTGAGTTTGAAGGTCTGGAACACAGGCAGATGACACTGTCTTGGAGGTGGTTACATATATGGGTCTGTCCCTCAGAAAGAGACCTGGCTGAGAATAAAGAATGAGGAGTCTCAACACAAGGAAGGTCTTTGAAGTCATGAATTTCACTGGAGTATCCCAGAGCATGTCACATGAAAAGAGAAGTCCCAAGATAGAGCTCTGAGCAAGAAACATCCTAAGGGTGGAGGAAAAGGAGCATGTGAAGTAGACTAAGGAGGAGTGACAAGAGTGGCCCTGGAGGGAAAGCAGGAAGCACTGGTGCCACCTAAGCTCAGGAAAATGTCTAATGGAACTGCAGGCATAGTCAACAGTCTCAAATGCTATTGAGGACACAAACAAGATGGTTCCCAGAGGAACTGAACTCAATTCCCTATGTCTATCTATGACCCCAGTGTCCAGAGTAGCCAACAGTTTTAGCCCTGATTTGCTGTTGCATATTTACATTCTGCTTATCTTTTTTTTAAAGCTTAAGTATATCTTCATAATTTAAAGAATTTTATGCAGCATCAATAGGTGTTCAGTGTAGTGGGTAGGTTTCCTCTTGAACTCTTTCTGTCATTTTGATTAGAAATCTTTATCCAGAAATATATAATCATTGCTTTTCTGAACTCACTGTTATCAACACCACATGAGTGTGTATTTATTTATATCTTCCTTTAAAATTGTGGTTTTAAAATGTGATTTCTGGACTAAATCATCAGTGTCACCTGATGTGGTTGGCGGAATTCTAAGATGGCCCCAAGACTGCTGACTCCCTGGTGTACATCCCGTTTAATCTCTTCTCTAATCTATTCTCTTTGAATGTGAGTGGGACTTGTGAATATGATGGCATATTACTCCCATGATTGTATTATAAGAAGAAGGAATTTTGCAAATGTACTTAAGGTTCCTAGTCAGTTCACTTTGAGTTGATCAGAAGGGAGATTATTTAGGCTGGGCCCTTCTTGAAAGAATAGATTTAAAGCATACAAGAAATTTCTTCTGCGGGTCTCAAGATAAAGAAAATTGCCTTATTGTGAGAGGCCTTTGGAGGGCTATATAGCAAAGACATGAAGGTGACTTCTAGTCCCTGGCTAACAGACAACAAGAAAACAGGGCCCTAAATCCTATACCCTCAAGAAATTGGATTTTGTCAACAGCCACCATGAGAGCTTGGAAGAGGACCCTAACTTCCAGAATGGAATGTAGCTCAGAGCCATCTTGACTTCAGCCCAGTGAGAACTTGAACAAAGAAACTAGCTTGGACTTCTGACTCATAGAACTGTGAGATGACAAAGGTGCTAAATTTGTGGTGCCGTTACTCAGCAATAGCAAACTAATATACCTGGGAAGTTGTTAGAAATGCAAATTCTGGGCCCCTTCCCAGACCTACTGAACTCTGGGGGAAGGGGAGTGTCTAGAAACTGGGTTTTAACAAGCCTTCCAGATGATTCTGATTTTTATTAAAGCTCAAGAGTTACTGTTTCACACGGTCTTCTAAGTGCTAGATTTGGTTTCCAGGCTACAGATCTTAACTGGATGTCATGGCAATAATTAATAATATAGTATAATAATCATTTATGGATTACCTTACATATGAAGCACTTTCAAAGACATCGTATAGACTCCTGCATCCTTTAACTCTTACAAGATTGTCACAGTTCCATTTTATGAAAAGAAAGCTGAGGCAGAGCTGGCATTGAATTCAAATTTTGGATTTGTTGAAGTGGTATTAGAATTAAATCTTGCATTGGGCAACACAGCCCTTATTAGTCATCTGTTGGATTCTGGAACATTTTATAATGTATCAGTCAAAAAATTAATTTGTGGAGTACAAAAAACTTGTGCTAGATTCGTGTGGCCCTTGGAGATCACCCAGTATTTTCTTCCTTGGGTTTATCAGACAGCAGAAGTAAGCTTCCCTCCAAGATAGACCAGGAACTGCATTCACTTTCCACTCATGCACACTCATTAATGATTCCCCTCCATTCTTATGAAGGGGCACCTGCCTGGTGGTAAAACCACAGTCATGTCTCCTGGGCCAGGGGTGGTGGCTGGGAGCAAGATGGCAGTGATGAAAATCTGAGGAGCTCACTTGCTTAGAGACCGGAGTCCAGGCTGCTTTTGCCTTCAGTAACCCATCTTTAGAATGCGTGCAGTTTGTGTTCTCACTCATAAGTGGGAGTTGAACAATGAGAACGCATGGACACAGGAAGGGGAACATCACACACCAGGGCCTGTTGGGGGGTGGGGAGCAAAGGGGAGGGAGAGCATTAGGACAAATACCTAATGCATGTGGGACTTAAAACCTAGATGACAGGTTGATAGGTGCAGCAAACCACCATGGCACATGTATACCTATGTAACAAACCTGCATGTTCTGCACATGTATTCCAGAACTTAAAGTAAAATAAAAATTAAAAAAAAGAATGCATGCAGTGTGATATTTTCAGAGGTAGACGCTGTGGTGGAAGTCAGGCTGTTTTTTGATTAAAGTAAGTAAAAATAATCCCCTCTGTGCACTCTAGTAGTTTCTGGGAGGCTCAGCCTGACTGCACTTGTGATATAGTAACCCTGACACTCATACTCATGCAGACCCACACCAGCCACCACAAAGGCTGCATGTTTTGCAGTCTGGCCATTGATTAGAGATCGCTGGACTGAGAGTTCTGCCTGGTAATGTCAGTTCATTTGTGGCAACCCCCTATTATCCCAAACATCAAAACCACTGAATGCAATGATTCTTATGAAGTGCAATTATTTTGGTAAACTAATTAAAAAGCCATAAGAAAGGAGAGAGAGAAAGGGTGAGAGAAGCTGGGATGGGGGATAGGATACAGAGATAGTGAGAAAAAATAAACTGAGCTGAGGGCCACCAAGTGACTGCCTTTGGTAGGGAGATGGTCCCACGGTTTCATAGTGTGAGTTAGAACTGATAGTTTTCACAGGAGGGGAGTTTAGCAGAAAGACGGAATTTGATTCAAAACATATCAAAGAGAACTACGGACTCTTGTCTCAGGCATTAGGACATACCACTGCCCTGAACAATGGTCCTGAGTAAACACCTACCATGTGGGATAAATATTTGAGAATACCTGTTTATGTGCATTGTTGAGCTGGCATGGAAAGTGGGGCTCCTCAAAGGCAAAAGCAGCATGAAAAAAGGAACTAAAAGGGGTTGAGCAAGCACTAAACCTGGCCTTCGCTCAGGCTTTTTCGGAAGAAACACACAGACCTTGGTGGTCATAGGAGCACAGGAACTGGTTGCCAAGGCCTGGTTCCAAGCCAGGTGGGCTGTCTTGTACAAGGCCTCACCGTAACACTGGGACATCAAAAGTCTACACCTTCAAAGTCAGGATGCATGAGAAGTGAATCTGCCATGTCCAACAACTCTCTAGAGATGTACTGTCCCATATAAGAGCTACTAGCCATGGGTGGCTATTGAATATTTGAAATGTGCCTGTGATTGAGGAACTGAATATTTAATTTTACTTAGTTTAATTTAACTTTGAATACTCACATGTGGCTCCTGGGTATCCTGTTGGACAGTACAGAGCTACAGGGCATACTAAGAGCCCCCAGAGAACTTTAGGAAATTCTTTAGGTCGCACAGGTGGTGTTAGGGTCTTGGTCATGTCTGCTGACATGGTTACATAACATCCCACACTTGTCTGAGAGTGTGGACCAGCAGGCAGGGAGTTCACCTGCCACTCCTGCTCCTTGGGCTTCAGGGAAGAGAGTTCCAGAAGGGCATGGCAATCTCAGGTGGGATGGGGGTGGGTGCATGGAGAGACCATCTTAGTAAAGGGCTGTGGGGCCATGTGGGGCCACTCTGGGGGAATGTTTTCTGCTGCTAGCAAGGAACACCAGCAAATCCCATCTTGGGTGGCTCTGCTCCCTACACTCACACTTGTCACTCCCGGTCATAAACCCACTCCTCCTGGGGAAGGTTCACCATGTGCTCCCTGCTGGGTTCATTGTAAGTGATCAGAGGGGTAGTGCCATGGCTAGGTTCACACAGCACTAAATGGTGAGCACTAAGACAGGACCCACGGCCAGGTCTGTGAGCACACCCAGACCTAAATGTAAAACACAAAACTATGAAACTCCTAGAAGTTAACATTGGAGAAAATCTACATGACCTTGGGTTTGGTGATGACATTTTAGATACAACACCAAAGTCATGATCCATGAAAGAAGGAACTGATAAGCTGCACATCATTAAAAAAATTCTTTTCTGCCCAAGACACTGTCATCATAATAAAAAAAACAAGCCACAGGCTGGGAAGAATATATTTGCAAAAGACATATCTGCTAAAGGACTGTTATCCAAAATATACAAATAACTCTTAAAGCTCAACAATAAGAAAACAACTTGATTAAAAAACAGACTAAAGATCTGAACAGACACCTCACCAAAGAAGATTTACAGATGGCAAATAAACATGTGAAAAGATGACCCACATCATATGTCATCAGGGAAAGGAAAATTAAAACAAAAATGAGATATCACTACAAATGTATTAGAATGGCCAAAATCCAAAACATTGACAACATCCAGTACTGGTGAGGATGTGGAGCAACAGACAGGAGCTCCCACTACTTGCTGGTGGGAATGCAAAATGAGACAGCTTCTTTGGAAGACAGTTTGGCAGTTTCTTATAAAAATAAACATGCTTTTACCATGGGATCCAGCAACTGTGCTCCTTGATATTTATCCAAAAGAGTTGAAAACTTATGTCCACACAAAAACCTGCACATGGACATTTATTGAAGCTTTATTCGTACTTGCCAAAAATTGGAAGCAACCAAGATATTCTTCAGTAGGTGAATGGATAAATTATGATACATCCAGACAGTGGAATATTATTCAACACTAAAAAGAAATGAGCTATCAAGGCATGAAAGGACACGGAGGAAACAAATGCATGTCACTAAGTGAAGGAAACTGGTCTGAAAATGCTCTAAACTGTATGATTCCAACTATATGACATTTTGGAAAAAGAAAAACTATGGAGATGGTAAAAAGGTCTGTAGTTCCCAGGAGTTAGCAGGGAAAAAGGGAAGAATAGGTGGGGCACAGAGGATTTTTAAGGTAGTGAAATTATTCTATGTGATACTACAATGGTGGATGCATGTCATATGTTTATTCAAACCCAAGTACGCCACCAAGAATGACCCCTAATGTAAACTGTGGACTTAGGGTGATACTAATGTGTCAGTGCAGGTTCAACAATGGTAACTAATGTACTACTCTGCTGAGGAATGTTGATAATAGAGAAGGCTTTGCATTTATAGGGGCAGGGGATATATGAGAAATCTCTGTACTTTTCATTTAATTTTGTTGTGAACCTAAAACTACTCTTTAAAAATGTCCATTAAAAAGTGCCAGTTTTAATTATTTTCGACAGTGTGTTATTAATATTTACAAATTGAAACTTCCATGCTGTTCAGGGACAAATCAGAGTGTAAGGAAAGCATGAAAGCATCTCATTCTTTTAAAGACACTGACATAGAACCAATACCAGAACTTATACCTGAACTTGTATATGCATGCGTAGAAGCAGAGAGTATATGGAAAATCTCTGTATCTTCCACTGTAAACCTAAAACTTCTCTAAAATAAAATTGATTAAAATTCACTCAAAATGGGTCATAGATTTAAATGCAAGAAATAAAACTATAAAACTTTTAGAAGAGAACACAGGAGAAAATATTTGGCACCTATAATTTGGTAACTAATTCTTAGACACAATACCTAACATATGATCTATAAAAGAAATAAATAAATTAGATGTCATCAAAATTTTAACTTCTGCTCTCTGAAAGATCCTGTTAGCAGACGAAAAGGCAGCAACATGAAGAAAATACTTGTAAACCACATATATGACAAAGGACTCCTATAAAATATATTTAAAATCTCTCAAAACTCAACAGTAAAATCACAAACAATCCCATTAAAAAATGGGCAAAAGGCATGAAGAGACATTTCACTGAGAAGAATATACAGATGGCAAATAAGTACATGAAAAGATGTTCAATACAACTATCCATTAGGGAAATGCAAATTAAAATCACGATAAGATACCATTATGCAACTATTAGAAGAGCTAAAATAAAAAATAGTGACTATCAAGACTGGCAAGGATGCAGAGAAACTCATAAATTGCTGGTGGAAATGTAAAATGGTACAGCCAATCTGGAAAATATTTGGCAGATTCTTAAGAACTAAACTTACACTTACAGAACAACCCAGCAATCACACTCCTGGGCATTTACCCCAGAAAAATGAGACTTATGTCCATATAAAAACCAGAACATGAATGTTCATTGCCGTTTTATTTGTAATAGCTGAAACCAGGAAACAACCAAAATGTCATTCAATGTGTGAAAGGCTAAACAAACTGCAGTACATCCATACCATGAAATACTAACCATTGATAAAAAGAAACAAACTATTGATACACACAACTTGGATGGATCTCAATGGTATTATGTTGAGTGAAAAAAGCCAATCCCAAAAGGTCACATACTGTATGATTCCATTTATATAACATTCTTGAAATGACAAAATTATAGAGAAGGAGAACAAATTAGTGGTTGTCAGGGGTTAGAAATGATGAGTGGGAGGAGGTGGGTATGATTATGAAGGGTTAGCATGAGGGATATCTCTGTGGTAATGGAATAATTCTGTACCTTGATTGTGATGGTGGTTACAACAATTTATACATGTAATAAAATGATATAGAACTATATATACACACTGTACCAATGTCAGTTTCCTGGTTGTGATAATGTACTATAGTTATACAGCAACTAACCATTAGGAGAAATTGGGTGAAGGGTTCATAGAACCTCTCTGTATTACTTTTACAACTTTCTCTGAATCTATAATTATATCAAAATAGTTTTAAAAATGAAAAAAGTAAAACACTGTATCGTATGAGTTTATATTGATACTGTCAATTCAAATTTAGGATTACAGAGTAAATTTCACTGATCTGACATCTGTGTCTCCTTTCCCCGATACTGAATATCCTGATTCTCAATGACACTGTCATAATTACCCATTTTCTTTCTTTTTCTTTTTCCCACAATATGTATGTATCCAACAGACTCAGAATAATAATACCAATACCTCCACCAACAGGTGATTATTGAAAACAACTGAAGAATTATCTTGCAGTTATTTCTGTCTTTAGGGAGTATCCTACTAGAGATGTACAGGTAATTTAGAATCACTTAGAATATTTTATCTTTGGAGGCTATGCTACCAATGGCTATACATCTTTGTTCATCTGTTTAATTTTGCTTTTGATTTTAAGAATTGCTTTTTAAAGATTCAATTTTGTTCTGCAACTATGTAAATTTTCACTTGGTTTCAAGTGAAATCCTCAAGACTAGATATATTCAAAGAGGCCTACATTTTATCCCTTTTATCCACATCTATCTATAGGCAATCATGTAAAAATTGTATGGTTTTTTCTTCTATTTTAAAATATTCATCTTCAAGGATGGCTTAACATATGCAAATCAATAAATGTGATTCACCACATAAGCAGAATTAAAAACAAAAGCCATGTGATCATCTCAGTAGATGTAGAAAAAGAATCTGACAAAATCCAACATCCCTTCATGATAAAAACCCTCAACAAAATAGGCATTGAAGGAGCATACCTCAAAATAATAAGAGCTATCTATGACAAATCCACAATCAACATCATACTGAATGGGCAAAAGCTGAAAGCATTCCCTCTAAGAACTGGAACAAGACGAGGATGTCCACTCTTACCACTTCTATTCCACATGGTACTGGAAGTCCTAACCAAAGCAATCAGGCAAGAGAAATAAATAAAAGCATCCAAATAGGAAAAGAGGAAGTCAAATTATGCCTTTTCACTGATGATATGATTGTATATTTAGAAAACTCTGAAGATTCCACCAAAAGATTCCTAGGCCCGATAAATGACTTCAGCAAAGTCTGAAGATACAAAATCAATGTACAAAAATCAGTTGCATTTCTATACACCGATAATGTTCAAGCTGAGAACCAAATCAAGAATGCAATCCCATTTACAATAGCCACGCACAAAAATACCTTGGAATATATCTAACCAAGGAGGTGAAAGATCTCTGTAAGGAGAATTACAAATCACTGCTGAAAGAAGTCATAGACAAAACAAACAAATGGAAAAGAATTCCATGCTCATGGATAGGAAGAATCAATATTGTTAAAATGTTCACACTGCCCAATGCAATCTACAGATTCAATGCTATTCCTATCAAATTACCAATGTTATTTTTTACAGAACTAGAAAAAATTATTCTAAAATTCACACAGGACCAAAAAGGAGCCCAAATAGACAAGGCAATCGTAAATAAAAAGAATAAAGCTGGAGGCATCACAACTTCATTGCATTACACAACCTCAAACTATACTACAAGGCTACAGTAGCCAAAACAGCATGGTACTGGTACAAAAATAGACACATAGACCAATAGAACAGAATACAGACCATTGAAAACAAGCTGCACACCTACAACCAACTGATCTTTGACAATTCAACAAAAATGAATAATGGGGTAAGTATACTGTATTCAATAAATGGTATAGGGGAAACTGGCTAACCATATGCAGAAGAATGAAACTGGACCCCTACCTCTCATCATAAACAAAAATTAACTAAAGACAGATTAAAGACTTAAATGTAAGACCCTGAAACAATAAAAATCCTAGAAGAAAACCTAGGAAATATCCTTCTAGACATTGACCTAGACAAATAATTTATGACTAAGTCCTCAAAAGCAATTGCAATGAAAACAAAAATTGACAAGTGAGACCTGATTAAACTGAAGAGCTTCTGCCCAGCAAAATAAACTATCAACAGAGTAAACAGACAACCTACAGAATGAGAAAAATATTTGCAAATTATGCATTCAACAAAGGACCCATATCCAGAATCTATAAAGAACTTAAACAAATCAAGAACAAAAAACCCATTAAAAAGTGGTCAAAATACATAAACAGACACTTATCAAAAGAAGACATACAAGCAGACAACAAACATATCAAAAGATGCTCAACATCACTAATCATCGGGGAGATGCAAATCAAAACCATAATGAGATTTGGTTTTGATCACACCAGTTAGATGGCTATTATTAAAAAGTCAGAAAATAACAGATATTGGCGAGGTTGAAGAGAAAAGGGAACACATATACACTGTTGGTGGGAATGCAAATAAGTCTAGATACTATGAAAAGCAGTTTGGAGATTTCCCAAAAAACTAACAGTAGAATTATCATTTGACCCATCAACCTCATTACTGGGTATATGTTGAAAAGAAAATAAATCTACCAAAAAGACACCTGCACTCATATGTTCATTGCAGCACCGTTCCCAATAGCAAAGACATAGAGTCAAACTAGGGGCCCATTAATGGTGGATCAGATAAAAAAATGTGATATGTACACAGCATGGAATACTACACAGCCATAAGAAAGAATGGAATCACGTCCTTTGCAGCAACATGGATGCAACTGAAGGCCATTATCCTAAGCAAATTAACACAGGAGCAAAAAACCAAATACCACATGTTCTCACTTATAGGTGGAGGCTAAACACACGTACATAAAGATTGGGGTAATAAACACTGGAGATTCCAAAAGAGGGAAGGGATGGGGCAAGGGTTACAAAACTACCTATTGGATACTATGTTTACTACTTGGGCAATGGGATTATTAGAAGCCCAAACCTCAGCATCACACAATATAACCATGTAACAAACCTGCACATTTACTCCTTGAATCTAAAATAAAATAAAAATGCGTCTTATTTATATGGATATGCATATATGTTTATATCTTTATGTCTACCACTTTTTAGGAATGATACAAACTTCACTACATTGAAATTGTTATTCAAATATTTATCCTGACAATGGCTTCTTTATACCACGCAGAACTATTCCTTGTTGACAGCTGCATAACACTCCGTTGTTTGGATGTACCAAATTTACTCAATAAGTTTTGTATTGATAGTTGTTTACACTGTTTCCAGTTATCTGCAGTTGTAAATTACATGGCAGCAAATAGTCATTTGCGTGTATCTTTTCTTACCTTTGCCAGTGTAACCTTGGCATACATACCTAGAAGTGGGATTGCTGGACTAAACAGTAATTTTTATAGATATATCGACTACTTTTGATTTGTCAAAAAGAAAACCCAATGAAACACTAAGGTGGAATGTGGAATTCCACTTTCTGTGGAATTTAATTCTGTGAGAATGACCATGAATTTGTACATCCTTGGTTCTTCTTCAGGGTAGTGGAATGCTCCTGTAGTGTGGATCACAGGGTCATCACTGTGAGATTCGGAAGGTGAGGCTTCTGCCTGCCCCACTCCCAGCTCCTGGATGGTTTCTGGACAGTGAGCTGAATCAGGTGAATATCCATGGTGGTGCCAAGCAAGATCTCAAGTCATCCCTAGGACCTCCTCTGATCTCTGGCCTCCCGGGGAAGTCTCAGCACCATCTTTGTGCTGCTCTTTAACCATCTTTTGATGTTACAGGACCTCTCTGAGTCCCAGGCATCACACTTATTCAATCTTCCCACCCTAGGAAATGAATGCTTATGACAGCCAAAGTAAAAAGCAAAGGCTACTTTTTAAATTATTACTATCAAAACACAATTTAACATTTGAAGCTATTTACAAGGAATACCTTAATGGCAACGCAAGAGCAAACCTGGTTTGTCCACTCCCAAGTCTGTTCTCTGAAGCAATTAAACTGAGACAGCTTGAGGTTGTGGAGGAAACCCCAGTGTCTGGGACAAAACCTGGAGGGCTTTGGGAAAATTGTCCAGCCTATCTGGGCTTCAGATTTCTTATCTGTAAAATGAGGACTTGGGGCCAACTCCAAATTCTGTAATACTAAGATTTAGCAATTTTGGAATATGGACTGTAGAAGTGGAGTGGGACAAAGTGGGTGGAAGGGATGTGCATTAAACATTCTGTAAAAAAGTTAGGGCTAAAGAAAGTACCAAGATTTGCTGCTGTCAGAGAATCTTCAATTAAGCATTGCTTCCACTTTTGCTTATTTTCTTCTCCAGTGCTTTGTAATCCTCTCCAGCCAATTTACAAAATGCCCCTCTATGCTCTGGGGAGGATTATATTTCAAAAGGAGCAACATTTGATTATCTGGAAGAGCTTAGCAGGGACCAGTGGCCACCACTGGTGACAGTGACTAATGAAAGACCCTGGCAGACAGCATGTGATCACAGACGAGTATTATGTGTCTGTGCGTCCATCCTTAGTTAAATCGAAGGGTCCAATTTGGTCTGCTGAACAAACATATTTGTGGAGGCTTATTGAACACAAAATTAATTTAGGAGACATTAATCTAAAGAAACTCAACTGACAGCAACAGTAATGGTGTTTAATGGAAGACAAAGTGAAAAAAAAAAAAAAGAGCCAGGCCTGCCACATTCTTTCCCTTTGTTGAGAAAATATAAGTATCCCCAGGGCTTTAATAGACTCTAATCCTTTCTCTTGAACAATTTGGCCTCTGAATAGACCAAGTGAGCAAAATAGGATCCCGAAGAATGCACAATCTCAGGGAGAAATGTCCTGAAGTCATGCTGGTTTTGGAATGAGAAGCCGTCTGCCCACCAGTGCACCTTCTCTTTCTACTCTTGCTTTCTTGCATATGTTTGAGTTGGGATTTATTTACATTAGTCTATGCCCTGGCTTCTCACAGTGTGGTTCACAGACCAACACTACCAGTATCACTTGGGAGCTTGTTAGAAACGCAGACTCTCAGGCCCTGCCACAGACCTGCTGAATTAGAATCTACATTTTAGCCTGATACCCAGGTGATTTCTAAGCACTTTAGAGTTTGAGAAGCCTTGTTTCCTAAAGTTTTCTCCTTGAAGAGAAATTGAAACAATCTAACTTCTGATAATGCAGAAAACCAAGAACTGTCTGATAATTTTCCCATCTACATTTATGACTAACTAAAGACTTGTGCAGAAAACTTGAAAAAAATAGTGGAGAAGCACAAAGGAAAACACAATCACCTGTAATCTTGTGAACCCAATGTAACTATGATTAACATTTTAGGGTGTGTCCTTCCAGTCTTTGTTCAATATATGCTTATGTATTATTTTTAAATACAAAAGGTAATCCCTCGTTCATTGATTGGGGATATCGTAATGAACAAGACTGGTAAAGTTCATGGGGAAGCCAATATGCAAGCAGATGAGACATAACCAGTACTGTACCCTGGACAGGCCCCATCCTGCTTCCTTTTCCCAATCTCTGCTTTCTTGACCCCTATATCCTTGTATTTGACCCATAGTTCCAGAGAGGCAGTAATGATTTCCCCTAATTGGCTGTTATTGACCTTCCTCTCATTCACCCTCCTTATAATTCTTCTTTCTTTAGGTTTTGTTAATTACAAGATTAGCTAACATTTACTGGGTACTTACAAAGTGCCAGGTGCTGTTCTAAGTGCTTTGCATGTATGATCTCCAATCCTTGCAACAATTCTATCAGGTACTGTTATTAACATTCGCATTTTACAGTTTAGGAAACTATCCAAGGTCACCCAGATAGTAACTGGCAATCAATCTCCAGGGCCAGAGCCAGCATTGAGCTGATACACTGATTCATGCTAGAGTGTTGATGAATAATAACTAATATGTATTTCATCTTGGCATTTAATAGGCAACTGCCAGAGACCAGACCATTTAATCCAAAAGAATGAACCTCTGATTCTGATATTTTAGGAAGAGAGGATGGTCATTGAGGTGAAAAGATGGTAGAAGAGGATCTTTCATGTATACCCTATTTCGTATCATTTAATTTTCATGATCTTATTGCTTTCTTTTGGTTAAATGGGGAACCCCCAAAAAGAAGCTTTTTTGGAAATTTAGCCTCTTGTAACATTGCCCATTTTAAATTCCCAGCCATACAAATGTTTGCCCAGAAGCCTCCTACTCATCCTTCAAGACTCAGCACCAAAACTTCCTGCTCCTTGAAGTCTTTCCTGCATTACCCAGGCTGAGCAGAACTTTCTCTCTCTGTTGTAACATGCTCTTACCACTTCCTAGTGCTAGAACTCTGAGTATGTCACTTGGTCTTTCCAAGGCTCAGTCCCCTCATCTGTAAGACGGTGATAATCACGGGGTGTATATGATAGGACCGTGGTGAAGGGCTGCAGAAGATATGCACAGTTCCATGACCAACATGCAGAAAACACCCAGTAATGGTATCTCTTGTGTCCATCTCATAGTGCAGCCTTTTATCTTATTTGCATGTCTATCTTCCGTCTTTGACTGTTTCAGAAACAAGAACTATGTCTTACTCATTTTTGTATCTCTAGGAACTAGTAGAGACCCAGAATTGGTATTCCATGAATAAAAGCAATAGTTGGAAAAAAAAAGAATCAGGCAAACAATGTTACTAGGCAAGAAGTTATATGTTAATAGGAAAGAAATTAAGACAAGTATTTTATTTATGATGACATCTCATGCTCTAGGGCATACAGGTACAGGAGGACACTGTTTATAGAGGGTATGAGTAAATATTTTACATGTTTCTAAAAGTTTGACTTAAAAATCCTGATTAAGTAAATGTCCATTGATCTTGCCTCTCCCTTCATATTTGTGGCCATAGTGAGTGGTTTGGTATATTAGTCAGTGTCAGTCTTTGTAATTAGGTTTAAGGAGGATTTGTCATTAGTTTAGGAGTAATTTAAGCTGATCAGTGAATTGAAAAATACCTAGGAAAGAAAGTTAAAAGGATCCAGTACCAACTGATAGTAGAAGAAAAAAGCTTCAGAGCAAGTTATTACTAAGATGATAGAAAAACTGTGTGTGTGTGTGTGTGTGTGTGTGTGTGTGTATACACAGAGAATAGTTTTATACATCCTAAATTACATTTGCATTGATTTGGGTATAGAGTCACCTCAATTCTTTACCATAGACAAAGTGAGAGTACTCTGGTAGTTTGGGGCTCTAGATTTGCTAAAAGGGCTTTAGAATTGATATAAGGAATTTAAATTTAAATAAAGAAGGATCTTTTGAGACCATGTTGAACTATGTTACCTTATTCCTAGGTTATAGAGAAAGGCCTAGTGGTAGCCTCTACCTGAATCTATTTTTTTAAATATGAGTTTTTTGCTCTAAAAAAAATCCTGGTTAATGAATTTCTTTGGGAATTTTATGCAATTTTATGAACAGAAAACAACTACAAGTGACTTCCACAAATTTCCTAGCTTAGTATTAGCAAAGGAAGACTATTATTAGAAAAACAAAGAATAACAATGGCTTGGAACAATTTTAGACCCCTTAAGATTAAATAATAGCAATACTTACTATAATTATATTAAGATTGAATTTCTCCAAAAGGCTCAATAATAATTATCTCCCAGCTTCTGATTGAGCTCTTTGGCCTCTTCTGACTGACAGCAGAGCTTGAAATGGAGAACTTTCCCTCCAGATGGCCACTCTGACATAGCATCTGCAGCCTCTGAAAGTTGGGTTCATGCCCATTGCCCCAAATTTTGTTAAAAAGGAAGTGTTCTTGGCTTGCAGCTAAACTGCATGCTTCAGCTTTGTTTCTTTTTAATTTGTTTTTCCTCTTAGTACAACATTATTTCTTCTGTTGGCCATAGTCCTGAATGACCAACGGGACATGAAAGATGTTTTGTAAATGCTACCTAGGCTAGATCAACATGGTTACCTCACTTTCCAGTCAGTGTAACCAAGATCCTCCCAACACTCTCAGCCACTATCTGGTGTTCCTAGATGTCCTGAAGGGGAGAGAGGAGAGAGACACAGGCCAAGTTAACTGCAGAAAATGCATAGGTTCCAGATCATCGCTCTGTCAGAGGACTGTCATTCTGGGTCTCATGTTTGGGCTTTTGATAGAGTAGGAGAACAAAACTCATTGAATCATTAATTCATGCTTTGAAGCAGTGAACACTGCATTCCTACTTTGTTCTAGACTTTGATCCAGTTGCTGGAGATATAAATGTACACAAAGACACAGCCCCTTCTGAGAATGAGCAAAAGGGCAAATTGTGACAAGTAGACATGTAAAAACGTATCTGTGGCATAGTGTGTTGTAGTAAGAGAGATATGTAACAGGGGAGCTCCCAGTCTCACTTTATGAATGAAAAGATAGCAATGGGGAAGTGGCCATTTTCACAGTCAGCCCTCTACTGTCTTCTCTGGGAGTTGGCTCCTGTTCTGTTCTGGTCTAAAGTGTAATTCTTTATCTATTTGTCTATCATTTATTCATCACCCATCCATTCATTTAACAAACATTAAATACCTACCAAGTGTCAGGCACCTTCACAGTTTTCAGGAATATAAATATGAGTTCCTCTTCTCAGAGATTCTATAAGTAGATAAGCAGAAAAACCTTTAGAATGGAATGTGACAAGTGCACTGTTAGGGATGTGTGCATACAAGAGGGCCTGGTGATTAAATCTTTAAAGGCTGCATGGAAAGGGATTGATCTGCTGAGGCTATTAGATAGGGTTGAGAAGTCTGGACTTGCCCCATTTGCATAATGGCGACTCACTGGGTGAGTGACATAGGCAGAGAAGGCCATTTGAATCACTTTCAGTTGAATAACATACATAACATTTTCTGGTGCAGCATGTATGGTCAGAGATAGAATTTCAAAACAGATGTTTTCCAAAAATGGTATGATATGGTGATAAGATGTTTTATAGTTAGCAGAACCCATGTATGTTTCAGGTATTTTCATCTGTAATTACCTTGCAAATCCTGGGGCATTGGTTAAGGAAAGATTTGTTTTCGTCATGACATACCAGCATTACAGATGTGACTCACTGAGATAAACTCTCAAACGGGGTATACCTGGCCTCTACCTTGTGAGGCAACGAGGGATTGGGGTAGGAATGGGCCTCTAAATGAGTGTTGGAGGCTCCTTGACCTGGCTTTCATTCTCAGATCTACTACCTTACTTGGGCAAGTTTCTTACACTTTCTAGTCTTTAGTTTTTCTATTTGTAAAATCGAGAACAGAATAACACCCGTCTCATAGGTTTGTATTTAAGAATTAATAAAATAATTAAGGTTACAATGGGTTTTTCAGTAGCAGTTGAAGATTTAAGTGAAAGTAATTAGGAAGAGAACTTAAGAAAAGGTTTTTTGTTTTATGAAAGAAGAAAGGCAATTATATATATATATATTTTTTTTCCTAAATGAGTCTCTGATTTGAAAGTCCACACTTCAAATACACAACCTTCTATTTTGTTCCATTGTTCAGTCTATCTATTCATTCATTCTTGATTTAATAAATATAGATTTATAGCACATTTAATATTTGATAGAGCAAAGCCCTGTCAATAGTCTTCTTTTGTGAATATTTTCACTCCCCTTACATATTTGGTTTCCCAGATGAGCTTGGGATCATTTTGTCAGTTTGTGAAAAGTTTATCTAGGAATTTTGGTTGACAGTGGTTCACTTTACAGATTTTGGGAGAATGGACAGCTTTTACTCTTCTCGTTTGAGAACATGGCATGCCTGTCCACATAGTTCTATGTTTTTTTATAGTTTTCATCTTATAGGTCTTGTACATATTTGTTGAATTTATTCATATATATCATATATAAATGTGAGAGATCTCATTTTGTATTGCATTTTCTAAGTGCATTTGATTTTTATTCTTGGTATGTAAGAAACCTGCCAACTTTCTGCATTTACTTTGTAAATGATCACTTTATTGAATTTGCTTATTATTTTCAACAGTTTTTCAGTTAATTGTATTTGGTTTTTGAGGAATGCAATGACAGTATCTGCAAATAATGGTAAACTTGCTTTCTCATTTAGAATATTAATGTGTCTTATTTTACTTTTTAGTTATTTTATTGTTTAACCTATTTATATTGTTTGGGACTCTAATCAACGATTATGTTTCACCATTAAGCAGGATACAAGCTATTGGATTTGTTTATGTATATAGTATTAATTGTTTTGAATTTTTTTTTTTTTTGAGCTGGAGTCTCGCTGTCCCCCATGTTGGACTGCAGTGGTGCAATCTTGGCTCACTGCAAGCTCCACCTCCTGGGTTCACGCCATTCTCCTGCCTCAGCCTCCTGAGTAGCTGGGACTACAGGCGCCCGCCACCATGCCTGGCTAATTTTTTGTATTTTTAGTAGAGACGGGGTTTCACCGTGTTAGCCAGGATGGTCTTAATCTCCTGACCTCGTGATCGGCCCACCTCAGCCTCCAACTGTTTTGAACTTTTAAAAAATCTGGATGTTATGCTTTTTTGAAATATCTCAAGAAGGCCACATGGTTTCCCTCTTTCGTTTAATGTGAAGAAATATATTGCTAGATTTCCTAATTTTGAATTAACTTAAAATACTCTCAGATTATATTGCTAATATTATGTTTGACTTTTCATGGATATTTACCAATCCTGGAGTGTTTTTAAAAAAATTATCATGGACAAATTCTGATATTGGCACTACATCAGTGTCTTTAAAAGAATAGAGATGCTTTCCTTCTTTCCTTCCTTATTCTCTGATGTGGCCTAAAGAGCATATGAGGTTTGATTTAGAAATAACTCTCCCCTGAAACAATTTAATTCTGGCACTTTTTTGAGTGGTGGTTTCTTTCTGACAATTTCCCCAGTTTTGATCTGTGGAGATAGAAGAAAATGAGTTATTTTCAGCTTCTCTTATCAAAGGGAGTTGTCAATTATCACTCCAGCCATTAACTGAACCCTAGAATTGGCTTTTCTGGGAAGCTATTTCCTTTTCTTATGAGAAAACATCCAAGGGGCATCTACAGCCATGTCAGGTGCCTCTCAGAGCTGCGGGATGGCAACTTGGAGTACCAAATGCAGGGGTTTGGTTACTTTATTCCCTAGGACAAGACTTCGTTGAGAAGAGAAAGCGAAGCAGAGACTAGGGCTGGAGCTTCAAATCTCACCCCTCCTTTGCTCTCCCTGCTCCCTACCTTTAGGAACCCTGTCGCTGGTTAGGTAAAATCTGCATAATTTGCACAAATGTTTCCAAATGCCTCCTAAACGTCTCCTAATGGAAACCTGACAGGCCGAAGCCTCACCTCTCCCTTTGCCCTCCAAACCTCCTGTATTCTTTGATCAATTAATGACAATTCCACGTATTCAATTTCCCACATCAAGAACTTAAGCTTTGTCCAGGACGATTCCTTCTTTTTCACCTGTCCCATTTGATTTGTTGACAAAGGCTGCAATTCCATCTCCTCAACATCTCTCAGATCTATTTCTTTCTTTCTCTACCAAACACAGATGCTTTAGTTCAGATCCTTCAATCTGGTTGCCTCATTATTGCAATAGCCTTGTCATCAGTGTCTGACTCCAGTCTTCCTCTCCTATGTACTCCCACTCCCCAAATCTTCCTCTACCTGTCTACCAGAATGAGCTTTTAAAAAATGATTTTGATATTTCTCAAAGTACTGTATAGAGTTAAAAATATCAAATAAAGTCTACAGTCACTGGTCTGTATTTTTTAAAAATAAAAAAAGCTTTGAAACGGATTTTTTGGCACTTCTGGCACCAAAGCTTATTCTGGTGGCAAAACTTGACCTAAATTTAGTTTCATTGCAAAAATATTGCATTGAATACAGCATGCTTCCCCACACCTTGATGGGAGTAAGTATGATGAGTATGTGCATGATATTCCCTCTTAGAAATCAGAAAATGTTAGAATTCTGAACTACATTTGGCTCTATGGATTCAAAATTGTGGATTGTGCATGTGTAGTATGAATCCTCTGCCCTCATTCCACTCCCCAGGGGCAACTCTTTAAATGCTTTTAGCTTTTAAAAATTATATTTCTTTCTTTATTTCAAATAACATGCTTAGCTTCATATCTTGATTTATAATTTTGGACATTTTAGTGTGTTGACTTCCTATTATAATTTATGAAGATTTGGTCATCTTACATCTTTTCCAACTGTATTAGTTTGCTAGGGATGCCATAACAAAGTACCATAGACTAGGTGGCTTAAACAACAGAAATTTATTTCCTTACAATTCTGGAGGCTAGGAGTCCAAGATCAATGTCTTAGCAGGGTTGGTTTCATTCTGAGGCCTTTCTCCTTGGCTTGTAGAAGGCCATCTTCTTTCGATGTCATCATATGGTTTTCTCCTGTATGTTTCTTTGTTCTAATCTCCTCTTTTTGTAAGGACAACAGTCACTGGATGAGGACCTACCATCATGACCTCACTTAACCTTAATTATTAATACCTCTTTCAAAACCCTATCTCCAAATAGTCACATTCTGAGGTTCTTAGGGTTAGGACTTCAAAGTATGAATTTTGGACACTATTCAGCCCATGACACCAACTATGCCTCTCCCTATTTGGTCATCTATGTGCTTATCAAGATTTTGGTTTATTCAATAGTCAAAGCTTATATTCTTAGGGGTACAAATATTGTTCATTGCAGAATACAGTAGGGCATTGTATTTCCTTTCTTATTTTTTTCCTAGAGTTAATAATTGTCCCTTTTTCCATTTGCTAGCCTTTGTCTGTGCATATCTTTAATTTTTTTCTCAAATGCTTCATCAGATCTGTCAGTGTATTAAGATGATTTTCCCAATAGTTGGAGGTATAAGAAAGAACAACCAAAGAACAAGTATTGGTTCTATTTGTATGCTCCTCCTGAAATGGTCATTCTCTGAAATTGCTGCATAACTGTGATTCTTTTTTTGGATCCACTCTTTCTTGGGTTCCATGTTTTCCTTTTTCTTCATTTTTGACCTCATTTTTAAAAAGTACATTTGTGGTAGCTTTCTTAGAAAAGGCATGGGATATAAGTTATTAGGCTCCTTGCATTAATGAAAATTATTTTATACTAACACATGATTGCCCAGGCATAGAATTCCAGATTGAGAATAATTTCTCCTCAAATGTTTGCAGCGTAGTCCTCCTGCATCTTCTATGTTTCACTGTGGCCTTTGCAAATACCTATTTATATTCTCTCTGAATGCTTTGGAATCTTCACTTTATCCTTGAGACTCTGACATTTTACAATAACACCCTGTATAATGAATCTTTTTTCAATTATCATGGTAGGCTGTTGGTGGACCTTTCATTTGTTTGCTTATTTTTCAGTTCTGGTTATTTCTTTAATTATTTCTTTGACGATTTCTATTTTCTGTTTTCTCTTTCTGTAACTCCTTATTCAAATGTTGGACCTTCTAGTAAGATTCTTTAATATTCTTTTCTCTTTTCTACCTTTGTTTTTGTGTTCTGCCTTCAGAGAGATTTTTAAATGCATATTGCTTAATTCCTCCAAAGTATGTCTGTTTCCTCTAAGCACCTACTTTCTGTTGGTTTTGTTCTTTCTCATGTTGTGGGATTTTGTCAACATTTCTTGATCCTTGGGGGATGAGTATATAACTAAGAGTAAGACACCCAAGGGATGAAGGAACTGATTGAATGTTTAGGTAAACTGTTGGTGCTTGTTGTGAATAGTATAAGATAGTGGCTTTATTGTAAGATAGCGAGGAACCCTGAAATGTCAGTATCCAGTGATCTTTTCCTTTGAGGCATTCAGTTTCTCAAAAACAGTATTCACCTCTTGCCTGGGGTTTATAAATGAATAATTAGGGAAGGGTGTGTATGTGTGCCGGGGGAGGGAGACTGGAAATAGAAAATAGTTTTCAGAATATAGGTTTTTGTTTTTTTTTTTTCAACTTATCCACCTGTTTGTAGCCATGTGTCACATTTCTGGGCCTCCTCCCTTCTTGAGATCTTGAACTCTGAAACCCTTGACTTTAATTCATTCAAAGACCAAACTCCCTTCTCCTTGGATGGGATAGAGGACCAGAAGCATAACTTTATTGTTTACAGATTTTCCTCTGCAGATACCTTCTCTGGTAGCTTCGTTTGGACTCCCAACTCAATGACCAGTCCTGTAATGACTTCATTTTCTTAAATAATTTGTTGATATTCTGCTGATATCTCTCTTTCCTTTATGAGTCTGTATATTTAAAAATCTTTTACAAAGGAGTAACAGAAAGAACAGGAGATGCACACATGTGATAAAGACTTTGGATTAAATTGGAGGTCCCACCAGAAGAGTGATCTTTGTGGATGACACCAAACAGATAAGTGGCATAATCATATTTTCATTTTAGAATGTTAGATTTGTAGACCCTTAGGTAGACAGGAAACTCTCAGTCACCTCTCTACTAACTGCTTTCTGATTTGCAAAAATTTGTTGAAATGTGTGTCTCTTTTAGTGGCTCTGTGCAGCTTTTAAAATAAAGTCCAAGCTTCTTTAATCATCAGCCCCTGTCTACGCCTCTTCCCTTGCAGTAGTCTGTGCCCTTCTTTTGCTTACCGTGGTGTTCATTGGATGCCTCTCTTGCTTAACAAAATGTATTATTGGTTCTCCTCTATTGTCTCCTTACTTTTTTGTGAGCTTCATAAGGACTGAAATTAGCTTCTGTTTGACTTTTGATCCCTGGGTTAGTACCTGATATATTAAAGGAGTTCAATAATGTTTGTTGAATAAATGATAACAAAGCTACTATAACCTTCCTTCTTAAGCTGGTCACCACAGATGCAGGCCTTGAGATGAAGATTGGTATGCAGGTGGTTTGTTAAGAAACTGCTTCCAGTAGAACTAGTGTGGGAATGGGAAAGAAAGACAGGGAAGGGAGGGAAGTTAGTAAGGGGTGGAATGTTAGGCAAAGACAGCAGCTACAGCCTAATCCTATAGGGGAACTCTGAAGTGTAAATTATCTCTCAGAGTTTGTCCAAACTTGAGGCAAAGGAGCTAAGTTTATGTAGTCCAGCACTGTCGGTCACTGGCTAAGGTCTGATCTGGGATTGAGTAACCAACCACCTTAGTTGGTCCAGGACTATCCTGGCTTTAGGACTGAAAGTCCCATGGCCCAGGAAACCCCTCAGTCTGGGGAAAGCCTGGACATGTTGTAACTGAAATACTTGCAGCTATCTGCTTGTGGGAAAAATGGTATCAAGAGCCCAAGGAAAGTCCTTGGAAGAGAGAAACAGCTGCAGTCATTAGATGCTGTGTTAGGAAGAATAATGGCTCTGAAACCTGTCCACATCTAATCCCGGGAACCTGTGCATTATCTTAATGGATAGCTTGAGTCCAGGAGTTCAAGACCAGCCTGGGCAACATGGTGAAATACCATATCTACGAAAAGTACAAAAAATTAGCTGGGTGTGGTGATGCACACTTATAGTCCCAGCTACCTCAGAGGCTGAGGTGGGAGGATCACCTGAGCTGGGGAGGTTGAGGCTGCAGTGAGCTGTGATCATGCCACTGCACTACAGCCTGGGTGACAGAATGGAACCCTGTCCCCAAAAAAAAAAAAAAAAAAAAAGACCTTGCAGATGTGATTAAACTAAGAATCTTGAGATAGAGAGATCATCCTGGGTTATCCAGGTGGGTTCAATGCAATCACAAAGTCATTATATGAGAAAGAGGGAGGTGGATGAGTCAGAGAAGATGATATGATGACAGAAGCAGAGGTCAGAGTGATTTGATTGCTGGCTTTGAAGATGGAAAGGGACTGTAGGCAGCCTCTAGAAGCTGGAAAAGACAAGGAAATGGGTTCTCTCCTAGATCCTCTAGAAGGAATGTAGCCCTGCCAACACCTTGATTTTAGCCCCATGGGACCCATTTGGGACTTCTGATTTCCAGAACTGTTAGATAATAAGTTTATGTTATTTCAAACCACAAAGAAGGTGGTGGCCGGGTGCGGTGGCTCACGCCTGTAATCCCAGCACTTTGAGAGGCCAAGGCGGGTGGATCACCTGAGGTCAGGAGTTCGAGACCAGCCTGGCCAACATGGTGAAGCCCCGTCTCTATTGAAAATACAAAAATTAGCCAGGCGTGGTTGTGGGTGCTTGTAGTCCCAGCTACTCAGGAGACTGAGGCACGAGAAGCACTTGAACCTGGGAGGCAGAGGTTGCAGTGAGCTGAGATCATGCCACTGCACTCCAGCCTGGGAGACAGAGTAAGACTCTGTCTAAAAAAAAAAGGAAAAGAAAAAGAAGGTGGCAATTTGTTACAGAAGCAATAGGACAAATACAAAGGCAAAAGCTCATTGAAGCTGGGGGAGATGAACAGAGACTCAGTAAAAGGGATCTGAGGGGGATCTGGGCAGTGTCCCAACAATACTTGTTCCCTCCAAATCAGAAAACTCCATCAGAGAGACAAAGCTTTCAATATTGACTACTGATTTAAAGTTTTGACTCTCTGATGGAGTTTTCTGATTTGGAAGATCAGAAGTTGACCATCAGACTAGGGAACTATAGCATAGAGATTAAGCCATGGGATCCGGAGTTTGATGCCCATTGAGTAAGTCTTGACTTTCGGCATTTTTAAACTCTGTGAACTTGGCATGTTACCAAAGCCTCTCTGAACCTTAGTGCTTCATTTGTAAAACTGAGATAATAACAAAACTCAAAAGGTATTCTAAGGATTAAATGAATATGCTTGTAAAGTTCCTGGCATACAGTAAAATCTCAATGCAGATATTACTGGTAGCACAGTGGGATCCCGTCTCTATTTAAATGTTACATTCTAAAGACAGTATAAGGTAAAAATCAAGATTGGTGACTATCAGGGATTAAAATCATTTAACTTGCTCAGAAGGTACAGTATGCAGGGTTTAGTGTTCACAACCTTGTAAATATGTACATATGAGGGTTTACTCCTCACCACCATAGAAACTTCATAATACTGAGTCCAAGTGCAAAACAATGTTACAGTATTTTCAATTACCCAGAAGAGGGAGGGAGTTGTTGAACTGTGCAATGGTTTACTCTTTAGCATTTGTTTCAGTCCATGGTTTATTTAAAGGGTGACTTTCACCTTCATTTGAATTTGCTCTTTTTCTGGGATCTTTGTTAAGCCCAGCAAAGTCACCCATTGTACCTGTGCCTGCCTTCTCTTCCCAAGGTTACCTGGGGGTATTTTCCCAGCCTTTTGATATGCTAAGCAGTCATAATTGGAGAGAGTTTAATAAACAACCATTAAGCTGCTCTTAGAAGTGTTCAAATTGGTCTAACTAGCAACTATCTAATAATTAATGAAGACCAGCTGTAACTGTAAAGCCATTTAGTGACCCAGATCAGTTTCTGCCAGATCCAGAAACAGCCCTACAAACCCCCTTCTGTTATCAAGATGGCAACTATTAAGGTGGGCTATTACCTGGGGTCTTTTATTCATTTCCATTAGACAGCAGGGGCTGAAACTCAAGTCAGCTGATGTGAAATCTTTTAAACAGCTCTTCAAGGAGGTCAAAGCCATTGATTATATTAGGGGGTAGGACTCATCTAGAGGTCGGGTATCTGTGGTCAGTTCTGTCCTCCCCATCTCCCCGACCCAGGTCACACAACACAGAGCTGTTGGACATCCTAGCAGGGCTTTCCTCTATATTTCAAGTATGCTGCTGGTTTGAGCTGACTCTTTTAAAACTTGGAGCTTTTCCCCCCTGGGTGAAATGGTGAGAGAGAAGGGGAGGAAGCCAGGGGGGAGGAGAAGGAAGTCCTTGGCTGAGCTGCCTGGTGCTTGGTGAGGAAGGGAGTGGGTGTGGGCGAGCTTGCTTCACTCTGAGGCCCTGCCAGCTCCTGGAAACGCTGCTGCTCTTTCTGAAAACCCTCCCTGAGGACAACCAGTTAAAACAACAAAAAACATCAATCAAAACTTATGGGGTTATTTTAAGGCCAAAGGGAAAGTAGATGAAAAAGGAGGTGGGCAGGAGTGGGAACTCGACCCACCTCCTTCCATCCCCGCTCCCAGAGCCTCAGTTCATAGCTCTTTACTCCCTCCCCATGCCTCCCCATTCCCATCTGCATCGACTGTGCTGGAACCTGGCTCACCCCCCTTGTTCTCCAGATGAACTGCCCTGTCTCTGCCTTGCCTTAGGCGGGGCCTTTGGGGATTGAGCTGTGTTTCTCTTCACTGTGTGTTGAACTTGGCAGGTGCAGGCGCATCTCATTCCAAGTCAAACTACCACCTTTCAGAAAGGAGGGCTGGGCCTGGAATCCATGGCTTGGGAAGGGCCCTGTGTACAACCACTGACCGTTGGAAGTGAATATTGTCCTTCTCCACCACCCGTGCCAGGCCTGCCACTGGTCATGACTGGGAAGGGAAGAAACAGGCATTTGGGGCTGAAGGTCACCCTCCCGCTGACCTATCAGAGGAACCTGGAGGTTCTGTGGGCAGTAAGAGTGGGGTCAGCTTCCCGGCCAGAAGTTCAAGTAGCCCCAGCGAGTCATCTGTTGCTTTAGACAAATAAGTGGTTGTTGGCCATGCTGATGCCACTTTGGCACATACCTGAGTGTGCAGAGCCAGTTTAAGAATGAGGTCTTGTTTCCCAAGAACCAACCCTCCTGCCGGAAATGTCTGGAAAGACAATGAGTGCATTCAGGAAGTTTTTTTCCCCTTTTCCCATGGTTCCCTGCAGCTGTCATGGGAACTGTTGCTCCCATGCAGAGAAGCTGCTCACCAAGGACTGGAGAGGCCAGCCTGCAGATCAGAGAAGCAGAGAGACTTCCAGACAGTTTCTCATTTGAAAATTGTTTCCAGAGGGTGAGGTCTCTTGTCCACTCCACCAGTGTCAATGACTCTCTGATAGGTCAGAGTAGAGGTCTAGATGTCAGCCCCACCACCTGCTGTCTGTGTGACTCAGGGAAAGGACCTAGCCTCTCTCTGCCACAGTTTCCTCACCTATGAAATGGGAATATTGCCCCCACATAAGTGTGAAGGTCAGAGGTAGTAACTGTTGGAAAGTGTTTACTTGGCTGATATTTTAATCATCCCTTGTTCCAATGTCACAGAATTTTCACATTCTCTCTTCAGCTTCATAATAGTCTCATGAGGTAGGAAGGGGAAGGGTGTGTAAAAGTAATTACATTTTGTTTTAAAGTTTGAAGGGCTTTGCCAATGGAAATGATGATATTGGCAGCTCACATCTGGCACAGAGAAAATGACCCCAGCAGTTTTTGTGCCCATGTTGGGTATGTTTTCTATTTTTCTGGTAATCTTACTATGAAACAAAAAACTCCAGTATAGGTAGATAAGGTTGTGCATTTTTCAAGACCCTCCAGGGCTACCAAGGATGAGTGACCTGGTATAGGGCAAAGAAGTCCTCTCTACCAGTGCTATCCAGTAGACAGATGATGTAAGACACTATAAAAGATAATATGAAAACACTATAAAGACAATATAATTAAAATAATGTAATTTTAGTTTTAAATTTTCTTGCAGAATTTTAATTTTAAATTTTCTTGTAGAAACATCAAAAAACTCTTAAATGGTAAAATTAATTTTTATAATATATATTTTTAATTCCATTATATTAAAAGCATTACCATTTCAACATGTAACAATATAAAAATTATTAGATACTTTATATTCTTTTTTCTTACCAAGTCTTTGAACTCCTGTGTGTATTTCACACTTACAGCACACCTCAATTCCAATGCTAAAAAATAATCATTGGAATTCTTAATTGCATTTCAGTTTCACAAACTTTATAGTTGCCAGAATAGATTCATATACTCAAGTGGTTCCACATATACTTAAAAGTTTTACAGTAATGGAATCACATATCAGATTTTAAATATATATTTACATTAATTAAAATTAATAGAATTTGAACTTCGGTTCCTCAGCCACTCTAGTGACATTTCAAGTGCTTAATAAGGACGGAGCAGGAGAAGTATCAGCTAGGCTGTTTTTTTGTTCACTTGTATTTCAATACTTAGAATTATCTTCAATAACTGTTTCTTTGCAGGAATGTTTTTAGTATTCATCTAAAACTAGCCTGTATACTCAGCCTATCCACTTAACCGGTCACACTGCAAGGCAGCGTGAATAATGGAGTTCTACTGCCAGCCTCTGCATACTGTGAACGAGTCAAGCCACAGAGCCCGAGTGACATCTGGCTGACATAGTGACTGAGGGAGACCTCCAGTGTCAATTCATATATTAAATAAAGTATTAATTTCTGTCCTTTTTTGATAAACAGAAGTGGATGATCTAACATTCTCTTCCCATACACCTGTGGATCACCTTTGTACACCATACTTGAAAGATCATGCTTGGAACCCTACCGCTGTGGTTGCTTCAAACTTTCTCTGAGCTGGGGCTTTAGTCCTAGACTTTCAGGGAATAAGTAGTGTCTATTCTGGGCCATTTTCCTTCTGACCTCCTCTCTTCCTCCCAGAGTTCCTTGGTTGTTTTTTTAAGCACTATGTAATACATTCATTTATCGGGTTTTGTCTTCAGATTTTTTTTTTTTTTTTTTTTTAAGAGACAGAGTCTTGCTCTGTATCCCAGGCTGGAGTGCAGTGGTATGATCATAGCTCACTGCAGCTTTGAATTCCTGGGCTCAAGGGATCCTCCTGCCTCAGCCTCCGAAGTAGCTGGGACTACAGGCTAACACCACCAAGCCTGGCTAATTTTAATTTTTTTTTTGTAGAGATAGGGTCTAGTTATGCTGCCCAGGCTGGCCTTGAACTCTTGGCCTCAAGCAGTCTTCCCAGCTTGGCTTCCTAAAGTGCTGGGACTACAGGTATGAGCCATCATGCCTGGCCTGACTTTTTATTAACTGTCATCTACAACAAAAGCAAAGAAAAACAACAAAATATTTCCAACAGAAGTCCCCAAAAGATGGCCAAGTTTTCACTTTAGAATTTGACCTAATTTTGTTCTTTGAGGATAAATTGTACAGTAGTTTTCCCCTGTCACTCATATTTGCCTAAACACTTTGGCACTCGAATAGGATACCATCATGGGAACTTGTGCTTATGTTTCCAGTATTTGTAGTATTCATTGTGAGTTCCTACAACCCCCGTATTTTTGAGAGTAGAAGTTCCCTCCTCTTTGTGCATGGACTATTTGTTATTGTATCTGTTCAGAGTTCAGTGCTTTGGCAGGGCTGGCCTCCCTGTGTCTTTGCTTAGCAGCATCACCCTGGCTTGGTTCTGGGGGGTCCATTTCTTCTCCAGATTCTCTAAGGGTCCCTCCCCACTCCCACCACTTTTATTTTTCCTTCTTTAGCTATTTTGCTGCTTAAGTCATCTGAGGTGGAACTTTTGGAGTCCTTGGCTTTTTGTGGTATTTTAACACTTATGACCTAAGGCAGGAGGAGCTGCATTTTCGGCTCTTTTCTTCTCTCCCGCTTCCCTCTTGAGGAGGACTCAGATAAAATTCTCTGAGGGAGAGAAAGGATTCTTGGCAAACTATCAGAACTTTCTTCTTCCTTTTTGTCTCTAATTGTATAAACAGAATATTCCAGAGCCCTGCAATGTTATTTTCCACCAATACCTCATGAAGAATACATTTTGCTAAAGGAAATCTAGAACATTCCTATCCAAGCTCACGTGGGCTTCCAGCATATGGGTGACTTTAGCTTGGCTGCACTGGGCCCTGCTCAGAGGCTGAGGCCTGTTTTGCAAGTTAAATGGCCTAGGTCTTGTTTCCAGATTCCATAATCAGCTTTATTCCACAAACCTCTAACATTATTTTATAAGCCAAGAGGTAACTCCTTAATGCTTCTGCTTATTTTCTCTTCCTAGTTCCTCAATTTAAAATATAATTATTCCTGTAGTTTCAGTTCCAGCTTTATCTTCCCAGGGAAGAAACTCCCAGCTGGGAATGGTTGAGCACCACTTGGCTTTTTTAGAAATTCTCTTTTATAAACACTGGTCCAGGGTCAGGATTTGCACAAATCTTTATGCATAAAGACTCCTCTCTGGCTTAGCTGATGACTCTAGGATTCCCATGATCTTCCCCCCACAGCCCACCTCCAGTAGTCCTATTGCCAAGAGGCAGAGCAGGGGCAGGGCAGGAGGGTGGCAGTGGAGCCAGGGCAAGGGACTAGAGCATCCGGATTTCCACCAACCATGCATCAACCTCCCATCTGCTTTGTAAAAGGTTTTCTAGGGTTAATTATTAGTATTTTAAAATAGTCATCTTTTTATTTATAAATAAAGGCTATTGCTGCTTTTTGTGATTTCCATAGCAGCCTGTAGCCTACCCACAACAGAAACTGGAGGTGGATCAAGCAAAAGAATAAGTGAACATTTACCTATTCATTTAGCAAATGTTGATCTAGAGGACATGCATGATCTATAATACATATATATAGCAAGATATACTGTGCATACTCGCCATATGTAATAGATATACTGTGCGCACAATACATATACTGTGCACACCCCCCATATACAATTGCATATATATAATTGCATGTATTATATATGGCATGTGTGCACAGTATATCTTACTAATCTGTATGTATATGTGTGTATATATACAGTATGTATATATATAGTGTGTATGTATATACAGTGTGTATACATATAAAAAAGGATTATCACAATGTATTCATACAAGTCAGTGTGGTGTTATATTTAAGAAAGATAGCATTTGGATAGGAACAGGAAAATCACAGAAGAAACATGAACAACTAATAAAAGTGTAAAAAGATTCAGCTCCACAAATGCACTGTGGATTAAGGAGCTGCCTCAGCTCCAAATCCTCTCTGTTCTTCTCTGTTGTGATGCTGGGGCTGTGATTCTGAAAACTGCATTTCTCCTGTGCTAGCTGGCTCTCAATTAGGTTCGGCCAGAAGGACTGGAAAGTAGAGGAAGGGAGAAGGGATCTGCCCTTTCTTCTGCACTTCCTATTTCTCCCATGTCACCAAGAAACAACAACATTGGCTCCTTTCCCCAGATACTTTCCACATTCCGTCAGCTAACCTTGTCACATCCCTTAGCAGTGTCTGCCATGTTAGGCAAGGGCTCCTTTTCTCATTGGAAGTCCTAGTATTAAAGGCCTCTTCTCCAAGCTCCTGAGCTGTTCAACCATCCAGTCAATGAACCCTGTTCTATAGTCTAAACCCTGACTCTTAAAGCTTCTAGCTTCCTAGAACCACAAACTTTCCCTTTTGTTTCCCCAGCCTTGAGGGTGAACATGCTTCCTGCAATTGCTACCTTTACCTTACCTCTGACTTTCCTAGGCTTCCAGCATCTACCTACCCAATTACCTACATCAAATCCTTGCTGATAAGATAACTAGTGTTGCTTCTGTTTCCCGGACTAAACAATGGTTAATACAACAACTACTGTAAGAAAAGGCAAAAAACAAACAAACAAACTCAAAAAACAAAAAAACCTCAAACCCTAAAACAACATTGATATCTATATATCCATACTCTCAACACATGCATGGTTGTCAATACCTGAGTTTTGGAAGGCTTATGGCCCCATCCTGTAGGCTGGGGATCTCTCTTTATTTCAGAGATGCAGCCTTGGAGTCTGCAGGGTTCTGCAAGTGCAGAACTTGTGCCGAACACATGGTTCTGCCTCTGCCTCTGCCCCAAGAGTCCTCATCTCCGGTCACTGACCCTATGCCTAGATGGGTCTTTCCCTGCAGTTCTGCCAAACTATTTTCACTCCCCTCACTGGAAAGCAACAGAGATTTCACAAACCTTGTCAGTTCCTATGAAAGCAATTTTCAGTGGGACTATGGGGATTGTCTCGCTCTAGATCAGTGGTCCTACAGTTGGAGCTGTGGACCCTGTCATTTAGTGTTCAGGTGGTGACTTGAAGTCTCACTGTCCTGACTAATACTGACATTTCCAGGACTTAGGGTTCTCAGGGAACATCACAGCCATGTGGCAATTTTCGCAGGTCCCCTAATATGGTATAGAGCTTTGGCAAGGTTTGAAGCACTAGTTCATTTTATTCTTTGGGACAGTCCTATTAGGTAGGTACAGTCATGCATCATGTAATAACAAGAATATTTTCTGAGAAATGCATTTTAAGCAGTTTTTCATTGTTGTGTGAACATCATAAGGGTTTACTTCCACAGACCTAAATGGTACAGCCTACTACACACTTAGGCTATACGGTATAGCCTCTTGTTCCTAGGCTACAAATCTTTACAGCATGGTACTGTGTCCAATACTGTAGACAATTATAACACAATAGGAAGTATTTGTACATTAAAACATATCTAAACATAGAAATGTACAGTAAAAATATGGTACTATAATTTATGGAAACACCTTTTATATGCAATCTATCATTGATCGAAACATAGTTATGCAGCACATGACTGTATTATCTCTATGAAATATGTGAGGTCTGGGACGTGGGTTGAGTTGCTTGTCCAAAGCCAGCCTAGATGGTGTGTATCTTCAATAAATAATGATCAACATTACTATTATTTCTATAGAATTTCGTCAGAGAAGGCAGGTCCCATCCTACTTCTGTGAAATGGGAAGCCCTGATCCAGTCTAGTAGGCTTGTAGACTATCACCTTCCTACTACAACTGTATAAAGGTAAAAATAGTGAAGGATCAGGGGAATAAGAGCTTCAGCCAGGTCCTGGGGCCAGGCTGTTACTAGATTTTCTAACCTCGACAACTACAATACAGTTCATTTTATATTGTTTTATTTTCAAGGGAGTTTTATGAAAAAAATAATGTATTTTTAAACAGGTCCTTTTTTTCAGGTAAAAATGAAGAAAACTGGGATGAGGTGGATATGTAATGCTTTGGACATGGAACTGTGAGTCCTTAGAAGCCAAGTGATCTGAGGCAAGGAATACTTTAAGGGGATGGCTCTGAGGCTGGTTTTGTGGCTCTCCTGACAAGCTGAGTTTTAACCAGCTAGAAATATTCTCTTTAGGGACATCTCTCAGTCACTGGGACCTTAGATTATCCTGATCCCCATTTAACTTTTGAGAGTTTCCTAGTTTACTGCCTCTGAGATCATCTCCCGATTTTGGCTTAGAAACTGGAAATCATCAACTTGACTATCTCCCTACAATCTTCAACCATTCAAGGAATTCCTAAATTAATTTCCAACGTCCTTTTCTTAACATAGAAATTCACCATAAAGAAGATGCTCTATTTCTTTTTCTTTCCAAGCCAAACTGTATCCAGCTTTATTAAAGATACTTTCCATAAACAATCATGGTATTTCAGGCAGGACATGGGCAGACAATCATGAACAGTATACAACAAATTTTAAACTCCCTTCTTCAATTGACTACCAAAAATCTGAAAGCCACTATAAAACCCAATGAAGTTTTCGTCTGATGCTCTGAACAGGGAAAGTTTAGAGTGAGGGTTGACATTTCACATTTAGCATGTTGTTTAACAGCTTTTCACAAGCCGACCCTGAGTTTCAGGAAGTGAAATGAAAATGGCAGAATTTATCTGAAGATCCACAGTCTAGAAATGGAACCACCGCTGTTTTGACAGGTGCCATCTCAGTGGCATCACTGGAAAGTCCAGATTGCCTGACACACTGGTAACCAATGACTGGGGGTCAGGTCCCAACAGATGTCTGGGCTTAAGGGAGTTAAGTCTATGCTGAAGGATGGAAAGGGAGAAGAGGACATAAAAACAAATTTGTTTTTCCATCCTACAAGGCTTTTGTGCCAAGGTGACCATCTGTGTCAAAGTCAGGGAATCCCTCCTCCTGGGAGCCAAGAGGAAGTCTCTCAAAGCTAGAAGGGAAAGGTGTTTTCCCCACATCAATCCAGCTTTTGGGACATTCTATTAGTGACATATGCCCCTTCTCCCTAAAACAACACTGAAGTGTTCTGTGTGCTAATAGCATAGCTTTAAAAAAAAAAGTAAAACAAAATTCTGCATTTTTATAAAACTTGATAAAAATAGTATTTCAAGCTGTACAGTCATCAAAAGTACACAGTTATAAAAAATGCACATGCTTCACTTGGCACCTCCAGCACCTTCAGCTTTCTGTGCCTGGTCTGTTTTGGCATCTCCGTTTTCTGCAGGGTTATTCCCCTCCTCGCCAGCATCAGCTTTTCCCTTTTTCCCTTTGGGTATCTTCTCTCCCTTCTTTGCAGGGGCCTTTTTAGGCTTGGGCTCTGGCTTTGGAGGAGCAGGTTTAGCAGAAAACCTCATGGATCTTCTCTGTGGTTCATCCTTCACCTTGGCTTTATCTCCTTTAGCATCCCCTTCAGCCTTTCTCTTGGGCACGGTGTTGTTGACGATGGTGGTGGGACATAAGCGCTGGGCGTGGGATGCAGCAACACACTTGCTTTCATTGTCCGGGGATCATTCTCACCTCTTGTTCTTCTGAAGATGCTCTCTTTCTTTGGTGAGATTCTTCCCTTCATCCCTTCTCTTCTCTCAAGACCTTCTCTCTTCTGTTCTCTGCCTTAGATGGCATTGCTATTCCATGGCTAAAGTCTCATAGGGTATAACATCCGCCCTCATCACTTGGTAGGATGACCAACTCATCCCAGTTTATCCAGGACTTTCCTGGTTTTAACAATAAAAAAGCTTGTCTCCCAGGGAACCCCTCAGTCCCAGACAAGCCAGGATGGTACTATGATTCGAATATTTATCTTCTCCAAAGTTTACATTGAAATTTAATGTGGCAGTACTTGACAGGTAAGGCCTTTCAGAGGTGATTGGACCTAAAGGTCGCTTCCCTCATGAATGGATTAACCCATTCACGGATTACTGAATTAATAAGTTATCATTGGAGTGGGGCTGGTGGCTCTATAAGATGAGAAAGAAAGAACTAATCTAGCACATTCATCCCCCTCACCATGAGATGCCCTGCACAGCCCCAGGACTCTTCAGAGAGTCCTCACCAGCAAGGTTTTCACCACTTGTTGTCCCTTGACCTTGAACTGTCCAGGCTCCAGGGCTGGAAGAAATATTTTTTCTCATAAATTACCTAGTTTCTGGTATTATGCTATAAGCAACAGACAATGTACTAAGACAGAAAATTGATACCAAGAAGTGGGGTTGTTGCTGATAACAAATATCTGAAAATGTGGAAGTGGCTTTGGAATTGAGTAATGGGCGGAGGCTGGAAGAATTTGCAGGAGCAGGCTAGAAAAAGCCTAGATTCTTGTGAGGGCTTAGAAGACAAGAAGACTAGGGAAAGTTTGGACCTCCTTAGGGATTGGTTAAGTGGTTCTGACCAGAATGCTGATAGAAATATGGACAGTAAAGGTCATTCTTATGAGGCTTCAGAAGAACCGAGAAACAAGGTATTAGAAACTGGCGTAAAGGCCATCTTTATTATAAACTGGCAAAGAACTTGTGTGCATTGTGTTCATGCCCTAGGGCTTTATGGAATGCAGAACTTAAAAGCAATTCATTAGAATATCTGGTGGAAGAAATATCTAAGCAGCAAAGCATTCAGGCTGCTGCATGGCTGCTTTTAACCCCTCACATTAAACTGTGAGAAGGAAAAAAATGACTTAAAGATAGAATTTATAATCAAAAAGGAAGCAAAATGGAAAGATGTGGAAAACTCTCAGCCTGGCCATGTGAAGAGTAAAAAAGTGTTTGGGAGAGAAAACCAAGGGTGTGGCCCAGCAATTTTTTGCTAAGGAGGTTAGTACAGAGAGAAGAGATCATCAAAAGAATGGAAGAAGGACTTCAAAGGCATTTCAGAGATTTTCAAGGCTGCCCCTATCATCACAGGCCCAGCAGCCTAGGAGGACAGAATGGTCTGGGAGGTCAGACCCAAGGGTGCCCTCCACGGACTTGCCTCCCAGGATCCCCTTGGGTCTCTGTTCCCTACACTGCAGCACAGTGCTCCTCAGCTACCCCAGTGGTGGCTCAAGTGGCCCCACTATTCTGGAAGGTAAAAGTTATAAACCTTCGCAGCATCCACATGGTGTTGATTCTGCAGGTCCATAGAATGCAAAAACTATAGAGATATGGCAGCTTTCACCTAGATTTCAAAGAGTGTTGCTGAAAGCCTGGGGGGCCAGGCAGAGACTTGTCACAGGGACATAGCTACTGCAGAGATCCCCCATTAGAGCAATGCCTAGTGGAGATGTTGGGTGGGACCTGTCACAGAGAGTCACCACTAGGGCACTGCTTAGTGGAGCTGTGGGGGCCGGGCCATCACTGATATGTCAGAACTGTGGAGTCATCAGTGGCATACAACACCTGCCTGGGAAAGCTTCAGGCACAAAACTCCAACCCATATGAGCAGCCACATGGGCTACACCCAGTAAAGCCATGAGGATGTGGCTGCCAAGGCCTGTGGGGGACCATATCAGGGCCCTCTGGACTTCCACACTCATAGATAAGAGACTACAACAGGGAGACTATTCAGAGTGATGACCTCATTTAACTGGACTGCTTGGTGAGCTTGGCTTTGGAGTTCTCTCTTTATACATGTGTGCCTGAGGAGGGAAAGATGGATAGGGGGAGAGGCCAAAACTGGGCATTTCTCCACCTAAATGCTTATGGATTCAAGGACCTTGAGAGGCAGACCAGGCCTCTGCTGCATATGTAACCACAGAATATGGGCATCTAGGACCCAATGAGCTCCTGAACAAGGAAGGAAATCCAAGAGATATTCAGGTAATGTTTACAACCCACAGAGAGTGTCCAATTTCTGGCTTCTAAGCCATATGGAACTTCCCAGGAGGGGCCAGTGTAAAGTAGTCAGCAAGCCCTGAACAAGTCACAACTGACTTGGAAACAATCCTGATTGGTCTGCCCTGATTTCTTGTCCAAAACCTTCCTAGGACATTTTCCAGTTGCCTCTGATCTTCCTTGGGATTATTATAAGCCATTTCCTGAGTGATTCACATGCCACTTTCAGTCTCCTTCTCAGTCAGTGCCCAAACTCTTCACTGGGTAGATTTAAAAAATAGTAATAAACTTTTGAAGAGCAGTTTTCAGTTCACAGCAAAATTGAACAGGACTTACAGAGCGTTCCCATATACTTCTGTCCCCACACATGCACAGCCTCCCCCACTCTCAACATCCTGCACCACAGTGGTACATTTGTTACAGTTGATGAATCTACCCTTACACCTTATTATCTCCCAAAGTCCATAGTTTTCATTAGGATTCACTGTTGGTGTTGTACATTCTATAGGTTTGGACAAATGTACAATGACATGGATCCATCATTGTAGTATCATATGGAATAGTTTCACTGCCCTAAAAATCGTCTACATTCTGCCTGTTCATCCCTTCCTCCCCTCTAACACCTGGCAACCACTAATCTCTTTGCTGTTTTCATAGTTGCCTTTTCCAGAATGTCATATAGCTGGAGTCATACAGTATGTACACTTTTCAGGTTGGCTTCTTTCACTTAGCGATAATGCATTTAAGTTTCTTCCATGTCTTTTCATGGCTTGATAGCTCATTTCTTTTTAACACTTAACAATATTCCATTGTTCAGATGTACCACAGTTTATCGATCCAGTCACCTAGTGAAGGACATCTTGGTTGCTTCTAAGTTTTGGTAATTATTAATAAAGCTACTGTAAACATCTATTTGTAAGTTTTTTTGTGGACATAAGTTTTCAACTCTTTTGGGTATATACCAAGGAGCACGATTAATGGATTCTATGAAAAGAGCATGTTTAGTTTTGTAAGAATCTGTCAAACTGTCTTCCAAAGTGGCTGTCCCATTTTGCATTCCCACCAGCAGTGAATGAGAGTTCCTGTTGCTCCACATCTTCACCAGCATCCGGTTCTGGATTTTGTTTTGGATTTTGGCCATTCTAATAGGTGCATAGTGACATTTCACTGTTGTTTTAATTTGCAATTCCCTAGTGACATGATATTGAACATATTTTCATATGCCTACTTGCCATCTGTATATCTTCTTTGGTTAGATGTCTGTTCAGGTCTTTGGCCTATATTTTAATTGGGTTATTCACTTTATTTATGTTTTAAGAGTTCTTTGTTTTATAGAACAGTCCTTTATCATATGTGCCTTTTGCAAATGTTTTCTCCCAGTCTATGACCCATCTTTTGATCTTCTTGATATTGTATTATACAAAGCAGAAGTTTTTAATTTTAATGAAGTTCAGGTTTTTAATTCTTTCTTTCACACATCATTCCTTTGTTGCTGTATCTAAAAAGTCATTACCAAACCAATGATCACCTAAATTTTCTCATATGTTGTATTCTAGGGGTTTTGTAGTTTTTATTTTTACATTTAGGTCTATGATCCATTTTGAGTTAATACCTGTGAATAGTGTAAGGTCCGTTTTTGGATTCTTTTCTTTTCTTTTTTTTTTTTTTTGCATGTAAATGTCCAGTTATTCCAACACCATTTGTTGAAAAAACTATCTTTTCTTCATTGTATTGCCTTTGCCCTTTTGTCAAACATTAGTTGACTGTATTTATCTAGGTATATTTATGGGCTACCTATTTTGTTCCATTGATCTATTTATTCTTTCATCAGTACCACACTGTCTTTATTACTGTACCTTTATAGTAAGTCTTAGAGTAGTGTCAGTACTCCAATTTTGTTGTTCTTCAGGATTACATTAGATATTCTGGGTCTTTTGCTTTTCCACATAAACTTTAGAATTACTTTGTCAATATTCACATAATAACTTGTTGGGATTTTAATTGGAATGGCATTGACTCTATAGATCAAGTTGGGAAGGACTGACAATAACAATAAAGAGTCCTCCTATTCATGAACATAGACTATCTCTCTACTTATTTTGTTCTTTGATTTATTTCAACAGAATTTTAAAGTTTTTCTTATATAGATTTTGTACACGTTTTGTTAGATTTATACCTAAGAATTTCATTTTGGGGAGTGTTAATATAAATGGTAATGTGTTTTTATTTGAAATTCCATTTGTTCATTGATAGTATATAGAAAAGTAGTTGAGTTTTGTTTCTTAATCATGTATCTTGCAACTTTGTTATAGTGGCTTATTAGGTCCAGGAGTTTACTTGATTCTTTTGGATTTTCTACATAGATGATTATGTCATCTGTGAACAAAGACAGTTTTATTTTTTTCTCCCAATCTGTATACCTTTTATTTCCCTTTCTTGTCTAATTGCTTTAGTTGGGGCTTCCAGTACAATGTTGGAAAGCAGTGGAGAGAGGGAATATCCTTGCCTTGCTTCTCATCTTGGCAGGAAAGCTTTGAGTTTGTCACCATTAAGCATGCTATCTAGCTGTAAGTTTTTAAAACAGATATTCCCTATTAAGTTGAGAAAGTTCCCCTTTTATTCTTAGTTTCCTGAGAGTTTTATGATAAAAGAGTATTTTATTTTGTCAAATGTTTTTTTCTGCACCTATCAATATAATCACGTGATTTTTTTCTTTTAGCCTGTTGATGTAATGGATTACATTAATTGATTTTCAAATGTTGAATCAGCCTTACATACCTGGAATAAATCCCACTTGGTTGTGTTGTCTTATTCTTCTTTTTATACACTGTTAGATTTGATTTGCTAATTTTTTTTGAGAATGTTTGCATCTATGTTTCAGAGAGATATTGTTCTATACTTTTCTTGTAATAGTTTTGTCTGGTTTTGGTATTACGGTAATGCTGGCCTCACAAAATGAGTTAGGAAGTATTCCCTCTGCTTCTATCTTTTGGAAGAGATTGTTGTGATAGTTAATACTGAGTGTCAACTTGATTGGATTGAAGGATGAAAGTATTGATCCTGGGTGTGTCTATGAGGGTGTTGCCAAAGGATATTAACATTTGAGTCAGTGGGTGGAGAAGGCAGACCCACCCTTAATCTGGTGGGCACAATCTAATCAGCTGCCAGCGAATATAAAGCAGGCAGAAAAACATGAAAAGGCAAGACTGGCCTAGCCTCCCAGCCTACATCTTTCTCCTGTGGTGGATGATTCCCGTCCTTAAACATCAGACCCCAAGTTATTCAGTTTTGAGACTTGGACTGGCTCCCCTTGCTCCTCAAGCTTGCAGCCTATTGTGGGACCTTGTGATCACATAAGTTATCAGTTAATAAACCCCCTTTTGGAATACTACTCGGCCATAAAAAGGAATGAAATAATGGCATTCTCAGCAACTTGGAATAATGGAATTAGAGACCATTATTCTAAGTGAAGTAGCTCAGGAATGGAAAACCAGACATCGTATGTTCTCCCTCACAGGTGTGAGCTAATCTATGAGGATGCAAAAGCATAAGAATAATACAATGGACTTTGGGGACTTGGGGGAAAGGGTGAGAGGGGGTGAGGGAGAAAAGACTACACATTGGGTACAGTGTACACAGCTTGGGTGATGGGTGCACCAAAATCTCAGAAATTATCACTGAAGAACTTACTAATGTAACGAAACACCACCTGTTTCTCAAAAACCTATGGAAAAAATAAATAATAAAAACATGTTAAAAGATAAATAGCAAACTGGAAAAAATGGTAAACATATTTATAAATCTAAATGAACACTGACTATAAAAACTATTGTAAAACATTAAAAAAAAGTCCTTTGAGCATGGCTTCTGCTGCAATCCACAAATTTTGATGTTTATATTTTCATTTAGTTTAAAATATTTAAAAATTTTTAAATCTCTTTTTTGGCCTGCATATTATTTAAAAGTATGTTGTTTAATCTCCAAGTATTTTGGGATTTTCTAGCTATCTTTCTATTATTGATTTCTAATTTAATTCCATTGTGGTCTGAGAACAGACATTGCATAAATGCTATTCTTTTAACCTTGTTAAGGTGTGTTTTATGGCCCAGAGTGTGGTCTATCTTGGTGAACTTTCCATATAAACTTGAGAAGAATGTGTACTCTGCTGTTGTTGGAGGAAGTAGTCTATAAATGTCAATTATATCCAGTTGATTGATAGTGCTGTTAACTATGTCTTTACTGATTTTCACTAATTTTCTACCTGCTGAATCTGTTTTTTTTTTTTTTTTTTTTTGAGACAGAGTTTCACTCTGTTGCCAGACTGGACTGCAGTGGCACAATCTTGGCTAACTGCAACCTCTGACTCCCTGCTTCGAGCAATTCTCCTGCCTCAGCCTCCCAAGTAGCTAGGATTACAGGCACACACCACCACGCCAAGCTAATTTTTGTATTTTTAGTAGAGACGTGATTTCACCATGTTGGCCATGATGGTCTCGATTTCCTGACCTTGTGATCCACCTGCCTTGGTCTCCCAAAGTGCTGGGATTACAGGAGTGAGCCACCGCCCCCGGCCAGATCTGTTCATTTCTAATAAAGGAGTGCTAAAGTCTCCAACTTTAATAGTGGATTCATCTACTTCTCCTTGCAGTTCTATCAGTTCTTGCCTTATGTATTTTAACACTATGTTGTTAGGCTCATACACATTAAAAATTATGCCTTCTTGGCATATTGACTCCATTTATCATTATGTCCCTCTTTATTCCTCATAAGTTTTCTTGCTCTAAGTCTACTCTGTCTGAAATTAATATAGCCACTCCTGCTTTCTTCTGACTAGTGTTAGCATGGTATATCTTTCTCCATCTTTTGTATGTGCCTTTATAGTTAAAGTGGGTTTGTTGTAGACAACACAGAGTTGGGTCTTGTTTTTGATCCACTCTGGCAATTTCTCTCTTTAAATTGGTATTTTTAGACCATTGACATTTAGAGTGATTATTGGTATAGTTGGGTTAATACCTACAATATTTGTTACTGTTTTCTATTTGTTATCTTTGTTTTATTTCTATTTTTATCCTCCATATTTTTTCTGCCTTTTGTGGTTTTAATTGAGCATTTTATATTATTTCATTTCCCTCACTTTCCTAGCATATCAATTATTTCTTTTATTTTTTTTCAGTTACTGCCTTAGAGTTTGCAGTATACATGCACAAGAAACCCAAGTCCATTCTCAAATAACACTATACCACTTCACAGATTGTGCAAGTAACTTATAACAAAATACCTCTACTTCCTCTCTCCTACCCCTTGTATATTGCTATTATTATTTTTTTTACTTATGCATAAATCTGTAAGAATAATTAATACATTGTTGCTATTATTTTGAACAAACATCTGTTAGATAAATTGCGAATACGAAAAATAAAAATTTTTATTTTACTTATTTATTCTCTGATGTTACTTATTTATTTATGTAGATCTAAGTTTCTGACCTATATCATTTTCCTTCTTTCCGAAGGACTTCGTTTAACATTTCTTGAAAGGTTTATTGGCAACACATTCAACTTTTGTTTGCCTAAGAAAATATTTATATCTCTGTCACTTTTGAAGAGTAATTTCACAGGGTATAGATTTTAGTTTTTTTTCCTTTTGTCCCCTTCTCTCAACATTTTAAGTATTTCACTCAACTGTCTTCTAGCCTGCATGTTTACTAAAAAGAAATCAGATGTAATTCTTTTATTTGCTCTTTTATAGGTCAGTTTTTTTTCCTTTATGGTTTCTTCAAGATTTTTTTCTTTATCTTTGATTTTCTGAAGTTTAAATATGATGTACCTAGGTGTAGTTTTTTTGGCATTTATTCTGCTAGGAGGTGTTCTCTGAGCTTTCTGGATCTGTAGTTTGGTGTCTGACATTAATATGGGGGAAATTCACAGTCATTATTTCCTAAAATATTGCTTCTGTTCCTTTCTTCTGTTATTTTTTCATTACATGGATGTTACGTCCTTTGTAGTTGCCCCACAGTTCCTGAATATTCTGTGCTGGTTTTTCCCCTACTTTTTTTTTTTCTCTTTGCTCTTTGGTTTTGGAAGTTTCTATTATCATATCCTCAAACTGAAAGATTGTTTTCCTCAGCCATGTCCAGTCCACTAATGAGCCCATCAAATGCATATTTCATATTCGTTAGTTTTTTTGATCTCTAGAATTTCTTTTGATTCTTAGAATTTCCATCTCTTTGCCTATATTACCAATCTGTTATGGCATGTTGTCTACATTTGTATTATAGCCCTTAGCATATTAATCTTAATTTTAAAAAATTTCTGGTCTGATAAAGATAGCAACAATTGACACTGGGTACTACTAGAGGGGAAAGGGACAGAGGCAAGGGGGCAAAGGTTGAAAGACTAACTATTGGGTGCTATGCTTTGATATCATTCATACCCCAAACCTTGGCATCATACAATATACCCAGGTAACAAAAACCAGCATAGTACACCCAATTCTAAAATAAAAGTTGAAAATAAATCCTTGATCTGATCATTCCAATATTTCTGCTATATCTGACTCTGATGCTTGTTCAGTCTCTGCAAACTACGTTTTTACCTGTTAGTGTATCTTGTAATTTTTTGTTGAAAGGTGGGCACAATGTACTGTGTAAGAGGCACTTTGGTAACCCCTTAGTAACCCAGTGGTGAGGTATGGAGTTGGGGTGGGGGTGTCTTCTATAGTCCTGTGATTAGGTCTCAGTCCTTTATGGGCTTCTGCCCCTGGACTGTGAGCTTCATTACGCTTCTTTGATTTTTTCTCCACTTAGGAGGGACGGGATGGCTAGAGAAGGCTAGGGTAGGGTGTTTCCCTTCCCCCAGATGTGCTAGGCTCTGATGAAGCCCAAAGAGATTTGGCTCTGGTAAAAGAGAGTCTAATGTATTAGACTCAATTTCCTCCAGAGAGAATGCTTTGTTAAGAAGAACAGAATGCTGTGGTGTATTTTTAAATGATTTATTCCCCCCTCCTCGTGTTAGATGCAAAAGGGGATTTTTCTTCAATATTCCCTGTGAGGATCTGATGGAGTATCTGGAGGCAAAACTCACAAAAGTGTGAGGGTCACCCATATGAATGGGTCTTCTCAGAACTGTCCACACTCAGCCTCCAGAAATTTGTCAATTACAGCTTAGGTTTTCCTACCCCGGTACTGGTTTCTGCAAATGTTTCTATTCGTGCATTTCTGCTCCAGGAAGTTGTGATTCTCTCTATCTGCCTGTTTCTCCAGTTTTGGGGGCAGCAATTTGCTCTGTAACCTCACTTCCCTGACAGATATAAGAGTTGTTGATTTTTCAGTTTGTTCAGCTTTTTACATGCTAGAATGGGGTGGAAACTTTTAAGCACCTTACGTGCTGGACTGGAAACCAGAAGTCTCCCTGAGTAGCTTTTTGAGCTCCTTGATAGATTATTTCTAAGCTATGTCTGAAACCCTCCTCCAGGCCCTTCACAGGGAAGCTTCCTGGGTGCTCAGTCCATTCCTCCCTAGCTCTTCATTGTTTGGCCTTAAAACTCAGAGTGGTGAGAGGTTTTGTTTAACCTTTGTCTGATGTTTCCCTGATTATTTTCTCTGAGACTGCATTCATGCCAGAAACTGCGTATCTGATGGGTGAAGACTCACTGCAGTTGGAAGAGCCCTTTTGAACAGCAGTGATCGTTACTTTTGAATCTCATTGCCAAGAGAAAATCTTTGAGACAGTGTGGGGACTGGCACAAAGGCCTGGGAGTCCAGGCTAGATGGGGTGGTTGTGAGCTGGAGGACCAAAGGTCTTCTGAGATCTTTGGACAACTGAGACTGAACCCACCAAATTCCCAGCTGCTTCTTCAACCACTGTCGTTTTAGGTGTTGAATTTCAGTCAGTGTCAGAGACTATACCGCCTTCTGGGTTTCCAGAGAAAGATAATCCACAGCCCTAATCTGAGATGGATAAGATCATGAAATATAGGAGAAAACTGAAAAAAATGAATCAACCTTTTTATGAAAAGAAATTAGATTATGTGTCCCGTCAGCTCTTCATGGCCAAGTTCTCCAAGCTGACCTTTGAATGTTCCCATTTGCTTCTATGCATTGATGCTGAAAGGCTAGAGTGAAAGGCTAGCATCCGTCTCACTCCTTTTATTAGACAAGCTGCAAACATTTATAATGCATGGATAACATGACATTCTACATTCAATTAACAGAGAGTTGTGGATTTTTTCGTGTTATTCACTTTTAAAGTGATAAACATATTTTGTATGTTTTCTTCACTGAAAAACGGAAAGAAAAGTTTTTCGTACTGTATCCTCAATTGGTATTTCAGTTTGTAATCCTCAGATGAAGACAGCATGGAGTTTTAGACCTCCATTTGCTTGATGTTCCATGGGTGAAGATTCTGTTCCCTGAGGATGGGTGAGGTTCTATCATCAGATCAGAGGCTTAGAACCACTTTCCACAAAGGCCCTAACCCAGAGGAAAGGCTTGACTCAGACGTCTGTGACAGGAAGATAGCATGAATGTTGTTCTCTTGCAGGGATCCTGACCTCCCATAACAATTCAGTTCTTGACCACTGAATCCCTGTGTTTGGGATGATATATTTTTTTTTCCTATTTCCTGTCTTAATTATGTCTCTTTGAACTAAAATAATTAATTTAGAAAAGTGGGAAGAGGAACAGGAAAACAAAAGTGACCTCAGTTGGGGCTGGGCTTGGCTCCCTTACCTGATTGATGGGTCCTTTAATCTGAATACTGGTAGCAACTGGCTCCTCCATAGAAAGAAAGATAAAGGGAGGAGTCCAAACCCCTGAAGAAGTTCCATGATGGAATTGATGCCTCATGGCTCCGTCAAGGAGATGGTTGTCCCTCATCTGAAGGCTGAAGCTAACTGCTGCCTTAGGCAATGGACACTGAGATGTCTTTTGTGTTCTAAAGGGTTCCAAGGTCACATCAGAGAGCAATGGAGTAGTCATAAAGGGTTCCCAAGGGCAGGGCAGGGGAATCCACAGCCCTACCCCTACCATCCACCCTCCTAAGACTCTAGATTCCTCTCCCCTTCTCTGGGCCTTCCTATTTGCCAGCCCTGTCCTCTCCTCACATCACATCTATACCTCAGTGTAATTCTATGTATTTTCCCTACAACCCAGACAACCTAGAAAGCCCTTTACCCTTGGAGATCTGGCTTGGACCCCACCAATTCCACAGTCTTTGACAGTCTGGAGTTTTCCTAGGAATTTTACTAATTCCTAGGCAGTTTTAAAAATGAAGAGGCGTGATACAGATAAAGTGCACATATCTTTAACACACTTTTTTTATTTGCCTCTCGTAGATTTTCATTTTTTTAGTTTTAATTTTTTTTTTTTTTTTTTTTGAGACGGAGTCTCGCTCTGTCACCCAGGCTGGAGTGCAGTGGCACGATCTCGGCTCACTGCAAGCTCTGCCTCCCAGGTTCACACCATTCTCCTGCCTCAGCCTCCCAAGTAGCTAGGACTACAGGTGCCCGCCACCACGCTTGGCTAATTTTTTTGTATTTTTAGTGGAGACAGGGTTTTACCATGTTAGCCAGGATGGTCTCGATCTCTTTTGTTGTTTTTATTTTTACAAATTTATAGGGTACATGAGAAATTTTTTTACTTGTATACACTATGTAGTGATTAAGTCAGGATATTTAGGGTGTCCATTACCTGAGTATAATACATTTTTGTTAAGTGTATTCACTCTACTGTGCTATTAAACATTGAATTTATTCCTTCTATCTTACTGTATGTTTGTACCCTTTCGCCCACTTCTCTTCATCCTCCCCCTTTCCTCTACCCCTACTCACCCTTCCCAGTCTCTGTTATCTATCTTTCCACTCTGTACCTGCATGTGGCCAAATGTTTAGCTCTCACGTATAAGTGAGAACATTCAGCATACAACTTGATGAATTTTCACAAGTGGAATACACCTGTGAGACTAGCACCCAGATCAGGAAACAGTGTATTCCCAGCACCTTGCATGCCTCCCTGGTCTCTACCCCCACACTCTCCCCACATACACTCCAAGGGTCACAATGTGGCCATCCTCTAATGGCAGGGATTATTGTTGCCAAGTAAAGTTTGTAGCCCTTCATGTGTATTAACTCACTGAATCCTCACCATGACCCAGAGATGGTTCCGTAACTGACCTATTTTACAGGGAAGGAAAGTGAGGAACACATGGGGTGAGCTGCCGCCGAGACCCCACTGCTAGTAATTAGCAAGCTGTGGTTCAATGCAGCCATCTGGCTGCCCCAGTGGTTCACAGTCTTGAACCACTAAACTGCTGCAAAAATATCATGGTGGCTGGAGAAACAGTGTGAGTCAAACAAAACTAGATTATGTGGTGGCTCATGCCTGTAATCCCAGCATGTTTGGAGGCTGAGGCAGGTGGCTGAGCCCAGGAGTTTGAGACCAGCCTGGACAACATGGTGAAACCTTGTTTCTACAAAAAATACAAAAATTAGTCAGGTGTGGTGGTGCACACCTGTAGTTCCAGCTACTCAGGAGGCTGAGTTGGGAGGATCGTTTGAGCCTGGGAGGTAGAGGCTGCAGTGGGCCATGATTGTGCTGCTGCACTCCAGCCTGGGTGAAACAGTGAGACCCTGTCTCAAAACAAAAACCAAAAAATAAATAAAACCAGATTCTGGGAGAAGGGCCACTCATTTCCACATGGCTCTTTGCAGGTGGCTTTGCTTGTGCTTGTGCTGTTTTCATCTTCCCACTTGCTGCTCAGGACCTGTTGAGGGAACTTAGGGATGGGGGTTGATGCCGGGGCAGTGACTGGCCCAAGGGCTACACCTGGAAGCGTGGGATCAGGTTTGAGCCCAAACCCAACCAAGGGACATGTTAGTCCTCTCATTTCACAGGGAGAAACTGAGGCGAGGAGGGATTGAATGGGCTACATTGCTCCTCTCTCAGTGGGCCTGGGAAGCACATGGCTTTGCTTATAGCTGAGACTAATTTGTCATAAGTCATCAATCACACCTGTGTCTGAATTGAATGTTCAGAGGCCACTGACCCCTCAGAGTCCTTGGTGGAGCATGGGACCTCAGCTGCACTTGTGCTGGAGACAGGAGGTTTGCCTGGGAGCCTGGCAGATGGATCCAGGAGGAAGAAGGAGAGTAAAAAGCTGCATCTATATACTCCTTTGCAAAGTAAAATGAAATAAAAAGGAATGCTTTTGAATGCTTCTCAGTGCTGAGTGTTTTCCGTGATCTTGCACGTGGACAGTGGGAGGAACCTAGATAGATTCGGTGAGAGAGAGCGGCACTGGGTGTGCCCACAGACCCAACCGTGGGTCCTGTCTCAGTGCTCACTGCTTAGTGCTGTGTGACCCTGGCCACAGCATTTCCTCTCTGACCCTCAGAGGACTCCTCACATCACCTCCAGAGGCCTGGGGAGAGAGCACTTGGTGAACCTGCCCCGGGGGGAGTGGGCTTATAACAAGGGAGTGCCAAGTCTGAGTCCAGAAAGCAGAGCTGCCCTTGGTGGGATTTTCTGACATTTCTTGGTAGCAGCAGAAAACATTCCCCCAAAGCCTCCCTACATGGTCAGGGTCCCCACAGTCCTTTACTAAGATGGTCTCTCCATGCAGCCTCCCTCATACCCCCTGAGGTTTCCATTCCTTTCTGGAACTCTCTTCCCTGAGGGCTAAGGACAGGGAGTGACAGGTGAGTGCCCTGCCTGCTGGTCCACACTCTCAGACAAGTGTGGGATGTTATATAACCACATTGGCAGACAGAGTTCAGACCTTGAAACAGCTTGGCTCATGAGACCTGAAACACTTCCTGAAGTTCTTGGCACTCTCAGTGTACACTCTAGCTCTGCACTGTCCAACAGGGCAGCCAGAAGCCACATGTCACTATTTAAACTTAAGTCAAATGAAGTCAAGTACAATAAAAAGCTCAGTGTCACTAACCTGTGTGACCTTGTCTCCTATCCTTCTAACCATCTTCTCCACCCTGGGCCCTTTTCCTCCTCGCATCCCTCACTCTGGGTTCCTTTCTATGCATAATCACACCAAGCACCTCCGCCTCCAGGGCCTTGGCACTTGCTCTTCATCCCCCTGGAAAGCTCTTGCTCCAGTTCGCCAACTGGCCATTTCATCCTCATTACTTAAGTTCCCAGGGAAGCATCCCTTCGTTAGCGAGGCCTCCCCATGCCCTGAGCTGATGACCTTCTCCCAGCCACTTTCTGCCCAGCCTGTCACCTCCATTTGTATACTCCCCAGGACCTGGCACCAACTTATTTGCTTAGGTATTTAACGCCTGTGGCTCCCCACCAGAACATAAACCACTTAAAGGCAGAGGCATGGTTTCCTCTCACCACCGAGGTCCATTTCCTGAGACAGCACCTGGGACAGGCTTGTCATTCTATAAATGTCTGTTGACTGTCTCCAATTTCCCCCACTTCCACATTTGTGCTTCATGCTCACGATGCTTGCCTCTGTGTACTAGTATTTAACATTTTTCTCTAAATCGACCTACATTCTAACTTGAGTACTTACTTTAGCCTTACCCTAACAAGTGAAGTTGTGTGATTTATGTGCTAATATTTCCAAATGTGCATCAAAATAAATATACTATTATTTTCCTTTTTTTTTTTTCAGTGTGCTACCTAAAAAAATCATCATGCTCATCTCAAGTGGACACACTTTTTTGGAAACATTGCTATACCCCAGCCGGCTCTTCTACTGCTGTTCCTCATGTTGCCAACTCACGGCATGACCACGGCTCCCCAGCCTCTCTTCCCCGATCTCACACTGTGGGTTTACAGAGCTAGAGTTCCAAGATCCTGAGATTTCAAACACATAATTGGGAACAGTGGTACTGAGGCACCTGAGTGAATAGCTTGGCTCTTTTCCTGTGGAACACATGACTTTTTAGCAATTTGCCCTCTGTTGTGGCTATACGACTCTTTGAAAGGGCCTAACCAACAGGCACAGCCCAAACCAACTCACTCACAACCACTGCCCATTTGCCAGTGACCTGTCAGGTGGGCCAGGAACATCACTGATCACAGGCATTTTCTTCTAAATTGAGCAGCGAGCCTCAGATCCTCCTCCACAGGCTGTGGCAGAAACACGAGTTCTGGCCGACCTGATTTCTCAGACACCACTTCCAGCTTTAACTGAGTCAGATGAGGGAAAAAGGGGGAGGTGAAAAAAAAATTACCAGCCCCAGGCACCCTATCTCCACCTTCAGGTCTCCTGGGGAATCCGTCAGGGTTTCCCAGGCTCAGGTAGACCAGTTTGAGCATGTTTTAAGTCATACGTTCGGGATCACCAGCAGCTTCGACGCCTCCACAAACAGGCAGCATCACAATTTGGCTTGTTTTATTTTGCTTTTTCTCAGCGGCATCTCCTTGTTTTGTTTTTACTTCCTCATTCTAGATATGAAGCATGATTCATCACTCTAAGCCCCTTCTTCTTCTTACTCCCTGAGTTTCCATGTCCTCTTGGGAATTCCTCCCTCCCTTTCTTCCCTTTCCACTCACGACCAGCCTCCCCACACACTCCTTTCTCTCCACCTAGGAGACAACTTATTAGGGGAACTTAGGAAGCTCCTGCCTTGTTTCTCATGGTTACATCATCTGAAAGTCTTTTATTCCTTCAAGCTCACCTTATGGTCCCCCTCACTTCTAGGCTTTCTCATGTGGGATTCCCTGATCCTGGGTCATCCTTTCCCATCACTTTGTGTGGTTCACTCTCTTAATCATCCTTCAAGTCTCCTCTGAAATGACACTTCCTCCTGAAGCCTTCCGAGGCCCTGCCCACCACAGATTAAATGCATCTCCTATCTGCTTTCATTGCATCTTGTACTTTCTCTGTCAAAATCACAACACTACCTTGGCACCCTGTGCCAAGGATGGTGCTAGGGAGCCTCATCCTCCTTATAGTCATGTAGCCTACCCACTAGATAATTATAGAGTCCAAATAAGAAGAGTGCTTTTGCTACACAACACATCACCACCACTTTAGAGAAGTCCCACAGCTCCTGCTGCAGTAAGCCCTGTAGCTGTCAGCCCTGCAAGGAGAAGCTGTGTCTGTCTTGCTCATCCCTGAATCCCCAGTGCTCAGCATAGGGCCAGAATGTGGTAAATCTTCAATAAATATTTATTGACTCAGTGACTAGATGAATTAATTTCCTTAGAGTAACTGATGCTGGCTAGAATTTTGAGGATCTACTGAATATCAGAGAGACAACAAAAGGGAAAGAATGAATGTACCAGAAGCCCCCACATGGTTTTAAGTAGAGCAGCTTCTAACACAACCAGTTCACTCCCAAGGTCAAGGTTTCCATGGTCTGCTCCACATTTCCTTGCTCACTGAGATATCATGGAGGGAGGGATTTGGGGATGGAAGTAGGGGGCAGGGGAGGGAAAAGAGAAAGAAGGGAAGAATGACAGAGGGGCACTCCCACACCACTACCCCTCCAGGGTCTACCTGTCCCTTCTATTTACCATCATTGGAAGACTGAGATGAAAATAGTGTGATGGTTTTAGAAAGCTTCTTTCTTGATATCTGCCCCAGATACTTTCAAGCAAAGACCTGTTTCAGAAGAGCAGGTCCAGTGGAAGAATAATGTAATGGAAATGTATAATGTAGTTTAAAAGAGAGAAAATTTGAAAATAGCATCATAAAAGCAAGATTTCTTCCTCTTTCCAAACACATTTTAGAAAATCTAAATAACAGAAATGAAAAAATATATATCATATATGGAATATAACTAAATTGGTATACAGAGGAAACTTCTTCCCTTAAATATGTGTTTCAATAAAAAAGGAGAGCATTAAAATAAATGAATTAAGCATCTAACTCAGTAAGTTAGAAAAATAGCAACAAAATAAACCTAAGAAAAGTAGAAGGAATGAATACCATGAAAGGAGAAATAATGAATTACAAAACAGAATAATAAAACAAATTACATACCCAGGTTTGGATTCTTTGGCAAAACCATGAACCAGATAAAGCATTTGCTATCTTAATCCAGAAAAATGTGGAAGAGTACAAAAGCACAAAATTTAAAAAAATGTTAAAGTGAAAATAAAACAGATATAGAGGAAATTAAAAGAATCACAAGGGATTACTTTGCTCAACTCTATGTAAATATATCTGAACACTTAGATGAAATGGATAATGTTCTAGGAAAACATACTTTACAAAAATTGACTTAAGAAAAGTTAGAGAATTTTAATAAGCCAAGTACTACAAAGAAATGGAGAAGTTGTCAAAGAGTTGCCCTTCAAAAAGCACCAGGCCCACATGATTTCAAGAGAAATTATTCCAAACCTTTTAAGAAGAAATTATTTCAGTGTTATTTAAACTGTTTCAAGGCATTTAAAAAAGGAGAAAAACTTCCAAATGCTTTTCATGAAGCAAGCATAATATTCATATCAATCCCCACAAAGTTGCACAAAAAAGAAAGTCATGGTTCAATCTCACTTATACTGAAACAAAAAACCCTAAATACAACAAATTCAAGAGCACATTAGTAGAAAATATATCTTAACCTAGTTGAGTTTAGTCCAACAATATACTAACAATTTAATAACAACAACTTATGAAGGTTTAATAATAGAACATCTTTTTTGTTGTTGTTTTAAAAAAAACAAGAAGTTACAAAAAAGTGGCAACTTCATTAAATTTTCTAACATATTTTATTGTGTAGTAGTTTTATTTGAGATACGTACTAGGGTGACATCTTAACAGTCTCAGTGTTTAAGGCCTCTAAACATCTTGACCAGGTCTTGATTGCTGCAAGAAGTTGGGTAGCACTGCAGACTGGCTCTGTTGTATGGGAATCCTGGAGTCTGCTGATTGACACACTTTTAACACAAGTGGACCTGGAGGCTGAGTATGAGAGAGAGAAAGGCAGCTGGCTAAGGTCCCCAGTGTTAATACAGACCCCGCCCTAACAGGGGATAGACAGCCACAGCATTCCCCTACCCAGCTGAGGTCTGTAGTACTCTTGGGGTTTGGACTTGTCAAGGAGCTCAAAGAAAAATCCTCTGGCTCTTGTGGTGGGGAGGTTGGAAAAGGGGAATCCTGCAGGGACTGGCATTTGCACTGTAGCCAAGGTGGCAGCTAATTTCTTTTTCTTTTCTTTCTTTTTTTAAAATAGCAAATCCACCTTAGTCAAGGCACTCACTAACCATTGCTCCCTGGAGGCTGGAAGACAGAGCTAATTTTTAGGACATTTAAAATCATAACATTTTTAGATGCAGTCAAAGAGTGAAATCGACCTTGAGGTTGAGGGGAGAAGTTTAACATTATTGGGGATGAGCATGGAAGTGAATCATGCTAGCCACCATGGTTCAGTGATGGCCTAGAAGAGAATCAATGAGAGCTGCACAATTTGGAATGTTTTCAGCCTGACATACTTACTGGTGTATGTGATAGAGATTAGTGTACATTGACAGAGAGACAGAGACAAAAAAAGGGGTGGGGAGGAGATGGGGAGGGCAAAGGGGAGAGGGAGAAACAGGGTGGGGAGAGAGGGAGAAAGACTCATTTTATCTTTTAAGTAAAGCGTAATTATGGATCAATATTCCATACTGAACCTGCTGGTACTGGTTTCTGGTTTGCAGCAATAGCTGCCATGTACTGAGATTGCTTCCTTGGAGGAATGCAGGAAGCTGCCTCACACCATGCCAGGTTGACTGGGCTTGTTCCTGGGCACCCTCTTGCTAGGCCACATGTGCTAAGTCATTACTCACAAAAGGGCTGGACTGAGAGAACATAGGCAGACTTTTTTTTTTGGTATACATTATATCACAGAACCTTGGACAACTGGACCCTGTCCTTAATTAGATCTTCAACACATCCACCCATATGCTAGTGCTTTGAGGACAAGCTTCTACCTATAAGCAATGGATTCATTAAGCTAAGAAAAGATAGAAAGTGAGGTCTGGGAGAGCCTGTTTTTTGGAAAGTCTCTGCTTTCATGTCAGCTATGTGGGAATCCAGCTCTGAGACACAGCACTGAAAGCCAGAGAAGCAGAGGAAAGCTTGCGCTTACTGGCCCTAACCTCTCCCCTAGCCTAGAATCCTCCCTGCCACATCTCTGAGGGTTGGTAGCCAGCTTCTCTTTAATCTATTTGAGGGACAGGGAGCTTACAGCAAAACTAAGCCTTTTTTTTCTTAAATAAGAGAGCCTCTCTTGGTGCAACTTGGCCTACTTCCTCATTTTACAAACCTGTCAGTTTCATAATTGAAAAATGACATCTCATCATTGTTTTGTTTTCTGTATCTTTGATACAGAAAAGTTGAATGTATTTTTTCATATGCTTATATTGGTCATTTATATTCATCCTTCTGTGATTTAACACTACATTTCCTTTGCTCATGTTTTTCCTATTGGTGTGATGTTTTCAAGATTAATTTAAAAGAGTTTAACATGACTTAAATTATAACCTTTGTTTGTTACATTTATTTTCATATTTCTTTCCTGGTTTATAATTTTCCTTTTGTTATTGTTTTGTTATGTGTGAGAGAAAAAGAGAGCTGGTTAAGGTCCTTGGTGTCTATACAGACCCTGCCTCCAACAAGGGATAGATAAACAATAAAATATGTTACAAAACTTAGAGTAGATATTTTAAATTTTATGTAGTTAAACCTTTCTACATGAGATCTTTTGTTATATTTATTCACAGAAACTCCTTCTCATCCTGAAATAACTTAAATATCATTTTTTAACATTTAGATGTTTATGTCCTTTTAAAAATATTTAGTGTATATTTCACACATCTTAATTTTTATTTATTGTGAAGTCTAGATTAGATATAACTTTTTATCGCCTTCAAAAACAGCCATTTTCCTCAACACCATTTGTTCAGTAAACCATCTCCTCCCCTTAGTTTGTGATACATATGTTAGAGTAGGTAGCGAAGCAGACATGAGCAGGGCAGGAGAGGGCCTCCCCACTATCCAAAGAATGTCAGGCAACCGTCAGGTGATGGTCAGGTAGTTGTTAAACTAGCTCTCTAAAATAATAATTGGCCACAGCTGGCGCCAGGGAACGGCGGTCTCCCAATAGATAGAAAACACCTGAAACTGGTGATAAGCAGCTTCCCAGTAAGATTTCAGGAGCTGGGCAAGTGGGCTCAAGCATGCGCACTAAGAGGCAAAATGGCGGAGTTTAACTGGTGTATGACCTTCTTCTGGAAACGCTAAGCTGGTAAGGGAAAAAAACACCTCAAATGGGCATGCACTCAACTTTAGTAAACATACTGCACATGCGGCTCATCCCAAGTGCTGTCAGGCCACTGTGCATGTGGCCAGCCCACCCCCAGGGAAGAATCAGGGGAGAAGAAACGCAAACCCTGGAATCATGCCAATGATTCCCCAAATCGAGGGCTAGATGGAGCTCTTGGATCTCTCAGGTCAACCACTTGGCTCTCTTCCAAATGTACCTGACTTTCTTTCATTCCTGCTCTAAAACTTTTAATACACTTTCAGTCCTACTCTAAAACTTGCCTCAGTCTCTCACTCTGCCTTATGCCCCTCAGACAAATTCTCTGGAGGCAAGAATTGACTTGGTGCGCACCTGTATGAATCCACCCCTCTTAACATATATGATAGGCAAAATTCCCAAAGTCACTAAGGCCCGGTTTTCTGAAACAGCTTTAATCGTTATGCATTTCTTTCTGGTGTTGAATGGAAATCTGTCACCTTTTACCTTTTACTTCTTGAAGCTTCTGCTCCTGTGGCTCCAAAATATGAGGACCCTCATGACATTATTCTGTGAATGTGTGTAGGGGGCTCTGTGGACAGATGTGTCGCCAACAAGGCACCTTACTACAGATTGCACTTTGCTCTGTTTTCTTTAGTGAGAGGACGTTATCTTCTATGTCACATGTCACAGTTTCTAGCTTCATTAGAAACCACTTTGATGCCCCTGGGGGTAGCTTTCCCCAAAGGCTATGTGTAGGGAAAGTAGCCTCAGTTGTTAAGGGAGAAGCATGTTTTCAAGATGTATTACATTTTAAAGGTCTGAAAATAAGGCAGCCTTACCTATGGGCAGCCAGAGAGGTGGCGGAGATGGAGAAGTGGAGACAGTGGTTCGCAGTCTGCATGAGGGCCTGGAACCAGACCTGCCTGGGCACTAATGGGGCCAGCTTGTGGCCTGTTTCCACCCTGGGGAAGAGACTGGAGGTGTGCGTGTGGACTAAAAGAGAGTTACTACCTTGGTGCCCAAGCTTGCAAGCCTCTATACTTGCATAGGGATCATCCCTGTGGATGAGCACCCATGGGATAGTGTGGGTCTAAGCTCTAACAGCCATAGTCTGTTGCAGTGAGAAACAGTGGTTGCCATGGGATACCCAGACTCCAGTTCCCTCTCTGCAGCATCAGGGAAGGCTGACTGTTTTGTGACTGGGATTCCCGTTTGCATCAGGGAAGGCTGACTCCTTTGTAACTGAGTAACCCCCCTGGGAATCCAGTGTGGGCATCTGCGAAGCCTCAAGGGGAATATACTGAATTAAATGTTAATAATGTTTGTGTCTACTTAAGTAATTAATCAGAAAAAGTAAAGATTTGACATGCATTTGTGGAGCAGTTCAAACCAGTTAAACCTATCAAAACGGGTCAAATCAGATCAAACAGTTTAAACCACACAGCTATGGTTATTCCTCTCAAATCTTGTGGTCTCCAGACTCAATATTCTGATTTGTGTTATAATAAAGTCATTCTTAAAATGGCTTAACTTTCAGCACTGTTATCACCTTATCTAATTCATCTCCAGTTTGCCAATATTGCCATTAAACCACAGCATCTAGAATTTACCAGACAATCCAGTGAAGCCAGCAGATTGGTAACCACTCTTTGTCTGTATGCAGTATGGGTTAGATGTTTTCTATTTGTCTCTTCAGATCCACTTTCCACACTTCTCTACCCTAGCCTGGGCCTGGGTGGCTGGCTTGTGTGGACTGAATGGGCTGCATCAAGGGACTTCCTTGCTCTCTGGCTTCTGGTTGGGTTTGGCCGAGGGGCATCAGTAGAGACAGGAGGAGAGTGAGGTCCCGGTGCTTACTGCCCTGGCTTTCTTTTGCTTTGTCCCTCTACCCAAGGCCACAGCTCTTTTAGGCAGGTGTCTCTGATAACTCTTCTCTCCTGGTTTCCTTCCTTGGTCCTTGAGACATAGGGATGATAACAGCTTCCACTCTTATACCATATTTTGTGTTTTTCTTAGTTTTTCCTGCACTTTTATAAATAGTTCTCATTAAATGCTCCCTAATTACTCCATTTGACATTGTCATTTGTTTCCTAGGCATATGCATTTTGTGAAACATCAGGGTGTTTCTTATGCACATTATATTTGAGAACCATTGAGTGAACAGTGCTGAGGTGGCTAAATGGAATTCCCACCAGCTTTTTAAATTATATTATAGAAACAACGGTACATATGTTATGAGACTCCTCCTCTTGCTTCCCAGTGAGGAGGCAGAGCCATGTACATTATTGTTTGGCTGGATCTCTACACAGCCATCAGTGAATTGCTCTGAAATTGACCTTCTTATGGTAGAAGGTAGGTCCTGCCTGAAAACCAAAGGCTGGGCAAGAAGAAACTGGGACTTTGATAAGCCAGGGCTGGCGGAGTTTCAGGAATTAAGAGCTGAGCAGTCACGACAGAAGTGATTCACTTATATCCTTCTCTGCTGGAGCTTGTATAGGGATAGCAGTATCCCATTGAAGAGGCTGGTGCCAGGGTCCCAGGGGTGCTCACTGAGTGAGAAGGACCCTGCTACTGGGTGGACAGCCTAGGAGGGACATTGGACATCCTGCCTTTTCAAAAACTGTACTAGGGAAAGTTACCCTTGAGGTTGGGGGAAGGTGACACTTATTTATAGTTGCTTTCTCAGAACTTTGTTTTGTTAAATGCAAAATTCTTCTCAAGGTAAATGTACAGTAACCCATAATAACTGCTGCCTGAGTTGCAGTAAAGACCTATCCACGGGGCCCCCCATTCTCACTCTCTTTCCATTAGTTCATTCTCCCTGGAGCAGCCTGAGTGACATTTTATTTTATTTATTTATTTTTTTGAGACAGAGTCTCGCACTGTCGCCCAGGCTGGAGTGCAGTGGTGCAATCTCGGCTCACTGCAACCTTCGCCTCCCAGGTTCAAGCTATTCTTCTGCCTCAGCCTCCAGAGTAGCTGGGATTACAGGCACCCACCATCACGCCCAGCTAATTTTTTGTATTTTTAGTAGAGACGGGGTTTCACCATGTTGGCCAGGCTGGTCTCAAACTCCTGACCTTATGATTTGCCCGCCTTGGCCTCCCAAAGTGCTGGGATGAGTGACATTTTAAAGTACAAATTGGACTCCATCACCTCTCCCAGTAAAGATTAGGGCAGGTTTCTTAGTGCACTTAGGGAAGGGACACAGAAGAAACACACCCAAGTCCTGCTTCCTTTATGTGCTTGTTTATTTGTTGTTTCTTAAATTTCTGATTGGATGACTTTGTTAGACAAACAAAGTATAACAGCTGAGCTTACATGAACACAGTTTGTGTTGATGCATATAAAAGAATGACTGCTGAATTGCACAGCCCTGCCCCATCTGCAGGGAGGGAGCAGGACAGAACAGAGTATGTGTATTGGCATCTTAGGGCAGGGCTGTTCAACAGAAATAGAACACAATCCTTTCTAGTAATCACAGTAAAAACAACCAGGTAAAATAAATTTTAATTATTAACTTTAATAATATCAAATATATAATAATATAAAATACATTTGTTTTCAATAGAAAATATTTTTACTCTGCTCCAGATTTTCAGTGTGCACTTAAATTAATCAAAATTAAATAATATTAAAAATAGAGTTACACTACAGTAGTCACATTTTAAAGGCTCTGCAATCACATGGACTAGTGGCTACTATAGTGTAGTATGGTCATAAGGTTCTGCCACAGCAAATAATCACAGCCTTACCCAAGCTGCACAGGAGGCTACCCTTGTCTCTGCTGCTTTCTTATCTCCCTTCAGAACCTCTTTCCATTGCTTTCCTTTTCCCTGTGATCCTTGCAGCTCTTAAGAACTGTCAACCTTCTTAAAGTCCCCACTTCATCCATCCCTTCTCCCCAAACACCCCGTGGTGTTCCTCTAACATCTCTCTTAGAAGGTAAGAAGATAGATTAAAGGCATTTGCAAAGAGGTGGGAATGAGGCTTCAGACACAAATCTCCTATCCAAAATTAGCCTCTAATTGCTGAAAAGGGGTGGGAACCAATTGCAATGAATTCTACTACACAGCTTTTAATCTTGGGGTCTAATATTCAAGGACTTAGCTTGCAGACCATCAAGCCTCCCTGCCCTCTCCTAAGCCCCTCCCATACCCTTCCTCACCCTTGCAAGCCAAGACCTCTAAGCTCAGTCAACACAGCTCTTGTTCACAAATAATAAAATAGGTGCCATGTATATAGCATGGATAATGTCAGATTTGTATACTGATATCTGGAATCCCCAAGATGACCCAGCAAGGGAACCATTATACTCCTGTTCCCATGGACTCAGAGGGTGCAGCCAGGATGGAGATATGGGTCTCTCTGACCACAGCCATGGACTGCTTCACACCAGCCTGCCCCTGGGACCTCAGCTGTCTGGTAGGTGAGGAGAGAAATCTGAGCAGCAAAGTCATGTGAAAGAGCTGGTTCCAGGAGGGCTTCCAAAGGGCTGTAGATTCACTGAGTGTCCACGGCAAAGTGTGTGCAAACTTCTGAGGGCAGACACCTTGCCTCCTACCCACAGGGCTGTTGCACCCAAAGAGGACAGATTCACTGTTACCTGCATCTGGTGGAGATTATCTCCAAGATGGTTCAGTTATGTTCCCTACAATGGTTTGTTTTGTTATTGATAATATTCTTTTACTTAAAAAAATTGAGATAAAGAAAATATACCTCTTTCTATGTAACCATCACCCCAACCAAGGTATAGAACATTTCCTTTGCCCCAGAAAGTACTGTTTTGCTTCCTTGAAGATAGTGTTTCCCACAGGGATGAAAACTACTCTAACCTCATTACTATACATTAGTTATACCTTTTCTTGAACTTCATAAACATGGGATTATGTAGGATGCATTTTTTGATCTGACCTCTGCTTAATTGTTTGTGAGATTCTTCTGTGTTATTTTATTGGTAGTTTATTCTTCCATTAGAAAAATAATACCTAATTTTATTTTTTTGTCATGCCCTGTTGATGGGCTTTTGGGTAATTTCCAGTGTTTGTGTACTATGACCAAAGCAGCTATGTCTTTAGGGGGACATATGCATTCATTTCTTCAGGATACATACTTGGGAGTAAAATTGCTGGTCTGTAGGATAGGCATATGTTTAACTTTATTAGAAACCAGCAAGCATTTTTCCAAAGTGGCTGCACTGTGCCTTTAACAGCTTTTATAAGGTCCTGGTTCCTGGCCAGGCAGCTGGCAGGTCCACCTGGCAACCAGATTGTAGTAGCCTAATGGGGTTGTTTGTGCATCCTCAATCTGGATGCAGGTCAACAGAATCCAGCCTGAACCACCTTAAATAAAAAAGGGGGTATCACTGGCAAATGTAGTCCAGTGTGGGAAGGCCAAGATGTTTGGAGCCAGGAACCCTCTCTCCCCTTTCTGTCTCTCAGTTCTACTTCTCTCTACCTGCACTTGGACTTCTGCCAAGCTGGCCATTTCCATATGACTGAGATATGGCCTGAGGTCCCCTCTTTAAAGCTTTGCAAGCATTTGGAGTCCTCCAACCCAAAGATAAAAGATGGTGAAAATTAAAACTACCCCCAAGATGCCATTTTTAACTTGTTAGATTGGCAAAATTCCAGAGTTTGATAACACTTTTTATTGACATGGCTATGGGGAAATGGGCAGTTGCATACACTGCAAGTGAGAGTGAAAAATTGGTACAACCCCTAGAGACAGAAATTAGCCTGCATGTATCGAGAAAAGTAATCCTATTTCTAGCAATGTATCATACAAATATTCTCAAAATATTGTATGTTGTATATGCAAAACAATATACATACAAGGCTAGTTACTGCAGTGTTGTTTGAAATAGCAAAGACAGGAAATACCTAAATGTCCTTTGAAAGGGCACTGATTAAGTAACATAATACATATATTTAATGGAATACTCTGTAGCTGTACTATTTTTTTAAAATAAAGATACAGGTGAGGAAGTACTTCATCTACTGATGTAGAGAGATCTCTGCCAAGATACAATGTTAAGAGAAAATAAAATTCAGCAGCAGAAAATATGCACCTTATGCCACAATTTGTGTAACAAAAGATAGAAAACAAATTTGTACTTGTTTGTGTATGCACAAAGAAACCATGGAAGGATACCCTAGGAAGTACCTGGTTATGGGAGTAGAACTAGAGAAAGGGAGAGAACAAGACTTTTTACTGTATACTTTTTCTTTTTAGACATTATGATTTTTGAACTACGTAAATGTATTGCCTAGTTAAAATAATACTTTGAGTTTTAAGTTGTAAATTTTAGCCTTGATTGTCCAGCTTAATAATGTGCCTGTCTCTGCACCAATCACTACGTCTAGGGTGGGGTGCTATTTTTAGTACCTAGAAAAGGTTTGGAGGAACTTCTCTTCTCCCAGGAGAAGAGTACTGTTCTGAGAAGATGAAACTAAAAATGCTCATTATACCCAGGGGGCAGGGTCAGATGGATCCCAAAGTTGTGGTGTAAGGTTGCTTGTGAGGACTTTCGAGGCTTCGAGGACGGAGGTCTCTGGAGCCTCAGATAAGATCCTTCCACAGTGCCACTTAGCTAATCTACTAGATCCCTTCCCCTTACCTGTCCAGCCCCCTGGAATTAAAGGCACTGACGGAAGCTCCCTTTCCTGCTTGTATAGGGGAGCTCTAAGGGGAATTTGAAGGTACAGGAGTATCCTGCTGCTGCTGACATCCATATCTCCAAGCCCTTCTATTTTATTGATGTAACTAATTCCACCGTACCCCAACCACTCACACCTAGCCTTTTCTTCCAATCTTAGTTGGCTTTGGTCCTTGGTTTTATCCTTTATTTTTGCCTTTAGAACAGTCTTGCTGTATTCTTCAGAACAAGTATGTCATAAGCAAATTATAAGATGGGGATTTTTCTGCATGTGATTTATTAGGGCAGAGCTCTCAGGAGAAAGGGGGGAAAGAAAGTAGGATAAGGCCAGGAACAGAACTGAAAAGGATGAACTTGGCTTCAGCGTGATCTTTCTGGAAGCTTTGGAGTATCAATTGTACCACAGAGTCATTGTCACTTTGAGGCAAATGCACCTGCATTTTGTATTCCTGTGTTAATAAGTCATTGGTTGATGGCTTGTGAGGAGGGGACATGCCTAACCTCCTGTCAAGATGGCTGCTGTTCCATTGGCCAAGGGCAGTTTTCCAGAGAAGGGGCAGTGGCCAACACTCACAGCAGCTGGGGGACAGGCATACCTGCTTACATTGGAATCTGAGCAGGGTGCTCACAGTGTTCAGCATTAGTTTTGTTGGGTATCTTTAGGGGGCCACTTCTTTCTGAGCACTTTAAGATGAGATTTGCTTAATTGCTATTCTGTCCACTCCTTACTTACCTCTCTCACACACTGCTGCATTATTTTTTTAATTGGTTTTTTAAAATTTCTAAGTTTTTTATTTTTTATTTCAATAGCTTTTGGGGTACAAGTGGTTTTTTGTTACATGGATGAATTATATAGCAGTGACTTCAGAGACTTTAGTGCACACATCACCCCTGTAGTGTACATTGTACCAAACGTTTGGTTTTTAAAATCCCTAATCCCCCTCCCACCTTCCCTCTTCTGAGTCTCTTCTGAGTCTATTACATCACTCTGTATGCCTTTGCATACTCATAGCTTAGTTCCCACTTATAAGTGAGAACATAACAGTTTTTGATTTTCCACTCCTGTGTTACTCCTCTTAGAATAATGGCCTCCAGCTCCATTCAAGTGGCTGCAAAAGACATAGTTTTGTTCCTTTTTATGGCTGAGTAGTATTTCATAGTATATATATATGTTTTCTTTATCTGCTCATTAGTTGATGGGCATTTAGGTTGGTTCCACATCTTTGGAATTGTGAATTGTGCTGCTATAAACAGACATGTGCAAGTGTCTTTTTCTATAATGACTTCTTTTCCTTTGGGTAAATACCCAGTAGTGGGATTGCTGGATTGAATGGTAGATCTATTTTTAGCTCTTTAAGGACTCTCCATACTGTTTTCCATAGAGGTTGTACTAGTTTACATTCCCACCAGCAATGTATAAGTGTTTCCTTTTCTTCACATCCATGCCAACATCTATTGTTTTTTGACTTTTTAATTATGGCCATTCTAGCAGAAGCAAAGAGATATCTCATCATGGTTTTGATTTGCATTTACTTGGTGATTAGTGATATTGAGCACTATGTTGAATAGAAATGGTGAAAGTGGGCATCCTTGTCTTGTTCCACTTCTCAGGGGGAATGGTTTCAACTTTTCCCCATTCAGTATAATGTTGGCTGTGAGTTTGTCATAGATGGCTTTTATCACCTTGAGGTATGTCTTTTCTATGCCAATTTTGCTGAGGGTTTTTAATCATAAAGTGATGCTGGATTTTGTCAAATTCTTTTTCTGCATCTATTGAGATAATCATATGATTTCTGTTTTTAATTCTGTTTATATGTTGTACCACATTTATTGACTTGCATATGTAAAACCATCCCTGCATTCCTGGTACGAAACCCACTTGATTATCATGTGTTATCTTTCTAATATGCTGTTGGATTCAGTTGGCTAGTATTTTGTTGAGGATTTCTGCATCTATGTTCATCAGGGATATTGGTTTGTAGTTTTCTTTTTTTATTATGTCCTTTCCTGGTTTTGGTATTACTGGCTTCATAGAATAATTTAGGGAGGATTCCCTCCATATCTTTTGGAATAGTTTCAGTAAGATTGGTACCAATTCTTCTTTGAATGCCTGATAGAATTCACCTGTGAATCCATCCGGTCCTGGACTTTTTTTGTTGGCAATTTTAAAATTACTGTTTCAGTCTCGCTACTTGTTATTGGTATGTTCAGCATTTCTATTTCTTCCTGGTTTAATCTAGGAGAGTTGTATATTTCCAGAATTTATCCTTATACTCTAGATTGTATAGTTTGTGCACATAAAGTGCACAGTACTTTTCATAGTACCCTTAAATGGTCTTTTGTATGTCTGTGGTATTGACTGTAATACTTCCCATTTCATTTCTAATTGAGCTTATTTGGATCTTCTTTCTTCCTTTCTTGGTTAATCTCACTAAAGGCCTATCAATTTTGTTTATCTTTTCAAAGAACCAGCTTTTTGTTTCATTGATGTTTTGTATTTGTTGTTGTTGTTTCAATTTCATTTAATTCTGCTCTGATCTTGTTATTTCTTTTCTTCTGCTGGGTTTGGGTTTGGTTTGTTCTTGTTTCTCTAGTTCCTTGAGGTATGACCTTAGTCTATTTGTGCTCTTTCAGACTTTTTAAATCTAGGCATTTAAGGCTATGAACTTCCCTCTTAGCACTGCTTTAGCTGTGTCCCAGAGGATCTTGATTTCATTGTTGACCCAAACATCATTAAGGAGCAGATTATTTAATTTCCATGTATTTGCATGGTTTTGATGGTTCCTTTTGGAGTTAACTTCCAATTTTATTCTACTGTGGTCTGAGGGAGTACTTGATATAATTTCAGTTTTCTTAAATTTATTGAGACTTATTTTGTGGCCTATCATGTGTTCCATCTTGGAGAATGTTCCATGTGCTAATAAAAAGAATGTACATTCTGCATTGGTGGGTAATGTTCTGTAATTTCTGTTAAGTCCATTTGTTCTAGGGTACAGTTTAAGTTCATTGTTTCTTTGTTAACTTTCTGTCTTGATGATCTGTCTAGTGCTGTCAGTGAATTATTGAAGTCCCCAGCTATTCTTGTGTTGCCGTCTATCTCATTTCTTATGTCTAGTAGTAATTGTTTTATAAATTTGGGAGCTCCCATGTTAGGTGCATATATATTTAGGATTGTGATATCTTCCTGTTGGACTGATCCTTTTATCATTACGTGATATCCCTCTTTGCCTTTTTAAACTGTTGTCTGTTTTAAAGTCTGCTTTGTCTGATGTAAGAATAGCTGCTCCTGCTCACTTTTGGTTTCCATTGGCACAGAATATCTTTTTCCACTTCTTTACCTTAAGTTTATGTGAGCATGTCTATGTTAGGTGAGTCTCTTGAAGACAGCATATACTTGATTGGTGGATTTTTATCCATTCTGCCACATTTTAAGTGGAGCATTTAGGCCATTTACATTCAACATTAATATTGAGATGTGAGGTACTGTTTTATTGATTATGCTTGTTGTTGCCTGAATACCTTAGGTCTGTTATTTTATTTAGGCCCTGTGAGGTATATGCTTTAAGGAGGTTCTATTTTGGTGTATTTCTAAGTTTTGTTTCAAGATTTAGAATTCCTGTTAGCATTTCTTGTGGTGCTGGCTTGGTGGTGGCAAATTCTCTCAGCATTTGTCTGAAAAAGACTTTATCTCTCATTCATTTATGAAGCTTAGTTTTACTGGATACAAAATTCTTGGCTGGCAGTTATTTCGTTTAGAATGCTAAAGATAGGACCCCAGTCTCTTCTGGCTTGTAGGGTTTCTGTTGAGAAATCTGCTGTTAATCTGATAGGTTTCCCTTTATAGGTTACCTGATGCTTTTGCCTCACAGTTCTTAAGATTCATTCTTTCCTTCATCTTGACTTCAAATAACCTAATGACTATGTGTCTGGGCGATGATCTTTTTGCAATGAATTTCCCAGGTGTTCTTTGAGCTTCTTGTATTTGAATGTGTAAATCTCTTGCAAAGCCCAGGAAGTTTTCTTCGATTATTCCCTCAAATATGTTTTCCAAACTTTTAGATTTCTCTTCCTCCTGAGGAACACCAATTATTCTTAGGTCTGGCCATTTAACACAATCCTAAATTTCTTGGAAGCTTTGTTCATTTTTTAAAATTCTCTTCTCTTTGTCTTTGTCTCCTTGGGTTAATTTGAAGGCTTGTCTTGGAGCTCTGAAATTATTTTTTCTACTTGTTCAATTCTATTGTTCTAACTTTTCAATGCATTTTGTCTTTCTCTAAGTGTGTCTTTCATTTCCAGAAGTTGTGATTGTTTTTTCTTTATGATTTCTATTTCTCTGGAGCATTTTTCATCCATATCCTGTATTTTTTAAACTTATTTAAATTGGTTTTCACCTTTCTGTGGTATGTCCTTGAGCAGCTTAATAATCAACCTTCTGAATTCTTTATCTGGCAATTCAGAGATTTCTTCCTGGGTTGGATGTATTGCTGGGGAGCTACTGTGGTCTTTTGGGGTTGTTTTAGAACCTTGCTTTGTCATATAACCAGAATTACTTTTCTGATTCCTTCTCATTTGGGTAGACTATTGCAGTGGAAAGATCTAGAATTCAAGTGCTGCTGTTCAGATTATTTTGTCCCATGGGGTGGTCCCTTGATGTGGTGCAGTCCCCCTTCCCCTAGGGATAGGGCTTTCTGTTAGCCAGACTGCAGTGATTGTTATTGCTTTTCTGGGTCTAGCCACCCAGTGGGACTACCAGGCTCTGGGCTCGTGCTGGGGAATGTCTGCAAAGAGTCCTGTGATGCAATCTGTCTTTAGGTCTCTCAACTGTGTATACCAGCACCTGAGCAGGTGGAAGTGGTAGGGGAGTTAAATAGAGTCTGTGAGAGTCCTTAGTTGTAGATATGTTTAGTGTGCTGGCTTTCTCAAATGCTGATTATGCTAGTAGTGAAGTTGTCACATGGACAGACTCAGGACCACTGGTTAGCCAGGATGTTGCAGGAAGTTGAATTTGCTATTGTTTTCTCCTTCCTTGGAGCAGTTATTCTGTCATGAGTTGCTGTAATGTCTTGAGTTGGTTGGCCTCCAGCCAGGAGATGACACTTTGAAGAGAATACCAGCTGCAACTGTAGAAGGGGGATATAGGCTTGCCCTGAGTTGGCCAGGATAAGCATTTGGGTTTCTCAGGCAATGGTCAGGGTCGTAAAGCTCCCAAAGAGCTTATGTCTTTTGTGATTGGCTACTGGGGTGGGTAGAGAAATACCATCAGGTGGGTGAAGGGTAGGGTAGGTCTGAGCTCAGACTCTTCTTGGGCAGGGCTTGCCATGGCCACTGAGGGGGATGGAGGGTGGTTCTTGGGCCAATAGGGTTATGTTTCAGAGGGGATTATGGCTGTCTCTGTCACCAGGGAAGTGGGGGGAAGCCAGTAGCAATAGGCCTCACCCAGCTCTCATGCAGGTGGCAAAGCCAGTCTCACTAACACTGCTGAGTTTATCTCCAGGCAGCCTGGGCACAGGACTCAGACCTAGCTCCAGGCTATAAGTTTTCTCACTGAGAAAACAAGCATGGCTTTCAGGCCACACCTCTCCCCAACTGCCCACACTATTGGATGCAACTCCTGTTCTCCTGCTCTCCTTTCCTCAGCAGTTCCTGTTTGCCACTGGATTCTGCTCAAGAGAGTTTGAGCCCAGTCAAAATTATGCCAAAGTTCAGTCAGAAGCTACTTTCACCCTGTGACCTTTCTCAAATTCCACCAGCTGATTTCCCAAGGGCCCCTGTGAGATATAGTCAGAGATGGCTTCCCTGGGCTCAAGCTGGAGAATGGGAATACCTACAAGTCTCTTCCCACTGTTGTTTCTACTTTTATATTTCACACTAAATCCATTTCAGCTCTAGGTAAGGTTAAATCCTTCCTCCATAATCTGGACTTTTGCGTTCCCCAGTGGGGATGTGTTTGGAGGCAGGTTTTCTCCCCTCACACTTTGAGAACTCAGTTTTTCACCTGTCTTCTGGAATTTGCAGAGGCCTGCTGCTGCTTTCAAAGGATCTGTTAATTCTTTGTTTTCCTGGTACCTGGTGGTTCCTGGAGCAAAAGTCCATGGTGTAAGTCTCCACATACTATTCCATCCATCCAAGTGGGAGCTGTATGTCAGCCTTATCACCTATCCACCATCTTCCCCAAGTTTCTCCAGTTTCATTTCTAATTGAGGTTTTTGGGATCTTCTCTCTTCTTTTCTTGGTTAATCTAGCTAGCGGTCTATCAATTTTTTTTTCAAAGAACCAGTTTTTTTGTTTCATTGATATTTTGTATTGTTTTGTTGGAATTTCATTTAGTTCTGCTCTGATCTTTGTTATTTCTTTTCTTCTTCTGACTTTAGGTTTAGTTTGTTCTTGTTTCTCCAGTTCCATGAGGTGTGACGTTAGGTTGTCAATTTGTGCCCTTTCAGACTTTTTGATGTAGGCATTTCATGCTATAAACTTTCCTCTTAGCACTGCTTTTGCTGTATCCCAGAGGTTTTGGTAACTTGTGCCATTATTATCATTCAATTTGTAGAATTTTTACATTTCCATCTTAGTTTCGTTATTAACCCAGGTATTCAGGAGCAGGTTATTTAACTTTCATGTATTTGTATAGTTTTGAGGGTTCCTTTTGGAGTTGATTTCTAGTTTTGTTCTCCTGTGGTCTGAGAAGATACTTGACATGATTTTGATTTTTTTTTCAGTTTATTGAGATTGGTTTTGTGGCCTATCATACGGTCTATCTTGGAGAATGTTCCATGTACTGATGAGAATGTATATTCTGCAGATGTTAGGTAGAATGCTCTGTAAATATCTGTTAAGTCCATTAGTTCTAGAATGTCATTTAAGCCCATTGTTTCTCTGTTGACTTTCTGTTTCAAAGATCTGTCTAATAGGATGGGGAACATCACACACCGGGGCCTGTCGTTGGGTGGGGGGAGGGATAGCATTAGGAGATATACCTAATGTAAATGATGAGTTAATGGGTGCAGCAAACCAACATGGCACATGTCTACATATGTAACAAACCTGCACGTTGTGCACATGTACCCAAGAACTTAAAGTATATATATATATAAAAAGATCTGTCTAGTGCTGTCAGTGGTGTATTAAAGTCTCCCACTATTACTGTTTTGCTGTCTATCTCATTTCTTAGGTATAGTAGTAATTGTTTTATGTATCTAGAAGCTCCAGTGTTTGGTGCATATAAATTTAGGGATTTAATATCTTCTTGTTGAACTGATCCTTTTATCATTACATAGTAACCATCATTGTCTTTTTTGTTTTTACTGTTGTTGCTTTGAAATCTGTTTTGTCTTTGAAGTAGCTATAAGAGTAGATACTTGTATTAATCATTCTCACATTGCTTTAAAGAAATACCTGAGACTGGGTAATTTTAAAGAAAAGAGGTTTAATTGGTTCATAGTTCTGCAGGCTATGCAGGAAGCATAGCAGCTTCTGCTTCTGGGGAGACCTCAGGAAACTTACAATCACGGTGGAAGGTGAAGAGGAAGCAGGCGTGTCTTACATGGCTGGAACAGGAGGAATGGGGGTGGGTGTGCTATAAACTTTTAAAACAACCAGATCTTGTGATAACTCACTCACTCACTATCAGGAGAACAGCACTGTGGGGATGCTGCTAAACCATTATTCAAGGATCTACCCCAATGGTCCAATCACCTCCCACCAAGCCCCACCTCCAACATGGGGGATTATAATTCAACATGAGATTTGGGCAGGGATACAGATCCAAACTATATTACTACTCCTGCTTGCTTTTGGTTTCCATTTGTGTTCCACTTACCTTGAGTTTATATAAATCCTTCCATGTTAGGTTGAGTCTCTTGAAGCCCGACATGCACCAAAATAGAACCTCTTGAAAGCTTAAAACTCATAGGGCCTATAAAACAATAACACAACAACAACAAAACTATCTAGGTAACAACATGAATAAGAGACTAGTACCTCACATCTTAATATGAATGTTGAATGTAAACTGTCTAAATGTTCCTCTTAAAAGATACAGGATGGCAGAATGCTGCATTATTTTAAAGCAGGTTCCAAACATCATCTGATCTTGTCTGTATATACTTGAATATATATATCCTGAATAGTTGAATGTATTTTTCATAACCCCATACCATTATAATACCTAAAAAACAATATTTACTGAATATCATTTTATACAGTCTGTTTAAATTTCCCAGATTGTGTCAAAAGTGTCATTTTATAGTTATTTTGCTTAAAGTAGGATGCAAACAAGGTCTGCACATTGTATTTGACTATTTATCTGTAACATATTTCCCTTGACTCTTGTATGCCATTATTTGTTGAAGCAATTAGGGCATTTGGCCTGTAGAATTTCCATATTCTTATCTTAGCTGGTTGCCTCTTTACTGTGTTGTTTACATGCCCCTTTAGACTCCACACTTCTTGTAAACCAGTAGTTGGGGGGCATTAAGGGTGCCACTGCTACTGAGTTGTTGTTGCTTCTAGGCCCTTCCAAAGAACAAAGGTAGGAAGCAGACATTTTCTAGAAAAAGAAATAGATCATGATGTTACCTCCCATTTAAATTTAGAATTATGTGATTTTCTGTGAAATATTTTAATTTTATATTAGTTCCATTTTTATTACGTGGAAAATCTTTATCCCTAACAAGACTTACATAATCATTTACAATCTATCTATCTAGATACATTTCTTTCTGAATAATCAATATTATTTCAATCTTGGCCAAAGCCCCACGGCCCTGGAACAGTCACCTAATATGCCTGAACTCTGTCTACACAACTGTAAAATGGACATGGGAGCTCTTGCCCTCCCCCTCAACCCACTGTGGCAAGAGCAAATGAAACAATGGATGTAAGCGTCATTTGTAAAGACAGGAAAGCACCTAGGGAAGAAAAGCAATCACCTATAGGGGCCTGTGAAAAAGTTCCAAGGAATACTGAGCATGGGTTTTTCAGGCAACCAGATTTCCAGACCCTTAATTTTCATCCACATACTTTTCTGGTTTTATTTGCCTAAGAACACCTCTGAGTTTCCATTTGTCCTCTCACTTTATTGTTTTAAAAAAGCAAAAAGGCATACTCCTCACTCACCCGTGATCTGACTATGGTAATATTGCTATGAGGTGTGCACACCTCAGGAAGAATGGAAAAAAATAAGAGGAAGAGTTCTTTATTGCTTAGACAAGATTCCATTAACTCCTGAGCTCTCATGTTTTCCCATCTTATGCAATTTATGTTAAGGAAGAAGATATTCTAGAAAATAGTATTTTGACATATATTAGGATGTTCTGAATATAGACATATGGTAACCAGAATGGTAAGAGACAGGATATTTTCCGTCTTAAAGGAGAGTCCAATGACAGTAAAGCAAAGAGAACATCAGCTAGAAACACTGAATGCCAGAGGAAAAAAGAACGTGGCTTTTTCAAATATGTTTAAATGTAAGCAATACTTTTCAGCCACCTTCAGTACTAATCCTAGGTCAGGTCTCCAGCTCAAAGGAAGAGTATCAAAGTACAGTCCAGGCATATAGGTTGGGCTGTACTGATGCATTTAAATATAACTGCAAGATTTGCCAAGACTTTCACAATTCTCAAGATATATCAAATAAAATGCACAGATACCAATTTTAGGTGACTTATTTGTATGTAGTATATGTTATTCAATAAGGTAATTGAAAATCCATCTTATGAAATGATATGAAATAATCCAATGATAGCTATTGCTCATTTTAATTTACCATATAAAATATTTAACATTTTCTACTTCCTATTAACAGGAATAATATTATCCTAGCTTCTGGACTGATTCATTTTTAGCAGAATATGCCTTTCTCTTTCATTAAATACATATGAAAAGTTAGAAAATCGTTCATCTCATTAGGAGATGCACTTCCAATTACATTTAACTTTATGTTTAAAAAATGATCAAAATTGGTAACATTTTAATGCAATTTTGATCAGTTGTATGATAATTCAATCCAGAAGCAATTTTTTAAAGCATGGGGAGCCTTAAGGTCACAAGAATAAAATATATTTTTTAATGTATTATGAATACATATGTAATATATTTTAATGTATGATAGGATGATCAATAAAATATCTTCAAATTTTAAAAGTATATTAAATTATGTTAAAGGTTCATGGAGGAAGTACAAAAGAAATATAAATTCAAGGAGAAAAAGGGAAAATGTAAAATTTCTCAACAGTAAAGAAGAGCCTATTCATATGTTTTAAATGGGATGGTGATGAGCATGAAATCTTTATGAGCTCCAGATTCTCTTTAATATTTTAAGATTGATAGTTGTATGTTTAAATGTCAATATTTGCAGTAAAATGAAAATTATATCCCTTGCAATCACTTAAACTTATCGTGAAAACTTCTACCTATGAACTTAAAAATATGTGACAGTTATATTGTTTTTTGAGATTCTTTTTTGCGATGTGCATGCAAACAAAAATTTGAAGACGACAGAACTGTGGGAAGGCCACAGTTGCACAGACAGGAGGTGCTATCTTCTCCTTCCTGGCCCCACCCTCTCTGCCTGTGTCTGCCTGAGCAGCCTCCAACCAGCCTGCACACAGAAATGCTCTTTTCTCTTTAGTCAACTCCCTGTTTAAAAAATAATAATAAAAAACACATAGCACATTAGTTAGCTATAGCCACAATTATATTGCATGAAAAAACAACCAGAAAACCTCAGTGGCAGACAACAAAAAGTACTTATTCCAGTTCATGAGTCCTTGGGTTGGCTGAGCAGTTCTGTTAATCTTGCCCAGGCTCTGTTGACCTCTGGTGGGCTCTCTCATGCATCGGCAGTCACTGGGATGGCTTGTCTCTGCTCTACATCATCTCTCATTCTCCAGGAGGCCAGTTTATGCTTATTATGATGGCAGCTAAACAGGCTTCTGAGAGAGAAAAGCATGCAAAGCTGCTTGAAGGCCTCGCTCAGCACTGGCATTCCATCACTGGCATCTCCCCACATCCTGTTGGCCAAAGCAAGTCAGAAGGTCTCCCAGATCCAAGGAATGAGGCAGTAGTCTCCCCCGCTTAATAGGAGGAGCTACAAAGTCACATTGGAAAGGAGCATGGATGTGGGAAAATATAGAGAATTGGGCCTATGTTTGCAATGAATCTATCACAAACCATAATAGCTACTATGACTTAGGTCCTTGTAATGAACCAGACACTGTGATTAGAAACTTTAAATGTGTTAATGCTTTTGTTCCTCAAAGAACGTAGAGAATCTATATATATCCTGTTTTTTTTATTTCTACTCCTCCTTTTCTCCCACAGGTACCCTGAAAGCCACTTTCTTTCCTTTAATGGGACTGAAACAAAGACTTGAGGAAGCTGTAGGCCACAGTAACCAAAAGGAAAGTTAGGATGGCAGAGCAAAGTTTCTGCTCCCTCAAATCAAGTAAGGCTGGGGCTGGTGGTCAGGAGAAGAGAAGGCACACAGGAGGAAGATGCAGAGGGACTGTGAGTGCTCAGAGTGAGGGAGAGAAGGCTCTCCTGTCTTTAGGATGAGGAATGGGGAGATGGGGGCTGTACCCACTCCCTTTAAGGGTCCATCCCATTTCTCTCTTTTATTTAGCCAATATGAAGCCTGTATTGATACTTTGCTCACGTCTAAATGAGTCCTTCTACTCCTAAGTCCAAGCACTCATTGAAGGGAGTGTGAAGGTTTGAGTCTGCTGAAGAAGTAGGCAGCCTTGTCATGACACTTCTTTCCTGAGGGATCTCCAGGACTCCTCATTACTTGTATAGGGCTGAGACTCTGGACAGGGGGTGCTGAAAGGCTAAATCTCCATGGCCTCTGGTCTCTGCCCCCACAGAGATTCCTCTGTGAGAAGATGCCAATCAAAGAGGGTGAGGCTTCCTCACAACCATGGGGAGGTTACCTGATTCAGGAAGAATGGGCAATTAAACATGAGTTTGAAGATTGCTTTTTTGAGGTAGGCCAGTCTCGCTGAAAAATGATCATCTACCTGGAGACAAAGGAGGTGTTGGTGAGTTGGTGACATGGGTATAATCTGAGCCCAAGCAGTTTATTTCACTGGCTCTCTGCATTGTGTTTTTGAGACCTTCAAAGTCTCAGTATTATCCTGTTAGTCTCACATTGTCTTGGCCTCTGTGGTATGTAAATAAAGTCAGCATAGGGTATTCTGAAAGTTGAGGGTGTCGAGGATGTCGTAAGAGTCTTTGTTCTCCCAGCAGCAGATCTTGAGATCAGGATTCTAATGCAGGTAGTTTACTTGGGAGAAGATCCTAGGAAACACTAGAGGAGAGTGGGGAAATGGTGCAGGAAAGGGAGGGAAGCCAATACAAGGTGCATTTTTAAGGCTCTTACTACTGTGGGAAACTGGGGTTTAATCTCTCTTGGGAACTCTGGATGCTAGTGTAGAACACACGCCTCAGAGTTATTCCACTCAAGAGATGAGAGAGCTGCCATATTTATCCACCACCTCCCATTGGTGCAACAACAGGGTACCAGTTATGGGCACTCTTGTGGCATAGCTGACTCTACTGGCCAGTAGAAGCCTTTAGACAAATAGACATCAGGGCTAGCATTGAAAAAGGGCTGACATTAGTGGAAATGATAAGAAGTAAGGGGATGTGGGTAAGGCATGTTCCATAGAAGTCTTCTGTGATTCACTCCCTGGAACTTACAAGGAAGGTACCTTGGTTAAGCTGCAGGGGTGTCGACATCTATAGGAGCAGGAGCATCCAGGAGAGGAAAATCCATCCCAACACCTAGAGAATGGTGTCCTCACTGCATAGGCAGACATTCAAGGTCCAGCCTGACCAGATCCTATTGTGTCCCACATGCTCCTTTTGGTTTATTCTCCCCAGTCTCCTTGTTGGCCACAGTCTTACACAGACTCTACCTCCACTATGCTTTGTTTGTCTGATTGTCTCCCTTCCCTCTCCTCTTTGCCTTGCCTGGCTCCACCCAATCCTTAAAGCTTCAGGTCAGGTCCCGCCTCTTTTCTCAAGTCTTCTTTTTTCAATACCTATCCTTCAGGCCATGGGCTTGTCCAAACCCCTTGTGCCTTTTTGTCATGGCCTTTCCTTTGTCATATTGTTTATTGCATTGTGTTTTCATGTAACTGAATGTGTGTGGGTCTAGTTTCCTCCATTTGATAACATATTATATGAATTTGTGCATCTTTTCATTGTGCCTCGATGGTCAGCACAAGGCTATGTGTATAACAGATGCTTTGAAATAGATGCTTTTCCAATTTTGGGTGATGTATTGAGCAAGATATTGGCTTGGCTACCAAGAGAGGCCAAAAATAACCATGGCTTAAAGAAAGTAGATGTTTTAATTCTCTATTATTAAGGATAAGTAAGTTTTATAATTACAGATGTCTTTGTTTTAGCTGGTGGTCCAGGGCAGCTCTACCACCTGAGGGTAAACATGGACCCAAGGTTCTTTTATTGTTGTCTCATCAAGCTGTTGGTTTTGTCAGCATGGTCAAACTGACTTACTTCTGAGATTGTGGTATCTGACACTTGGACAGTGGGGAAGAAGGAGTGAAGAGCAAGCAGCTTCCTTTTTTAAGAATGTGATCTGGAAGTTAGTTAGACAAATCATTTCTCAACTAGAATTTCATCAAACGGCCACACTTAGCTCAAGGGAGCCTGGGAAATGTTGTATCTAGCTTTGTGGCTAAAATTTGGGATGACTGTTCTGAAAGGAAGAATAGAAGAATGGATGTTGAGGGACAGCCCTCTGACACAGAGTGCTTACAAATCTAGCTTTACTTTGAATAACATATGCCATTGCAGCAGATCTGAATAGTTAAAATATTAACACATCCCATTTACTTATTCCTATATTTCTCACAAACGCAATTAGTAATTTCATTATGCTCAGATACAACGTGTAGAGGAATAATATTTGAAATTTTAATGGAAGTATCTTCATTCTTGCTAATACATTTTAATCTACAGTCTTTCCTCCACTAAAATTAGACCATGAGGTGGGGGCTTATCTCCTCAGGAGCGAACTGAAATGTGGAGATAGAAATGAGCCAGTGCTCAGCTTTGAGTTTTGAAACAGACTTTTGATGCTCATGGCAGATGCGGTAACTTTGAGAGATAAGACTTTTAAAGTTCTAGAGTGCTTGAATACCAGAAGCCTAAAGTGTATGCCCTAACCAATAATTTTTGAAGGAGTACATTAGGATAAAAGAAATTGTTTTCCTATCCAAAAGGAAATAGGGACTGTAGGAGGGGTGAGGAGGAGAGAGATAGCTAGAGAGGGGCAACAGAGGAAAGTATTGGGGAAGGCTCTGAGCAGAGGTTCTGTTCCTTCCCCCACCCCAGGCAGACTCCTGGTTTGGGGAGGACTCAGAGATGGGGTCATCAGATTGGGTGGTGGAGCCGGACCACTTGGTTTGAATCCCGGTTTCACCATTTCTTAGTCTTGTGAATTGGGTAACTTGTCTCTGTGTTTTAATTTCCTATTCTTTAAGATGGAGATAGTAACAATAATAATAATATCTACTTTATGTTGTTATCTTGAGGGTTCAATGAGTAAGTACATGTAAAACACATAAAGCCTGGTACATAATAATCACCAATTAAATTTATTGTTATTATTAATACCCGAGAGAAGAGGGATCTGTGTAGGGTTTCACTTTGTCTCTAATTTTAAACATCTCTAATATGTAACATTTCTTCCACATTTTTTTTCAGTTGCATATGATTCAGACTTTTTACATTTGGGAGTTTAAAATTTTATTAAGTAATACTACTCATTGCTCTTTAATTATACAAAGAAGCACTGAGAATGACGAACTTCTTACAAACCCTGAGTACATTGCATGAGATCCAAAATCTGTAAATCATGTTTGATGATACGCTTTGTAGAAATTCTAGATATAATTTCAAAAAGATCAAGTGAATTAACATTCAAAGATGAACGCGATTATTATAAGCAGTCACAGCATCCCTGTCACCTGCCATTAACAACATTTACAGGCAGAATACACATGCTATTCATCCATCTGTGGATACCTGCAGGTTTATTGGACTGAAAGATTATGAGGCAACTATATCCCGATAAAACTTGGAGGAACCACACATTGAGGAGAAGATTTCCACAAGCATAGAGCTAATGCAGACAATTTGAAAAGGATTGGCTTCATGCTGTCATGAAATTACAATTGCAATTGACTCTGGGGGAACACTTGAGTGGACTTGAGGGAAATGGCTTATGGGATAATCCCAGGGCCTTACATGGATTGACTAGCCCCTTCTTGGTAGTGATGTCATTCCTTTCCTCTGTGCTACACACGTTCATGTGCAAACACAAACACATCCCACACTCCAACAGGAAGCACAGTTCCCCCAAGTGCAGCTGCTTAGGTTACCATAGCAACCCTTGTAGCCAAGTTCCCAGCTGAACAAGTTTCACAAGACACCAGAATGTTTTCTTGCACTGCTCTTCCAGAATTGGGCTGAGATGGATCCAAGAATGGCCTGCAGTGAGGGCAGTGGGAAAGGCCCCCCAAAAACACCAGACTGACATCAAGTGTGGCTACAGGGAAGGAAGACTGCCTATGTACTTGGAGTGACTTACCTGGGAAGGGTGAAATTACACATCCAGCCCCTCTCAGGACACTCTGCAGGACTCATGGTTCAAGGAGGTGAGAACGGCTCTGTGCAGAACCATGGCTGCTAATACCCAAGTTCCAGGCTGCAGATAGGTACTCACTTTCAGCCTCGTGGTTGGAGGGCTTGAGCTGAACAGAAAATCCCCATCTTCTTCTAAAAAAACAAAACAACCTAAACAAACAAAACAAAAAATCTCTAATAAAATTCATGGTCAAAACAGATGAATGTCCCTTATACCTTGTCTCAAGGTTTTTTGCTGCCAGTTGCCTGTTACTGATTTAAACCAACAGTCCCCCCCTCAGTTCCCAGCACATTCATTCTGTGAACTGGACCCTGGGTATGGGGACTTGGCACAAGAACTAGAACAAGGTAAAGGAATTCACTGTGAGATCTTGTATTCCATGGCCTCCTCATACTCAGACCATGATCAAAATCTATTTAGGCCTATTTAGGGCTGGCCAATACGATCTAAAAAGCTATAGTCTTGTGATAAGGAAAGCTCTGTAAGCTCCACAAAGTCATTTCCCTCAACAGTATCTTATTTAAACCTAGCAACAAGTTTGCAAGAGTAGGGAAGGTTTTCTTCTATCTGCTTGATGGAGAAACTATACAAACTACTTTTACAAATACATGACAATATGTTAAAATCTATATCTATGGCAGTATTTCTCAATTTTTGTTTTTTAGTTTTCTCCTCCAAAAAGCCTTTTTACACTGTTTTTCCTAATCTTATTCTCAGATGAAATTTTTACCACCAATATTCTGTATATCTATCTGTTTATGTATGATATGAACATCTGTGCTTTATATACAAAAAGAGTAATTTTTTCCTCCCCATGGGGACCAATTTTTGTCTCTTGGGGTTATATCGCCTCCACTGGGAATGTGTGTTCTATGGGCAGTGGAAATAGAGCAGATTGTGTGCTTCTTTTGCATTGCTTTATTTCTCTTCTTCTTTTTTTTTTTTTCAAGACAGAATCTTGCTCTGTCACCCAGGCTGGAATGCAGTGGTGTGATCTCAGCTCACTGCAGCCTCTGCCTCCCTCGTTCAAGCAATTCTCCTGCCTCAGCCTCTTGAGTAGCTGGGATTACAGGTGCCTGCCACCAAGCCCGGCTAATTTTTGTATTTTTAGTAGATACAGGGTTTCACCATTTGGGCCAGGCTGGTCTTGAACTCCTGACCTCAGGCAATCCACCTGCCTCAGCCTCCCAAAGTGCTGGGATTACAGGCGTGAGCCACTGCACCTGGCCCTCTTCTTATTTTTTATTGTTCTCTTCCTCCTTTTTCTTTCTCCTTGTGTTCTAATTCCAAATAACCTGTATTCCTTGTGTAATTTAAAATATTGTAGTGATTTCAAAAAATAAAGGTGCGTGATAAATGCACTGGACAATCCAGACCCCTTCTTTAAGTGTTGAAAGTTAATTCAGTTTAAAAGCACAGAGTACCTGGAATCTAACTGCCTGGATTTGAATCCTGATTCCATCTTATGCTGTGGGACCTGGAGCGTGGTGCTTAACCTCTCTAAGCTTCAGTTCATTCTTTTGTAAAACAGCGATACCTGCCGTATACCTTCCTAAAAGTGGCTGATGTTAAAACCTTATTCACACCAAGATAGTGCATACATTTTCCAAGGCAGAAAATGCACATAACTGAGGCCTCCTGGATAAATTGCCTTAACCTACAGGATGCTCTAATGGACAGAATTTTAGACACTATGGCAAAAAAGGAGACTTGTCATGTCTGCATCAAACCATGTAGGTGCTTATTTGCCTACTACTCTTCCATCCTTCCTCAGCCTTAATTAAAAACCTAATTTCTCTATTACCATAACAATGAGTGAAACAACTACTGATTTGTTTCGCCAAATTAATTCTCTTTTTGGGAACCTGGGAGAACAATATTTATCAGAACAGCAGGCAGAGATTTAAAAATGGAAACATTTTTCCAATATGTATGCCAAATTCAGAAAATAACGGGATGAATATTTCAAGGTTTGAAGGCATCTTGGAGATTTGTTCACTGCTATGTCCCCAGCACTCAGGACAATGCTGACACATGGAAGACCTGCAGTAATTACCTGTTGAATGGGTGAGTGAAATTAGTATCACGAAGATCTCACTTTTCATGGTTTTTTGCTGTTGCTTACACAAAGTACTGTATTTACAAGCCGGACCAGGAAATTAATTTGTTTTGACATTCCATTATGTGTTTCACGTATTATCTCCTGTTGGCAATGAAGAAAGAACAGGCTTACTTTTCATGCACAGTCAAAATGAACAAACTCCTCTAAATCATTCTATTTGCCTGTGATGAAATGTTTCCAAAGAACTAAAAACATATGATATTTCCAATGTAGGTTCTGAAGTCCCTCTTTTTTCCTGAGGAAACATGACTGTGTCATGCAATATGACCTTTGGATTAAACAGGCATGAGATGGTGAACTCACTAAATATTTTTAAACTTAAGGTAAATATTTTGATGGTTTGGGGGACTTCCCCACATATTCATTTTATCCTTTAAAGGATCAAGAAAATTTACCTCAACCTCCAAGTTGTACCCAGAGTGAGAGAGGACTAGATACTTTTAACATCTCATAATTTCATCTTCATTTCTCATTTTTGCATATCTAAGAGTTATTCTGAAGAATTATTGAATGGAAATGAAATAAAAATACATACTACCAATGAAGAAAATTTTGCAACATGGGAACCAACACCTACTCATTTTCTTTTATTAGCCAAAATCTCTAGAAAAGGAAAGAGTGATGGGGGTGGGGGTGGGGACCAGCCGCAATGCCTACTTTTCTGTGTGTCATCTCTGATGGATAGATTCAGTAATTCTTACATTTTTGTGACTAGATCTTTCTGAGCTGGAAATTGCTGCAACCAGCTATGTTTGGGCCTTTGCTTCAGGCACTCTTAGGGTGTGATTTAGGAACTATTTTCAGTCCTAATGGGATAGTTTAGCACCCAGTCCCCAAAATCACATGATCTGAAGTTCTATGTTGAAGAATTAGAGACTTTCACGCTGAGAGTTAAACAAAAACCCCTGAAATTATTTAATCCAGCAGTATCCAAACTTTTTTTTAAGCAGCAGAACCTGTTGTTAAAATGAAAGTTTATCTGCAATTGATAGCAGATAATGTTCATGCCCCATCCAGGGCCCATCAAATCCCCTTGCCATGGTTTAGGCACACTTTTATTTTCAATGGCCAGCACTTACAGTTGGGCTAGTAGAGGTCACTTTGCCCACACTGTGGAAAGCCGGAAAGGCCTGGGAATTTACATCCCTCTGGAGTGGCCCTGAGCCAGTGATTCATCAGTACAGGAAGATGAGAACCCAGTTCTCTTGCCTCTGGGTCAGGACAACTCTGAGATGTAACTTACACTCCAGAGCTCCCCATGGGATCAGGCAGAGGCCACCCCAGAGGGACTTTGCCTGAGATAACATCCTTCCTTGTCTTCCTCCCCTTCCCAGTCTTGCTTCTCCATCTTCCTTAAAGTCTCACTGGGAGTATTTCCTTACCAAATGACTAGCACATACAATTATTCATCTCAGGGTATCTTCTGGAGAGCCCAGCCTGAGACAGAAGCCTGAAATGAAAGTGGAATGTGGAAGGGAAGTCTGTAGACCACTATTGTGTCTGACTTTATTACTTTGTCCTTTCTCAATTTCTCACTTTCTCTCTTGATGAGAAAAATCAAGACCAGGGTGGTAGAGGAGAGGTTGGAGGGGAAAACCTAACATTATAAAGGCTCAGGGTAGAAAGGGCTCTTCCAAGCCCAGAAAAACACTTTATTATTCCAGGAAGTTTGTTCGTGACAGCAGGTGCTGCCAACTCTGATGCTGTATCACTTCTGCCACCCTGGAGGTCAACTGTAGCTTCAGTTGATGGTTCCTGATACCCTGTTTGTACCCTGGTGCCTTCTTATCTTGAGCCCCTGCACCTCTCTCCACCTGAAGGCTTTCTTGGCCACAGAAGTAACTTGCCAGCACATGGAGAGAGTAGGAGTTCTGAGAATTAACTCTCCCAAGATTAATCCTTAGCCCTGGTGGATGAATATCTCAGCGTCTTCCCTTCTTGGTGTCTGAGTTTTAAGGGATATGTTCTACATTGTCTCTCTGAGGATTCCTGGCCAGATTGAGTTCCAGGTGCCTGCAGTGGTAACCTGCTCATTAGCCCATGATTTCTAGACTTTTCTTCCCTTCCTGCCTCCTTTCCCTACTCTCTCGTTATGCTTCCTTAGATAATCTTCCAACCAAACTACCTTCCCCCGGTCTTTGCCTCAGGGTCAGCTTTTGGCAGAAGCCAAAGCAAGACCTCCAGTTTGGAGTTGGCACAGTCCAAGACTGAAATCAAGGTCAAGCCCTAGGGACTGGACCTTGATTTCACACTTGGGCTATGTATGTGCCCAGTGGGGAGGAGGAAGCCTGGTAATGGGTGTATTCTCAGCAAACAATAGCAGAAACCTCACTAGGGACTGGGTGGTCATGATTTTGATCAGAGAAGGTTGTATTTGGTTGACTTCAGAGCAGTAAGGCTAATTCCTGATACCATCAGCTGGTGGGCTGGAGTTCCTAACATGACCCTGTCTGGATCAGGGCTCACTCTGGAGCTGGTGATGAGACCTCCAGGCCGCATGCTAAGCAGAGCTAGAAAGGCAGGAGAGACAATGGGTGGCACCCATGCATACGAGAATGCAGGCTTTTCAAAAGGGTGGGAAGCTGAATGGTTAGCTTCTCCTGGATGAGAAGTGGAGGGAGCACTGGATCTAGGGCTGTGGAGTTTGAGATCAAGAGCAGATGCTCTAAGGAGGAGTTGTAAAGAGGCAGGGATGCCCTCACCTGCTGAATTAGGCTTTTTGTCCTTACTGAGGGCAAGTCATCGCATTTCTCTATGGGCTCTGGAAACCTTCTGCACAGGTCAATATCAAACTATTTAACAACCAGTGAGACCAACCAAAAGGACCCTTGTGTGATTGGCCAGAAGGCCCTATGAGTGCACCTTTGATGGGCACCAGTCCTGCTCAAAGTCCAGTGGGGTCAGTTTCTAAAGTAAGGTCCATTCACAGGTAGTAGAAGAATTCCAGTGGGATAAATCTTTCTAGGTGCACCAGAAGTCACCGTCTCTCTCTTCTGCAAATTATTGGCATGATTGCAGGAACAAGCTCACATTATCTGGCTTTGTTGCCCTCTCTTTGAATCTCCACACTCAGACCCAGGAGAGTGGAGCATGGGAGAAGGGAGGAGGAGGCTCTAACTTGGAACCTTCAGTGTTCCCATGTGCAAACTGTGAGATCCAGTTTCCTTAAATTTCTCCGTTTTCTCATTTGACGTGTGTGTGTGTGTGTACATCAGAGTCAAGAGTAGGGCAAGTGTCTAGGTTGCAAAATTTAATTAGGCACTCCTTCTCAGATTTGCACAGACCTGGGAGTGATTTTGCACCCTGGATTCTCAGCTTGCCTTTCCCTAATCCTGACCCTGGTGTGTGTGTGTGTGTGTGAGAGAGAGAGAGAGAGAGAAAGAGAGAGAGAATGAGATAGAGAGAATAATGGTGATGGGGCCTTCCTACTCTAACAAGAATACTTATTGCTATCATTTATGGAGCATTTACTATGGGTCTGACACTGTCTGAAGTGCTTTTCTTACATTATTTCCCTTAGCCCTCACAACAACCTTATTTGGTGGATATTATTCCTGTTTCACAGATATGAAAACTAAGGCTCAGCTAGAAAGAGATTTGCTGCCAGATTCTGAGCACACTTAACCTCCAAAGCACACAGACCCATAGCACTTTGTTTCCACAAACCTCTATGGGTCTAAGTCCTCATGTGATGTACAACCCCTCTGCCTCTCTTTAAGGAGAAGTAGAATGCCAAATTATAAACTAACATGACAGATCAATAAAGAGTGGATGATTTTATTTTGAAAGCATTCTCCAGTTTATGGAGCAATTCCCATAAGAAGTTTTCCTTGTGAACTGAATTCAGAATCTGATGTGTAGTTCTGTTTCCATGGGACTTTATTTCTATCTCCCCTATCACTTATTCAAAGCAATAAGAATGATTTTTATATATGGACCTGTTTTGAGAAGAGTAGAATTTTTCACCATTTCTCCTCAAGTCTTCAAGCCTTTCTTCCATGCAGTGGTTATAATCCCCATTTAGCAGATAAGAAAGGGCACAGAGAAACGAAAGGCTCAGACCAGTGAATGGGGGCAAATCTGGACCTAGAACACACAGACCCTACACACCTGCCTGAGTACCCATGGACTCTTCCTGGCTGCCTTTCCTAACCTAAGCCTTGAGGAAGAAGAAATTTCATTTGAGAAAGTTCCTGGAAAGTCTGCATGGTCAGCATGGAGTAGCTGCCTGTTTCTCTTAAACTCCTCAAGGAGTGATTTTTCTAGTGCCCAAAGGGCGTTTGTTTCTAGCTCAGCTTCACACAGGCTTCCACCTATTCGCATGTCCAGAAAGCTATGAAAAAAGGCTGGGATGAAGCATGATTTTAGGCAGCTCATTGGTACTTTCCATGCCAATCTGCAGGAGAAAGCAAGCTTTTAGAGGGCAACTGTGAGTCACCCAGGTATCTTGATGTATCTGTGCCTAGGAAAATCACAGAGCTCCAACTGGTGCCTGAAATTTTCATGTGGCTTTAAGAGCTGCTCCCCATCATTGCACATGCGGTTATGGCTTTCCTCCATGGGCTGGTTTATGTTCTCACTGGCGCCCTGTGCTCCAGGCAGCCACTGCTTTAGCCACTGCTTAAAGAGCATGAGCTGTTTAGTGCAAATTCTGCCCTTAACAAGCACACACCTTGCTCACAAAGGCTTGGGAGCACCCTCATTGAATAATAAACTAGTTTTCAGTAGGGACAAATGTTGTAAACAATGGCACCTTCTCGATCCTGTGAAATGTATCTGCCCAAACACCAGTAGGCCAGAGCAGGTGTCATTATTATTCTTATATAAGCTTTGTGATCAGCTGCAAATCAGGGGCACTCCACTGATTGGTAGACCATGACTTTCATTAAGGCTTAATGTAATAAATGGCCATCTGTGGAACGTCTTGGTATTTCATAGGATTACTCACAAAGACATGCTCCACAGACTTTATGTATTTTTATTTTGTGTCTATTTTTATATACTCAGCCTCATTCCACAGTGGAATTGAGTTAACGTACAAAAGAAACACATACAATAAAATTGTAAAATATAGCTTAGAGTTAAAAATTCAGGTCTAAAGAATATAAACAATCACCTCTTTTGCTTTTTCTCTTTCTTTCCTATTTTTGGGGTCTCTAAAAGTGAGCTTAATTTTTTTTTGGACAATCAGAGCATAAATAAAATAGGCAGAAAAGCCAACAAGACCTAATAATAAGAAGTCAGGAATAGGAAGGAAAGAAATTCAAATACACAGGCTATCAGTGTCTCCATGTAAGTGCTGGAATCTTGCCTCAATTCTGGCTCTGAACTTTATGACAGCCCAAGTAGAAAGGGAAAAAGAATCAGTCATACATTTCTTATTTATCAGACAGAACACAATATATATCTGTTTTTTAGGAGGGTAAAGATTTTGGTACTTGACTCTAAAAGAAATTTCTCAGGTGTAAGATTTCAGAGGTATCATTCACTGCTGGGGTGGGCAGCAGCTTCCCAGAGCAATTCTTTGGAGGCCAATGGAGGATAGGGAGTGGGAGCTGGGGACAAGATCAGCTTTCTGGAGACTGGTTTCATTCAAAGATGTCAGAAGCCCTGGGGAAATTCCAGCTTGTTTTCATAAATGTCTCTTGTTCTGGGGGGCCCTGGGTGGAGGTTGGGCAGCTCCAACTGGCTGTTGGAGGCTGTGTTCTCTGAGAAGGGCCTGGAGGGCAGGGTCATGCTTATGCATAAGAGTGGAGCCTCAGAAACGGAGGCAGGTTCTGGACCAGCATGGGCTGCTGTTTTCATGCCCAAAACCAGAAATGCCACAGGTACAAAAAAGAAGTGTCTGGATTTCAGGAACCAACACAGATGGTAGGAGAAAACCCTAGGACATTGAAGGTGGTAGGGTCCCCGTGTGGGGTAACAGTGGCAGGTCTGGGGCCACAGGTGGCAGCAATGCCCTTTTTCTCCCACATTTCCTGGGTGGAGGATTGCCCACTGGGTCCCTCTCCCACAGGGCAGGAAGGGATCCTGCCAGAGAGAGATTCTAGAGTGATAGCAGAGCAGTGGATGGTCCCCCAACCCAGCCCTGAGGGTCATCCACTTCAGCAGAGGGTGGTCCCCTCTGGGGGGCAAGCTTGCCTGGGGGTTAAGCCCAGAGTGTGCTCTACAGACTCTACCCTGAAGAGGTGCCCTGGAGGAGCACTGGTGAGTGTTCTCCATTCCCAGCCAGGTGGCAGTCCTAGCTGTCAGCTGACAGTCCCAAAGTGGGCAGGGTAGGTACTCTCAGGGAGACATCTGAGAGGAGTGTGTGTGCTATTAAGACACCCAACAAAAGGAGCAACTTGTGCAGGAGGAGCAGAAATAATGGAACAAATAGAATAATAATTTAAAAAAACATCATGAATATCCTCAGGGAGATCAGGAAGTAGGAATAAGCGGTTATAAAGAAAACTAGGCCGGCTGTGGTGGCTCATGCCTGTAATCCCAGCACTTTGGGAGGCCGAGGCGGGTGGATCACGAGGTCAGGAGATCAAGACCATCCTGGCTAACACGTTGAAACGCCGTCTCTACTAGAAATACAAAAACTAGCCGGGCATGGAGGAGGAAGCCTGCAGTCCCAGCTACTCGGGAGGCTGAGGCAGGAGAATGGTGTGAACCCGGGAGGCGGAGCTTGCAGTGAGCCGAGATTACGCCACTGCACTCCAGCCTGGGTGACAGAGTGAGACTCTGTCTCAAAAAAAAAAAAAAAAAAAAAAGAAAACTAATTGGAGGTAATAGAGACAAAAGTAGAATTGTTAAAATAGAGCACTTAATGGACGGGTTGAAGAACATAGGGAATTCGACAGCAGCACAAATTAGTGAGACAGACATGTAGGTCATTCATCTTAGAGAAGGTAGCAGAAAGGCGTGGAGATGGGAAAAGATGAGAGAAAACAATATGGAGGTTAGAATTGGAAGTGTTTACTTTTTTTTTCTAAAACTTCCAGCAAAAGGGAAATGAGTCTATGGAGGGAAGGGAATACATATTTGAGGAACTAATGACTGGGGATTTTCCAGAATTAATGACATAATTGAGGCCTCTGATTAGATAGGTGGATGGTGCACCAAACGGGACAGAATTACACACACACACCCTTAGACATATTATATTGATATTTAAACACATCAGAGACAGAGAAGTTTCCAGAGACAGAATGCAGCTTCATGCAAAATACTTCATTTAAAATAGATATTAAACTTCTCAATGGCCACCTGGAAAGCAGGAAGACAATGGAGTGATGTCTCCGAAGTGTGGAAGGAAAATATCAGTACATCTAGAATATATATATACCTGAATGGTCATTTAAATGTGAATAGAAAAAAAGGCATGCCCAGAGATACAAAGTCACAGATACATACTATGTAAAGTGCCTTCCTGAAAAAACCTGAGAAGGTGTCTCCAGGAGGAAGCAAGGAGATGTGGGAGGAGTAAAGGTGAAGAAATAATCCAGTACAGTTTATGACTGCCTAGATAAGTAATGACCTAAGCACATGTCCATAACATTGTGGACCTAAAATGCCAGACCACACCAACATTGCAGGGGTGTTGGTGTGGGCTGGAGAAGGGGCAGAGCGGGAGAGATCAGAGGGAAGTGGGAGAAGGTTAAGTTGCTGTCTTATTCCAATGGGACATACATGTGGACAGGTATGTCCATGGAGTGCTCATGAATTGCAGCCTCAGGCAGTAGCCACTTTCCACTCCCTAATCCTGCACCAAGGCACCTGAAGCAAGGCAGGCTTTCTTAACAAACACCAACTATTATGGACTGCTTGTGTCTCCTCCAAATTCATATGTTGACATCCTAACCCCCAATGTAATGGTTTTAGGAGGCTCGGCCGTTGGGGCTATTAGGTCATGAAGGCAGAGCCCTTATGAATGAGATTAGTTCCTTTTTTCCCAGAAAAGATATGAAAGCTTGCTCTCCCTCTCTGCTCTCTGCCATGACAATATACAACGAGAAGATAGCCATTTGCAAACCAAGAAGTAGGTCAGACACCAGATCTGCTGACACCTTGGTCTTAGACTTCCTAGCCTCAAAAACTGTGAGAAATAAATGGTTGTTGTTTAAGCCACCCAGTCTATGGTAATTTATTATAGCAGCCCAAATGGGCTAAGACACCAGCCACAACAAGCATCATTACTCTCTTCTTCCTCCTCAACAACAGTGGCTCTGAATCATGCTCCTTAAATAAGGAAGACTCCAGAACAAATCCATGGATTCCCCAGAATTGGGGCTGCGAAAGCCTCTTTTGCGACTAATTGGATTATGACACTCTTATTAGGTGAGGGCTGGACCACTCCCTGCCTATCCTTTGCATCCATTCCCAGGAAGCTTAGAGCTTAGTCGTCTGGCTGAATGCAGTCCCTCAGCTTGGCTTCATTTTTCTAGGGTCATTTTTTCTCTCCACCCTCTCCATCCTCACACCCTCTCTACCCAGCCCTTCTCTTCTGCTTATCCCTGGACTTCACTTATAAAAGTTGTTTTTTGACACACTTTTGAAGACTGTATGAGGCAGGGCTAAATTGGAATCTGTGTCTACAATAAAGTGGTTAGAGACTGAGTTTTGGAATCTCACATGTATTGGCTGTGTGATCTCAGACAAGTTAGCCCCCTTCTCTGTGTTCCAGTTTCTGTATCTGTAAAAGGAGGAATGCAAATAAGCCTTGTATCGGGGGTTGTTGCGGGACTGAGATCATGCAAGGAAAGGGCTTGGCATAGTGCTTGGAACATGTTAAGTGCCCAATAAATGTTAATTCAGGGGCCAATACCATATCCTTTCTCTGTCTAGTCTTTTGTTTTTCCCTGGTATGACACAACTATTTTAAAATATGCACCAGTGACCATATAGAAGTCTTGCTGTTGGGTCTTTCTCCGCAAGATGGAAAGTAGTCTTCTCCATATTTTAGAGAAAAAAAATACACATATACACATATATGTATGTGTGTGTGGTTGTGTATATACACACACATATACACATACATTTTACATATGTGTGTGTGTGTGTATAGAAAGAGGGAGAGGTGGAGAGAAAGAGACAGAGCTGTGAGCTTGTGATAGTTGGCTGAAGTTGATACTTTGGCTTGGAGCCATCCACACATTCAGTTTGCAATTGAAGTTGTTGCCATGCATGAACCCACTAGATAGCATCTCATTTTCCCAGCAAGGGCATCTTATTTTCATGCTAGTGGGTGCTTTATGAGGGACATCCTCTCCAGTCCCCCAAGCCTGTCCACCTCTCACTAACATGATGCTGGCTTTGGGCCACTTTCTCTGCTTCTCAAAGCATCCCCTTTATCATTCTATGATGAGGAATAACTTTGAACTTTGAAAAAGGAACATTAAACAACCTGTTTTAACTTCCTTCTGGCTTCACAGGGCTGTGGCCCCCCTCTGTTGTGGCCCCTCCCTCACTGCTGGATGTCCACTTCCTGGCAGGACCCAGATCTGTCCCCGCTTCTGAGGCTCACAGTCCCCACCACACACCACCTCCTCTCCAGCCTCTAGGGGCATGAAAGCTGGTCCTAGGCTTCCCAAGTGTGAGCACCGAGGCCCTTTGGAGAAGCTCCCATTGTGGTAGGGGCAGCAGAGATGAGTAGAGATGCAAGTTAAAAGGTGAGAAGGGAGGCACATGAGGCTTTGAAGGCAAAAGACTGCCTGCCCAGCAAATGTTCCCTCTCCACCTGCCAAGTGGAATTTGCTCAAACATATGGAGGCTACATTTGGCTGCACAGCAGGCTTCCTGGCCAGAAACTCCTGGAGAGTGGAGCCAGACTTGCCTCCGAATTGTACCAGTGTGGCTACTGCATCTCTGCTTGAATGTGCTGCAGGCATTTCACGACCCAACATGTGCAAACCTGAGCTGCTCCTCCTCTCATCCTCCCCAGCCTTGTAGATGCTTCCCAGCACAGCTGATTGTTAGCTCCTCCATGGGCAGGGTCTCACTGGAGCAGGAATCCAGCTGTTCTTGAGAGAAGTACCAAAACCAGACTGTTTGTTGTGATTTCAGGGAAGCCAGGTATTATATTCCAACACCCAGAACAGTGCCTAGCAGGTAGCAGGGGCTCCATAAAATAAGTTGAGTGAATGGGGAGGGCTTTACAGAAAGCAGGATCTCTCTTCTGTTCTCAGCAAGTCTCCTCTAGGTGGAGGCCTGAGAGAATTAATGTTTGCATTTCCCTGGCAATGGTGGCTGTGGTTCTCCCCTCCTCTAGCTACTGTGAGGGGCTCTGATAACTCATAGCAGCCCCCTTTCTCTGGAGAATTAACCTTGGGCCACCTCACCCAGGAGGTATGCACACCCTCATCTAAGGCAGCCCACAGAGGACAACTTACTGATGTTAAAGGGCTATAAAGCCCTTAATTGCCTCTGTGGTGGGATTTATGTTCCAAAGCCCCCTTAGACTCAAGCCATGGCTAAATATTTTGAGACCAGATGTCTTTGGCCCCTTCCCTTTCTGTCCTGCTTCTCTCCTTCCCGTGCACCTGAATCATCCTCTCTATCTCTGCTTCCAGCAAAACCCACTGGAGACATCCCCCCAAGAGACTCCTGCTCTTACTCTGAGCTCAGAACTACTGAATTGGGAAGGGACTTTAGAGACCAAACTCCTTTAGTTGGAAGGCAAGGAAACTGAGGCCCACGGTTGGGGAAAGCCATGTGGTTGGCTAGGAGTACAGCCCATGCTGTTTAGTCTGGCAACTGCTCGAGAGCTCAGGGCATGAGAGTTCTCACTCTATCTCATAAACCTGTATGCTGTGGTGCTTGGGGGAATTCCCTCACTCCCTGATCTGACTTCATTCTCTTCCTCACCCCTCAGGATTGCCAGGGCTGGGAAACTCTACCCTCTGTACCAAGACAGCTAGAGGGACTCTGTTCACAGCAAGGAGACACTGTCCCTGTCCTGCCTCTGACTGCAGGAAGGATCCTGTGCACACTGACAAGGCTGTTGGTGTTTCCTTGACAATGTTGAGGAAGAGGTCAGGTCCACCCCTGGGTGACTGCCCTGGGGGGCAATGCTTTGGAGTGGGGCACATCTTGAAGCACCTTACCTTTCTTTTTTTCATTATTATTATTGAAATTCTAAGTATTTCTGTTTATAATTATGCCCACAGTGGACTCCTTTGAAGTGTGATCCCTTTGGTGGCTGACATGGTTTGGCTGTGTCCCCACCCAAATCTCATTTTGAATTGTAGTTCCCTTAATCCCCATGTGTCATGAAAGGAACCCAGTGGGAGGTAGTTGAATCATAAGGGTGGTTACTCCCATACTGCTGTTCTTCTGATAGTGAGTAAGTTCTCAAGAGAGCTGATTTTTTTTTTTTTTTTGACGGAGTCTCGCTCTGTCACCCAGGCTGGAGTGCAGTGGTGCCATCTCGGCTCACTGCAAGCTCCGCCTCCTGGGTTCACGCCATTCTCCTGCCTCAGCCTCCCAAGTAGCTGGGACTACAGGCACCCACCACCACGCCCAGATAATATTTTATATTTTTGGTAGAGATGGGGTTTCACTGTGTTAGCCAGGATGATCTTGATCTCCTGACCTCATGATCCACCCGCCTCGGCCTCCCAAAGTGCTGGGATTACAGGCATGGGCCACCGTGCCTGGATGAGATCTGACGGTTTTATAAGGGGCTTTTCCACCTTTTGCTTGGCATTTCTCTTTGCTGCCATCACATGAAGACGGATGTGTTTGCTTCTCCTTCCACCATGATTGTAAGTTTTCTGAGGCTTCTCCAGCCATGCTCATCTGTGAGTCAATTAAACCTCTTTCCTTTATAAATTACCCAGTCTCACGTATGTCTTCATTAGCAGAGTGAGAATGAACTAATACAGTGGCCCTGCCTGACTGAGATGCTGCGGGCCCAGAAAGCTTTTAGGGAAAAACCTAAAGGAGGCTGATATGGGTTATATTATGGCCCCCACAAAAGATATGTTGAATTTGTAACCCTAGTACCTCTAAATGTGACCATATTTGGAGCTAGGGTCTTTGCAGATGTAGTTAAGATGTAAATTAGGATGAGGTCCTACTAGACTGGGGTAGGTCCTTGATTCAATATGACTAGTGTCCTTATAAAAGAGGAGAAGAGAGACATGCAGGGAGAGCCCCATGTGACAAGAGAGGCAGAGGCTGGAATGACACAGCTGCAAAGCATAGAGACGCCAAGGGTTGGCAGCCACCATCAGAAGCTAGGAAAGAGCAAGGAAGGATTCTACCCAGTGTCTCAGAGGGAGCACAGCCCAGGTGACATCTTGATCTCAGGCTTTGAGCCCACAGAACAGTGAGAAAATTGATGACTTTGACATATTTAGTTTGTGGTACTTTGTTACAGCTGCCCTAGGAAATTAATAAAGGGTTGTTTCTGGAACCCCAGGTTACCACATACTCTATTATCTTTTGGGAAGTGGAGCATCTGAATGGGAACCAGTAGGAGAATACCAATTAGCCTTTGGTTCCACTTTGGACCCATAGGGAAGTCACAGTTTTCAGAACAAGAACCCAAGAATTAGTGTTCTTGCTTTTCTCCATGGAAATGTTCTTGGGGATTGTTGTGAGGAAAAGGGACTGTGGAGCAGAGCAGGGAGGAGGGTGCTGTCTGGGAATCAAGTTGTGTGAGTTCTAATACAGGTTCTGCTACCAATAGCTGGGGCCTTTGGGTGAAACCTTTCATGCCCTAGACTGCTCTCAGTTGTAAAATGGGGAACTGGGTCACACATGTCCATCTGACTTGCTTTCTCTGGGACACCAATGAGTTTGGTGATGAACTCTGAACCTGGTATCGTAACATTCCCAAGCCCCACATTTTCCAGTTTGTCTTGAAGGACTTCTGCTGCCCTGATCATCTTCTTGAGACCTATAGGTGAGGAAAGACAAATGGTTCCCAAGAAGTTTTGAGTTCAGATTATGAGTAGCCAGTGTTTCCCTCCCTACACTCAGTTCTGTTTCAAACTTCAGCTCCTTTCATAACCAGCCTCTCCACATGCATTTGTGCCTCAATGGAGGGTTCCCATGAGGATCCTAAAAGGGTCTCAGCCCTTCATTTTTAACTTTCCTGCCTTTTTAAGCCTGGTGAAGCTGTTGGCTTATCAAGCTGTTCCATGAGTTCTATATAAAGATCTATGGAAAAATTGTCCCTACTATGCTTATTAAAATGTTTTTAATGAAAATACATAGAATGGCTGAATTGATTAAAAAATAGATCTACTGATCTGTTGCCTACAAAAACACACTTCACCTATAAAGACACACTTAGACTGAAAATAAAGGGATGGAAAAAGATATTCCATGCCAATAGAAGCCAAAAAAGAGCAGGAGTAGCTATACTCGTATCAGACAAAATAGATTTCAAGACAAAAATCATAAGAAGAGCCAAAGAAGGTCTCTATATAATGATAAAGGGGTTAATTTAGAAAGGGGAAATAGCAATTGTAAATATATATACACCCAACACTGGAGCACTCAGATATATAAAACAAATGTTATTAGAGCTAAAGAGAGAGATAGACTCCAATGCAATAAAAGCTGAAGACTTCAACACCCCATTTTCAGCATTGGACAGATCATCCAGACAGAAAATTGATAAAGAAACATCAGACTTAATCTGCAGTATAGAACATATTCTGTAGTGCAGGTAATATGTTACAGAACATATTCAATGGCTGTGGAATACACATCTTTTCCTCAGCACATGGATCATTCTCAAGGGTAGACCATATGTTAGGTCACAAAACAAGTCTTAAAACATTTTAAACATTTGAAATAATATCAAGTATCTTCTCTGATAATAATGGAATAAAATGAGAAATAAAACACAAGATAAATTGGAAATTAAACAATATACTCCTGAATGATCAGTGGGTCAATGAAGCAATTAAGAAGGAAATTGAAAAATTTCTTAAAGGAAACACAATATACCGTGCAGAAGCTCTTTAGTTTAATTAGATCCCATTTGTCAATTTTGGCATTTGTTGTCATTGCTTTTGGTGTTTTAGACATGAAGTCCTTGCCCATGCCTATGTCCTGAATGGTAATGCCTAGGTTTTCTTCTAGGGTTTTTATGGTTTTAGGTCTAACGTTTAAGTCTTTAATCCATCTTGAATTGATTTTTGTATAAGGTGTAAGGAAGGGATCCAGTTTCAGCTTTCTACATATGGCTAGCCAGTTTTCCCAGCACCATTTATTAAATAGGGAATCCTTTCCCCATTGCTTGTTTTTCTCAGTTTTGTCAAAGATCAGATAGTTGTAGATATGCGGCGTTATTTCTGAGGGCTCTGTTCTGTTCCATTGATCTATATCTCTGTTTTGGTACCAGTATCATGCTGTTTTGGTTACTGTAGCCTTGTAGTATAGTTTGAAGTCAGGTAGTGTGATGCCTCCAGCCTTGTTCTTTTGGCTTAGGATTGACCTGGCAATGTGGGCTCTTTTTTGGTTCCATATGAACTTGGAAGTAGTTTTTTCCAATTCTGTGAAGAAAGGCATTGGTAGCTTGATGGGGATGGCATTGAATCTGTAAATTACCTTGGGCAGTATGGCCATTTTCATGATATTGATTCTTCCTACCCATGAGCATGGAATGTTCTTCCATTTGTTTGTATCCTCTTTTATTTCCTTGAGCAGTGGTTTGTAGTTCTGCACAGCAAAAGAAACTACCATCAGAGTGAACAGGCAACCTACAAAATGGGAGAAAATTTTCACAACCTACTCATCTGACAAAGGGCTAATACCCAGAATCTACAATGAACTCAAACAAATTTACAAGAAAAAAACAAACAACCCCATCAAAAAGTGGGCGAAGGACATGAACAGACACTTCTCAAAAGAAGACATTTATGCAGCCAAAACACACATGAAAAAATGCTCATCATCACTGGCCATCAGAGAAATGCAAATCAAAACCACAATGTGATACCATCTCACACCAGTTAGAATGGCAATCATTAAAAAGTCAGGAAACAACAGGTGCTGGAGAGGATGTGGAGAAATAGGAATGCTTTTACACTGTTGGTGGGACTGTAAACTAGTTCAACCATTGTGGAAGTCAGTGTGGCGATTCCTCAGGGATCTAGAACTAGAAATACCATTTGACCCAGCCATCCCATTACTGGGTATATACCCAAAGGACTATAAATCATGCTGCTATAAAGACACATGCACACATATGTTTATTGCGGCATTATTCACAATAGCAAAGACTTGGAACCAACCCAAATGTCCAACAGTGATAGACTGCATTAAGAAAATGTGGCACATATACACCATGGAATACTATGCAGCCATAAAAAATGATGAGTTCATGTCCTTTGTAGGGACATGGATGAAATTGGAAATCATCATTCTCAGTAAACTATCGCAAGAACAAAAAACCAAACACTGCATATTCTCACTCATAGGTGGGAATTGAACAATGAGATCACATGGACACAGGAAAGGGAACATCACACTCTGGGGACTGTTGTGGGGTGGGGGAGGGCGGAGGGACAGCATTGGGAGATATACCTAATGCTAGATGACGAGTTAGTGGGTGCAGCGCACCAGCATGGCACATGTATACATATGTAACTAACCTGCACAATGTGCACATGTACCCTAAAACTTAAAGTATAATAATAAAAAAAATAAAAAACACAATATACCAAAAGCCTATAAGATACAGCAAAAGCAGTACTAAAAGGGAAGTTTATAGCTATAAGTGCCTACATCAAAAAGAGGAAAAACTTCAAATAAACAACCTAATGATGCATCTTAAAGACCTAGGAAAGCAAGAGCAAACCAAACCCCAAACTAGTAGAAGAAAAGAGATATTAAAAGTCAGAACAGAAATAAGTGGAATTGAAATGAAGAAAACGGTACAAAAGATTAATGAAACAAAGTTGGTTTTTTGAAAAGTCAGACAAAATTGACAAATCTTTAGCCAGACTATGAGAAAAAGAGAGAAGATACAAATAAACAAAATGAGACATGAAAAAGGAGGCATTACAACTGATACCATATGATCAACTATATGCTAATAAGTTGGAAAATCTAGACAAAATGGACAAATTCCTAGACACATGTAACCCACCAAGATGGAACCATGAAGAAATCCAAAACCTGAACAGTTCAATAACAAGTAAAGAGACTGAAGCCATAAATAAAAGTCTCCCAGTAAGAAAAGCCAATGGCTTCACTGCTGAATTCTACCATTTAGAGAAGAGATAATACCAATCCTACTCAAACGATTCCAACAAATAGAGGAGGAGGGAATGCTTCCAAACTCATTCTTTAAGGCCAGTATTACTCTGATAGCAAAACCAGAAAAAGACATTTAAAAAGCAAAGAAAACTGTGGGCCAAATATCTCTAATGAATATTGATACAAAAATCCTCAACAAAGTACTAGTAAACCCAATTCGACAATACATTAAAAACATCGTTCATCATGACCAAGTGAGATTTATCCCTGGGATGCAAGAATGGTATGACATACACAAATCAGTCAATGTAATACATCACATCAACAGAATGAAAGACAAAAACTATATGATCATGTCAATTAATACTGAAAAAGCATTTGATAAAATTCAATATTGCTTCATGATAAAAACCCTCAAAACACTGGGTATAGAAAGAACATACCTCAACATAATAAAAGCCATATATGACGAACTCACAGCTAGTATCACACTGAATGGGGAAAAACTGAAAGCCTTTCCTCTAAGATCTGGAACACAACAAAGGATGCCCACTTTCCCCACTGTTATTCAACATGGTACTGGAAGTCCTAGCTAGAGCAATTAGACAAGAGAAAGAAATAAAGGGCATCCAAATTGGAAAGGAAGAAGTCAGATTATCCTTGTTTGCAGATGATATGATCTTATATTTGGAAGAACCTTACTCCACAAAATTCTTAGTCCACAAAGAACTGATAAACAAATTCAGTAAAGCTGTGGCATACAATATGAACACATAAAAATCGGTAGCATTTCTATATGCCAAGAATGAAGAATCTGAAAAAAATTTAAAAAGTAATCCTGTTTACAATAGTCACAAATACAATTATGTATCTAGCAATTAACTTAACCAAAGAAGTGAAAGAGCTCTATAATGAAAACTATAAAAGACTGAGAAAGGCTTTTCCGGCAGTGACGACCTACCCACACGAGAACATGCCTCTCGCAAAGGATCTCCTTCATCCCTCTCCAGAAGAGGAGAAGAGGAAACACAAGAAGAAAGGCCTGGTGCAGAGCCCCAATTCCTACTTCATGGATGTGAAATGCCCAGGATGCTATAAAATCACCACGGTCTTTAGCCATGCACAAACGGTAGTTTTGTGTGTTGGCTGCTCCACTGTCCTCTGCCAGCCTACAGGAGGAAAAGCAAGGCTTACAGAAGGATGTTCCTTCAGGAGGAAGCAGCACTAAAAGCACTCTGAGTCAAGATGAGTGGGAAACCATCTCAATAAACACATTTTGGATTAAAAAAAAAAAGACTGAGAAAGAAATTGAAGAGGACACCAAAAATATGGAAGAATATATCATGTTCATGGATTGGAAGAATCAATATTGTTAAAATGTCCATAACTACCCAAAGCAATCTACAGATTCAATGTAATTCCTATCAAAATACCAAGGACATTCTTCACAGAAACGGAAAAACAACCCTAACATTTATATGAAACCCCAAAAGACCCAGAATGGCCAAAACTATCCTAAGCAAAAAGAACAAAACTGGAGGAATCACATTACCTGACTTCAAATTATACTACAGAGCTACAGTAACCAAAAGAGCATGGTATTGGCATAAAAGCAGACATATAGACCATATGGAACAGAATAGAGAACCCAGAAACAAATCCACATGCTTATAGTGAACTCATTTTCAACAAAGGTAACAAGAACATACACTGGGGAAAAGACAGTTTCTTCAATAAATGGTGCTGGGAAAAATGGATACCATAAGCAGAAGAATGAAACTAGACCCCATATGTCTCACCATATACAGAAGTCAAATCAATATTGGCTGATGACTTATACCTAAGGCTTCAAACTATGAAACTACTGCAGGAAAACATTGGGGGGAAACTCTCCAGAACATTGGTCTGTGCAAAAATTTCTTGAGCAATACCCCATAAGCACAGGCAATCAAAGCAAAAATGGACAAATGGGATCACATCAAGTTTAAAAGCTTTTGCACAGCAAAGGATACAATCAACAAAGTGAAGAGACAACCCACAGAATAGGAGAAAATATTTGCAAACTACCCATCTGACAAGGGATTAGTAACCAGAGTATATAAGGAAGTCAAACAACTCTACAAGAAAAAAACTCTAATAATCCAATCAAAAATGAATGAAAGATTTAAATAGACACTTCAAATGGGAAACACACAGCCACATGAAAAGGTGCTCAACACCATTGATCATCAGAGAAATGCAAATCAAAACTACAATGAGATATCATGTCACCCCAGTTAAAATGGCTTGTATCCAAAAGACAGGCAATAACAAATGCTGGTGAGGGTGTGGAGAAAAGGGAACTCTCATACACTGTTGTTGGGAATGTAAATTAGTACAACCACTATACAGAACAGTTTGGAGGTTCCTCAAAAAACTAAAAATGGAGCTACCATATGACTCAGCAATCCCACTGCTGGTTATAGAACTAAAAGAAAGTAAATCATTATATCGAAGAGATATCTGCACTCCCATGTTTGTTGCAGCACTATTCACAATAGCCAAGATTTTGAAACAACCTAAGAGTCCATCAACAGATGAATGGGTAAAGAAAATGTCACTATTCAGCCATAAAAAAGAATGTGATTCTGTTATTTGCAACAACATGGATGTAACTGGAGATCATTATGTTAAGTGAAATAAGCCAGGCACAAAAAGACTAACATTGCATGTTTTCATTTATTTGTGGGATCTAAAAATCAAAACAATTGAACTTATGGAGAGTAGAAGGATGGTTACTAGAGGCTAGGAAGGGTAGAGGTGTGGTGGGGCATGGGGAGGTAGGGATGGTTAATGGACACAAAAATTAGAATAAATAAGACCTAGTATTTGATAGCACAACAAAGTGACTATAGTCTAATAATAACTTAATTGAACATTTAAAAATAACTAAAATAATATAATTAGATTGTTTGCTGCACAAAGGATAAATGCTTGAGGTGATGGATACCCCATTCTCCATGATGTGATTATTATTCATTGCATGCTTGTATCAAAACATCTCATGTACCCCATAAATATATCCACCTAGTATGTACTGACAAAAATTAAAAATATAAAATTAAAACATTTAAAAAAATTTTAAACTTTTCCAAGCTTACTTTAAAAATATTACTCAGTACAACTAACAAAGTAATACAAAGTAACACATATATAGAGAAAAAAGTTTAACCATTTCCACCTGCTTGCTTCTCCATTCCTCGCTTCTCTGACAATGTCACTTCCTTATTCATACTTCAAATCAACTGTTAACTTGTAGAGATTGCTGAAGACTTCTCAGTGTCCATTCTGACTCTTCATCTTAGTTTAACAAACCCCATATTTTTAGCTGGTACATTGCTTCCCAAATAAAAGACTACGTTTCCCAGCTTCCTTTGCAATATCATATGGTCATCTTTCTAAGTTCTGGGCAATGAAATGTAAGTGGAATTGTCACATGGGGCTTCTTAAGCCCTCCTTTAAAAGCGAGACTTTCTTTCTAGCATCTTTTCCTCCTTCTTGCTTCTTTGAATGTCAATATGATGGCTGGACTCTAGCAACCGTCTTGGACCATGAGGAAAATAGCCAGGCCATGAGGATGAGGACTATATCATGGGACTTTGCAGTGGTGACCCCGAAGAAGCCCTATCCCTGGTGACTTTGTAGAGCCACTATACTGGACTGCCTGGCTCTAGGCTTCTTTGCTATATGGAGAAATGAGCTTCTATCTTGTTTATGTCATCTGTTGTTCCAGTCTCTGTTGCTTATGATCAAACCTAATTCTACTTGATAGCAAATATTGGGAACTTTGGTGTTTCCTTTCACATATTTCTGCAGGCCATACAAACATGTACAAACACATATACATATATGTAAATTTTTTTATGCCTATTGTTTAAAAATGGAGTTAATAAGTGTCTCTGCTTCTAGCTTTTCTCTGTTGATAATGTATCGTAGATATTGAAGTATTGCTCAAGTGGTCCAGAAAGAAAAATTAAGCAAAACTTGAAACAACTTGAAAGCCATCAATAGGTGACTGATTGAATAAATTATGAGCCATCCGTACTATAGAGTATGCCAACATTTAAAAGAATTAGTTGTATCTATATTTATTGATCTTTTAAAGCTTATCTCCCTTGATAAAACATTTTTTGATCAATAAGGTTCTAAAGGACCCACAAGGTTTCACTTTTACCCCCATCTCAGGAAGCTCAAAGCTCCTGATTAAAGCAACTCTCTTCCTTAGTAAATGAAACAATGATCCTCTTTGTCCACGTAATACCCAGTATCTTTCTTATCTTTATTGCAGTCTTCCCAAACTACCCTGTGTGCTTTTATTGTAAGTTCTTTTGAGTCTTTTGTGGGAGCAAGTGGAACACAAACAATACATTAACCAGTAATTCAGGCGTTTAGTTTCCCACTGAAACTCTCCAAAGCAATTGGAAAGATCAACTGCAAAGTTGGGTGGATGGAGACATCTTTTCACTCTTGATCTAAGAAAGTGAATTGGTTCATAGCCCTGGACATTCTACCCTGGACTCATCTGTTCATGAGATGAACAGTTCAAGAATAGAATGAAGAATTTTGAGTCTTGGATATGGCCAATACCACAGAATGGTGGTTCTCACTGTCACTGGGAGGGTGGGATGCCTATGCATCAGGAGCATTTAGGAGTCCCTGCCTTGCCTGCGTAAGATTCTCGTTTGTGTCCCAGCTCTTATCTTGCAGAGAACCACTGCTGTAACATGCTTTCCAGATGCCAAAAGAAAAAGCTGAGGGCTTTTGGCCTGCTTCTTCATTCCCTCCTCCCATTCCATCCCTTCTTTATCCTCAGTCTCCTCCTGAAATTTCTCTAAAGAACCAGAAGCAGTTATTGTCCTCAGAGAGTTCTAGAATCAGAGCAGGTGGTTCTTAGCTTGAATTATCAAACCCATCCATCTATGTGGATCAGATTGACCAAATGCTTGCTGGGTCTCTGAATTGGTGAGGCTTAGTGGTTAGTGGAACACCCAGGCTTCTACATTAGCTAAGCCTCCCTTATTGACTCCGGACACTCTTCCCAATCTTGAGGATATTGGGTTAGAAGATCCATTCTTGCTCCTTCTTTGGAAAAGCTGAAGCTTTGATCGGGCCCTAAAAAGAATATGCAAAGGCTGATAAGAAAGAAAAATACATGTGATAATCTCTAGTAAAGATTTTTTTATTAAAAAATTATTTTTATGAAAAGAGATGTGTTTGGCCCTTGGAAAGAAGAGAATTTAATTGATAGATCTGTCTAAATGAAGAAAAAGAAAGGCTTGAAGAAGAAGAAAAGGATTTTAGTGGGTTGATAGGGTGTGACAAATGCTTGATTAACTGAGTTGAGGGTTTCCAAAGTTCTAAAATCAGCAGCTGCTAACTCGACATGTGACTCAGAGTAAACCACTTTCCTGGTAGGTCTCACTTTGCCCAAAAATGTAATAAGAGGATCTCTTGGGACTCTTGGCTTGAATACTGTTGGGTTGTGAGTAAGCTGGACTCATTTCAGGACTCTGAGCAGAGTTCTTAGGTCTGTAAGCCAAGCCACTTCTGTTTCTCTTTTGAGTTGCTATAAAGTACAGACGATTCTACCAACCTTGACACAAACGCCCAGCTGCCCCCAGTTCAGTGCCACAGAGAAAAGCCTTGCAGAACAGGTTGAGTTTGTGGATGGGCATGGGGTAGAAGGTATCATCTCTTCTCTATCAATGACTTGGGTGATACTTCTGGCAACAAAACAGACAGGTAAGTGTTCCTAATTTGGTGTGATGTGAGATACGTCTGGGTATGGTGGGACCCCAGAGGGGATGCTGAGGATATATGTGCTGCCTCAGGGGAGATGGACCAGATCATGAAGGGTTGTGCCAGCAATGGACAGAAGGGGTTTTTTGTTGAGGGAGGCAGGAAGAGAAAGCAGTAGCAGGTTCACGACCGGGGCTCTTAGTTGCATATGACAGAAATAGACTCTGAGTGATATGACCAGGAAAAGAAATTCACTGAAAGAATATTGGGTAGCTGACAGGATCCCTGAGAGCTCTAGAGACTCAGGCTTGGGGTTGTATGTGGATAGATGGTAGCTTCACTGACAGAACCACAGCCAGTTTTGTGCCACAGAAATAGGTGTGTAATGGGGGATGCCCCTGCTAATGTGAATGGGTCACTGGCTTCTGAATTCTGCATTCACACCACCCCCACCATCATCAAAAGAAATTTTCCTCTGTTTCTGCTTCTTTGGGTGGCCAACTTCCAACTGAAAGTCTAGAGAGTGTGGGTGACCAAGCCCTGACCACTGGCTTGTGCCCTACCTGCATGGCTTATTGGCTTCTATTGTGAGAAATAAAATGGTGGAGAAGACCCTAAACATAGGACAACGAGCTTGGGACACTCACAAGCTTTCTTCCTCCCAAAAAGACAGAAGCGGCATATAGTTATTAAACATGTTAAATTAAGTTAACATGAACTTAGAAGATCTTTCAAGGTTAAGAGGAAAAAAAATTGGAAGAGACTAAAGGTCAAGTTACAAAGAAGGGAAAAAGTGATTTTGAGGGTCCTCAAGTTTCCATACATTAGTGTCTCCTTAGTTTGGATTTAAAATCAGAGCTTGGATATAAAAATGTGATCAAACCTTGTGTCCACCAGTTTTCTATATGATTAGGGTGACACATGTTTTGAAAGGAAGTACAACCTGGGATGCATTTCTGTTTGAAATGTTAGGGAATTAACAAGGGTGACCTGGCACAGGGACCTGTCATCACAAAACTTGGGAGACCCAAGAGAGCTTGGCAGCAGGTCAGGTGTCAGGCAAGGAACTTTCAGCCACTTTCATGGGGCAGGAGGAACGAAGTAACTTCCCATCCAAGTGGCAACCAATCACATGCTTATAAACAGATAGCACTTTTATGAGAAGCATGACCCCAACCTATACCTTTCTCCTAACCTTCTGATAGTGTGGGAAGGTCTTCAGGCACTGTGCTCAGGTCTCTTAGCAAAAAGAACCACACATATGTGTATGTGCTTGTACACACCCACACACATACAGCCAGGTCTACCAAGGTGGCCAGGTCTACTTTGGGACAAAGGAAACACAAAGATGGCAGGTTAGGTCACAGGATGACCTTGAAGGGCTGTACTCGTGACCTTGGACTCCCTACTCACTCTCTGGATTCCTGAGACAGAGGAAGAGGACCTCCAACAAAGAAGACATCTGGTCCTGCCCAGGAGAACATGGATTGGATTCAGAAAGGTGCTATCTGCAAGTGAACCTTGAAAGAGGACAGGATATTGCTACTTGAGGGAGCAGGAGAGATGGTGGACCACATGGGGGATGGGCATGGAAAAACTCCAAGTCCCCTGCCCTTCTCTTACAGTGATGTTCAGTGAAGGTCTGGGCCTTCCAATTATTCACTGAAATAATGAATTCCTGCTACTCTGATGGCTTTCCACGCCATGATTTGAAGACAAGCAATAAAAGGTATTTATGGCAGCATGAGATTTTATACTCGGAGTTGTAAGGGAAATCTTAAAAATGGAAGAGGTTGCTATGAGATTTTCCAAAGCACCTCTGAGTTTTCATGAGTCAAGCATGGTGATGATATGGCCCTTCCAGAGATAAGGGCTGTACCAAGAGAATTAACAGATCCAGAATCTTAATCCTGGGATTTTCTGCAGTTTCTTTGAAGGGTGATATAGCCCTGGGACTCAAATTGTGGAATGTCCCCACTGGAAGAGGCCCCTGAGAGGCACAGCAGGAGTGGAGGTCTTGGAGGGTGGGAGTCAGGATTTTACCTAAGGTTACGCAGTTAGCTGTGGCAGGAGTGGGTATAACGTGAACACAAATATGCTAGACCCAATTCTTCCAGATGCAAGACACAGAATGTCTTGAGGAAAAAAGGTTATTTGTTGGCTTACATCCCTGAAAAGCCTAAGGGTAGGCACAGTTATCAGGGACAATTGGATCAAGGCCCTTGAAAAATGTCCCTAAGAAGCTGCCTCTCCCCTGCTCTTGGCTCCGCTGCCTTTCAGATTGCATTCATTCTCAGGCAGGCTCTCTGTCATGGTGACTCCTGGAAACTTCACATGCTCATCCTTACAGCTCCAGGTTTAGCATAAACAAAGTGTCTCTTTCCTGGTTGACTCAGTAGAAGTCCCAGGATAAACTCTGATGTGATGACTTAGGTCATGTGCTCATCTCTGAGTTAGTCATTGGACTGGAGTTATGAAATATGCTGATTTGGCTGGGATCAGGTGGGCCTCACTGTCTCAAACCTTTGGGATTAAGAAGGGGGAGGTGTGAGATTTCCAAGGAAAATTTGGGAACTGTTTCTGACAAAAGGGCATCTGGCTACTTAGAAGATAAACCCACAGATGCCCACTACATTAGTTTATCTGCGAGTGAGCCTCATGGATTTCCTCTACACCAGCTGCCCTTTCCAGTACCATGGGAAAGCCTGGGTTTACTTTTTATGACCAGGTGCCCAGAAAGTTCAACCAGCAATCAGTGGTCATTGCCAGGCTGTTCAGGGAAAGGGCGGGAGGTAGGAGAACAATTAAGTCTGCCCTAATGCATCATCCTACCCCAAATGAAGAGCTTAAGCAGCTTATTGTTTTAACTGCATAACTCATTAAAAGAAAATGCATAGTTTTATAGCCCTCCTTGATTGAGACTACATGGCTCATTAATGTTTGATACACCTGCCAAGGACTTAGAGGAAGGCAGTGAGCCTGGTGCCTGTGGGCCAGTGGGCTGAGAGCCCCACCCAGGATGCCCACCCTAGGGAGCCTGAGAGCAGTGGAGCACACTGCTTGGCACTCTGGGGGCAACACTTGCCTGAGCAAAGTAGCACCTTGCAGGGAAAGACTGGGCAGGGGCAACAAATGTGAACATTGGTGCTTTCTCAAACCTCTGCTTTCTCAGAACTCTGGTTGGGGCTGAACGTTTTCACAGGCTGTGACTGAATGTGATAACTTGGATTTAATTGTCAGGCTGCAAGGCTTTTGTGGACAGAAAATTGAGATTTTCAAGACAGGCATGACCTTGGAAATCTTCTAGCTGGGGTCCTAGAATGGGTAAGAGATTTGCTTGAAGTCACACAACCATGAGTGCAAGAGCAGCTGGAACACTAGTGCTTTTTTTGTCACTATGATTTAGTGTTCTTTCTGCCTCCCTAACTAGGATATTATGACCTGGGGCCACAGAGATACACCATTCCTTCAGGTGGTGTGGCCCCAGCACTCTCTGTTCTCTGACGCTCTGTGGCTCCTTACAGCGGTGCCTGAGTGCTTCCTCTGGCTACAGGGCTATGCATGGTGGGTACACAAGGCACCAAGGAGTTAACCATCCCAGGAGCAGCCTTCAGCCAATGAGAGATGAGAAGTGGCAGATGAATATGCAATTCTTTACCCCTAGGCAGGACCACTCTGAGGCATGTGCTTCACTGTTACTCTCAAAAGTATGGTCCCAGGGCCAGCAGCATCAGCATCACCTGGGAACCTAAAAGAAATTCAGATTTTCAGGTCCCACTCACTTCAGACCTACTCATCAGAAACTCTGAGGGTGGGGCCCAGCAGTCAGTTTCAATATCCCTTCCAGGTGATTCTGACGCATGCACGAGTTTGAGGATCTACCCTTTACAGTCTCCAGCGCTTCCTCAAAGCCCTGTTTGCTCCCGTGATAACCTGCTTATTTATGTACCCTGCTTGTTCTCTCTGCTTCTCTTACTTCCCTAGTTTTTGACTGGTGCTTTCTGAGATCATTTCCTGAATAAACAACTTGCCCTCAAATCCTTGTTCCCCTGCTTCTGCAGGAAGCTGAATAGTACCAAGAGCTCCAAACACATCTGAGGTTTCTTTTTCTTTATAGCCACAGCTGGTCCTAGAATCAATGCAGGCTGATGCAAAGCCCTTGATAAGTCATAACATCTTGGGCCAGTAACTTAACCTCGTTGAGCTAAAGTTTTCTAACCGAGAGTCTAAATTTTGGTGACTGAAGGCCTAAGAATCAAAAGATGTGGGTGAGTGGAGTACAGTATTCTTTTCTAGTACACTCAGTATTTAGGGACTAAATGATGCCTCCTAGAGGAGGGCAGATCTCCCTTCCTAATAAATTTCTGCTGCAAAAATTTTCCCAGAGGCCATGAAAACTCTGGGAGAAAGGGACTGGGATGCTGGTCACTCACTTGACATCGAGTTTCAAAGGTAAATCGAATTATAGGAAAGTAGTTACAAGAGAGGGCTGCCTCCCTGAGGGCTTAGGACATCTGTATCAGTAAACCGCATTCCTTGAGGGTTCACTGGAGAGGACTGCTGGTCCCAGATATAGCATATGCCCAGATCCACCACCCCAAGGGCACGTGCCAGACCAAATGGCCACCACTGTGTACTGTAATTGTTGTAACCTGTGTATGAGCTGTGACACTAGGGGCTCAGGCGGTCAGTTGTGGAGCACCCCTCACCAAGGATGATACAGAGGGATGAGTGTCCTGTTTCTCACCATGGGAAATCCTCAGGATAATAAAGAAGGGTCTCCACCTGAGCTTTCAGAAGCAGGCAGCTTAGCAGTAAATGTGGGGTTGAGGAGTAAGATCTCAGTGCCAGTGGGAGGGGATGGTTTGGTAAAAACCAAATTCCTGTGATCCTGCCAGAAGGTTTAAAAAGCACCACAGATCGCTGACTCTCCCTTCCCCCCAGCAGCCTGGCAGACACTGAAGTAACTGAAGCCAGAGGCTGGCAAGGATGTTGGGAGCCAGAAGTTGCTGAGCTCAGTTTCAAGTAAGGCTACCGCCATCCAGCCCTTCCGCAGGCCAAAGCAGTGAGCACTTTGTATTTTGGAGAAAAAGTTATGAGAATTTCTGGCAATAAAGTAGGTAGAGTTGTTGCAATTTGGAATATTCATGTATACATATACACGCAATATACATTCATGTATGTATATTCACACACATACACATATATCTGCATGTGTACATACACAACCCCACTGAGACCCTCAATAGACAGAAAGGTAGACAAACCTCAGCTGGCTGTAGTGGGAACTGAGTAAGTTAACAGTAGTGCAACAGCTCAACACAGTGCCTGGCATGCAGGAGACAATAAATGTCAGGAGTATCCCCATAAAGGCAGAGGGGCAACCATATGGAATACAGTGAGGAGCAAGAATGTCTCAGACTCATGGATGCAGGAATCTGGAACACAGACATCCAATCAGCCAGTCTGACCTCTCGGCCCCCTCCCTCAGGTCCTCCATGGTCAGCCCAGCAGGCTCCATTCACAGATAAGGAATGCAACAGGCACCCCTGGAGTGTACATGTGGTGACCTGGGCCCCCAAGATTTTCCACTTTAATCCTGGTTTCACTCTCCACTGGAGACACAGGATTCCTGGTGTTAGGTCAATGGTCATTGCTATCAAAGCCAAGAAAAAGAAAAGCTTACAGCTTCTCAGTGTTAGCCTCTAAGACCCTGAAGATACACTTTATATCTCCCAGGGCTGCAGTAATATGCTATCCCACATACCAACATTGAAACTGGCTGTTCCAACCAAAGGCACCAACCAGTACCAATGTGTGGCCAGGCCACTCTGAAAAATGTACCAGGGTCACCAAACCACAAAAATCACTTCCTTTAAGCAACAACAACAACAATGCTGGGCGCGGTGGCTCACGCCTGTAATCCCAGGCTGAGGCAGGTGGATCACGAGGTCAGGAAATCGAGACCATCCTGGCTAACATGGTGAAACCCCGTCTCTATTAAAAATACAAAAAGTTAGCCGGGCGTGGTGGCGGGCACCTGTAGTCCCAGCTACTCGGGAGGCTGAGGCAGGAGAATGGTGTGAAGCCAGGAGGCGGAGCTTGCAGTGAGCCGAGATCGCGCCACTGCACTCCAGCCTGGGTGACAGAGTGAGACTACATCTCAAAAACAACAACAACAACAACGAAGAGTTGCTTTGTCACATTTTCAATTACAATTAAATGAAGAAATGGAATCAGCCACCACAAAATACTAACTATGAACTTCACATTTGCAGCCCTGCAAGTGTTGCTCTTCCTCAAAATACAACCTTGCTGGAATTTTCCCCTTCTCATCCTTCATTGGCGAGAATTAGTGATGAAACACTCCCATATGTTACTGACAAGAATGCAACCTTCTAAAAGGCTAGTATTTGGCCAGGTGCAGTGGCTCACACCTATAATCCCAGCACTTTGGGAGGCCGAGATAGGTGGATCACATGAGGCCAGGAGTTCAAGATCAGCCTGGCCAACATGGTGGAACCCTGTCTCTACTAAAAATACAAAAAAATTAGCCTGGCGTGGTGGTGCTTGTCTGTAATCCCAGCTACTCGCGTGGCTGAGGCACAAGAATTGCTTGAACCCAGGAGGCAGTGAGCCAAGATCGTGCCACTGCCCTTCAACCTGGGCAACAGAACAAGACCCTGTCTCAAAAAAAAATTAAATTGAAATAAAAGGCTAGAATTCATCCAGCTAGAATGGGGATATGAGAGTGAGGGTTTCTGCTGCACAACTGAAGTCCAGTGGACTCAGTAGCCCTGGATTGGTATAAAAATGCTAATTGCCTTGATTTATTGAGTGTCAGGGTGGTACATGCCTTCATACAGTATTGCTAGTTGTCACAGCAGCCATGCGGACTGCTAATTCCTTATCCTGTGATCTTAGGGTATGTAGGAGTTTCCAGATCTCTAACCCTGCTACTAGTGAGAGCCCACAATGTGCCACCCCCTGTACCTGCTATTAACAAGTGGTACTTCTAATATTGACCAATCTCATGGCTGCCAAACTGTAGTCTTACAAATGAGGAGAATAAAATGGAGCCGATATTAACTGTGTTGCTAATGAACGGTTACTGTAGAGGAAAGTTGTCCCTTCTATTTTTTCAAATCAGTAATTACAGGACACACATTTTAAAGGAAATAAACTAATATGAATTACTTCCAAATATGATTGGTAAAATAGATAATTCTTTCCAAGAAAATATATATTTTGTAATCTTGGCTTTTTAAAACAGCTTTAGCAAAGTATATTTTACATATCATAAAATTCATACATTTCTGGTGTATACTTCAATGCATTTTTAGTAAATTTATAGAGTTGTACAACAATCACCATAAATCAATTTTATGAGGTTTTCATGCCCCAATATGATCCCTTGTGCCAACTTACAATTAATGTCCAGTCCCACCCCAGCCCCAGGCAACTACCAATATACTTTCTTTCTCTGTAAATTTGAATCTTGGCTGTTCTTTATTGCAGTTCTCGGCCTCTGTGTTTTCATTGTCCAACTGAAGATTAGACAAGAGGCAGCATGGGGTGGTGGATAAATCGTGGACCAGGATTGAAGCGAAGATCTGCTCATCTGGGACACTCACCAGGTAAGTGAGATTGAGAAGGGGACTCCTCTTGGATCTTAGTTTCTTCACTGACTAGCAGGCATTGCAAGACCAGTTTTCCAAGGCTGCTGAGAGTCAACTGTGCAAACATGCTGTGAACTAGGTAAGTGGCATCATCCTTATTTATAGACGAGGCAACCAAGGCTTAGCAGGTTAAGTAATAGTCCCAATGTCACTCAGTTAGAAAGTGATGGTGTTGGGATATGCACTCAGTCTTTCTAGCCTTGAAGTACATGTGTTTTCTAGTATACCTCACTGGTCCCCAAAACTCAATCCAATATTGAGCTGAGTAAATTTTCTCATCTGTCAGCTGTATGGAGTAATTCCCCCTGAGCTTACTTACAGTCAACCTTCAGTGTGAACCAGACTGCTGCCTCCCCAGCAGCTCTCATTGGCAGCACCCCTGGTGATGCACATATGCAGACAGCAAGCACTTTGAGTCTCTTCTAGGTTTACAGCTTCGTCTGTGGGTTCTCTAGGGTCCCAGGTATGTAGCTGCAGACCAGGCATCCAAGCTGCCTCTCATCCAGCGTGCTTCTTCCCATCACTTGGAATTTCCATTTCAAAGTGGGTTCATGGCAACTGTTCCTAATCAAAAAGAGTCACTATTCTCATCTTTGACTCTCCAGTCTGTATCCAAACATACAGGACTCACCTTCCCACAAGCACAGGCAACTCTCATAAGAGGCAGACTCAGATCCTGCAATTCTGACCTTGATAATTGGACTCTAAAGTTGTTCTGCTAATAGTCATTTGCCAAGGAGTCAATCAACAGATTCTGCCCTGGGAAACAAAGGGGCCATGGCTCAAGGTTTCTGGGACTTGAAACCTCCAAAATGACTATTTGGCTCAGTTCATTTTCCAAAATGGTTACCTGAAAAATATTAAAAGCCCTAGACTCAAGGTCTCTGTGAAATTCTGAACTTGCCTGCAAGGAGTAAGGTAGGAGGTGCTGAATTCTGCTGTTGGTTCTATACTAATGCACACTTCTTTGCAAAATAAGTTTGGTCGGGTCAGTTTTTGTTATTTTGCTTTGTTTAAGTTATTTTTCATAGCAATTCACCCTCCACCCACCAACCCACATTTACCAAGTTCTGTTTTTATGCATTTTATATATTTGGGTTTTATGTAAGACTTTTTTCAAAAAAGAATTCCACTACAAAAAAGAATGGAAAAACACTGGGTTTGTTGCCTCCAGCTCTAACAAATAATCGAAGACTTTGTAAAAGATTTCTTTCAAAACTGAGAGCCATCCCTATGATTGATGTGAAGTAGCACTTAGTCGACAAGCATTCTATTCAGCTTTCTTTACAAACAGTGTTTTAGGAATTCACCAATCCGTGATCCTTCAGGAATTTTACTTGGAACAACAGATAAAGTAATAAACACCATGGACATCTGTGCAGGACATTCAGCCATCACATTTGTTAATTTGTTTTGGTGCTGTCTCTTATGTGCAGGTTATTGAAGGAGGACTCAATAACAAGAGAGTCTCGAGAAAGCCAGTGGAAGGGATGTAGCACAAAAAGCAGAAGGTCGATAAAGCTGTACTCATGTTTAAGCTAGGGACCTTGTTTATTTCTTCAGATCCAAGTACATACACTTTCAGCCACAGGTGTGTGCAGGACTCCCTTACAGGATATCCTGGCTGTGTGTGTGTGTGTGTGTGTGTGTGTGTGTGTGCGCGCATTTGAGACACAAAGACAGAAGGACTTGGGAAGGAGGGAGAGAGAAAAAGAGAGAGAGGAGAGTAAGATACAGATAAAGGCACAGAGAGACAGAAAAATATTCACAGAGAGATAAAGTTACACAGAAACAGACATAGACAGACAGAAACCAAGCCTGCAGAAACCAAGATGTTTATAGAAGGGAAGACAGAAAAATAGAAAGACACAGAGAAACAGAAAGAGAAGAGATGTGGTCAGCCAAAAAATATTTGGTGACGATAGCCTAACGAGACTTATTAACACAACACAATGTATGAATCTCATTTAGATGCTGATCTGAATGAACAAATGGTAAAAAAAAAAAATAAAGCGGAGTCAGTTGAATAAATCTGAAGCACTGATTCAATGTTTGATAATAGCAAGAAATTATTGCTAACTATTGAGTGTGTTAATGGTATTGTTATGTTTTAATTGAGCCATTATCTTTTAGAGACACTTTCTGAAATGTTTAGGGGTAAAATGATACAATGCCTGAGCTTGTTTCAAAATAACATGCAGGGAGGGGTGGGTGAGGATGTCAATGAAAGATTATTAAAACTCGGTGATGGGATCATGAGGGTTCCTTATATTATTCTGTAACTTTTGTGTATGTTTGAAAATTTCCGTAATATGAAGTTAAAAAAATTGTTAAATGCCTACCATGAGTCAGGCAATAGTGTAGGGAATGGGAAATAGGGTGAATAGGATAGAGGCAGGGATGAGAGGGACAGACAATGGAGATGGAGGGATGGTGACAGAGGCAGACAAAAATCCAAAGAGATAAAGGAGAAAGGGAGGGAGGGGGTGGGGAGGATAAAGGCGTGAGTGCTGTGCTCACCCCCATGTACAGAAAAGAGGCTTCATCCCAATGATATTAGGGTAGTGACAAATATTTCAGCATTCCAGGAACCCCAGGGTTAAAAATGAGACTTCAGCAGAAATCACTCCACTCACCACCAGCCATGACAGGAGTTCAGGTCCTGTCAAAGCCTCCCATATTGTATTTATTGGAGTCTTTTGGGAGCTTGAGCCCAAGTCCATTCAGCTGCCACACAGCATTCCCCCAGGCTCCTTTGTCTCTTTCTCTGGCTTATGGTCCAGGCTGGGCCTCTGCAGGGCACTGCTGTTCTTTCCTCTTACTGGTCACTGGGGTTTCTCCTGGTCACCACTCCCACTTCCAGTGGGTCCTTCTCTGCATAGTGGGCACCTTCATCCTTCCCTCCTGCTGGGCACCGCAGCCTGTCCTGTGCACTGCCATGCTTTCTGGGCATGGCCACCTCTTCCAGGTTTTGCTTTTGCCCTACACTGATAGCTGCCACCCTAGCCAGAGAAAGTGCTAGAGCCTTCCATATGACAAAATGCATAATGGCCTGTGGCAACATGGAGAAGATGAAGGCACCTCTCCACTCTGCCTCACACAGAGGCCAAGGACAGCCAGAGCTGGGCTGCTCGTGCTCCAATGCCTCACCACTCTTCATTCAACAGCCCTTTCCATTTTCCCTCGTAGCACTCTTTCTTCCAGCGATCACATGAATCCATGGGGCTGGGTGGGGCCAGACCCAGGGCCAGCCACTACACTGAACTCTGCATCACTCTGCTTCTAATAATCACTCCACATCACACTGCTTCTAATAATCAAGGCCAAGCATGACCCACCCTGCAGATGGAGTAGTAGTCAGGGTTCTCTAGAGAACTAGGACCAATAGACTATATCTAGATATACAGAAAAAGATGTATTAGGAAGATTGTCTCATGCCATTATGAAGGCTGAGGAGTTCCACAATCTGCTTATTGCAAACTAGAAGCCCAGGTCACGTAGGTCCAGTCCAAACTTAAAGGCCTGAGAACCAGGAGAGCCAGTGGCATAGGTCCCAGTCTGAGTGAGAAGGCTCAAAAACTAGGGGCACTGATGTCTGAGGGAAGGAGAAGATGGAAGTCTCAGCCTAAGCAAAGAGCAAATTCAGACTTCCTCTGCCTTTCTGTCCCAGCAGGGCCCTCAATGGATTGGATGATGGCACATTGGTGAGGGGAATCTTCTTTACTCCGTGTACTGATAAAAATGCTCATTTATTCCTGAAACACTCTCACAGGCAAACCCCAAAGTGATGTTCTACCAGCTATCTGGGCATTCCTTAACCAAGTCAGATTGAGATAAAATGAGCCATCACAGATGGCTTTCCTCCCTTGAGGTTCTGTGGTCTTCAGAAGGTCTGCCCCACTACTTCCCGTCCCAAAATGTCTCCAGACATGCAGAGACCACGCTTGGCAGAAAGCAGATCCCTCCTACACACAGTTTTCATGAAGGAGAACTCCGAGAGGGAACACTGCAATTCCTTATGCCCTGTGCTATCATATTGCAGAGCCATGGCTCCTGCCTATCTCCATCCTTTCCCTAGAAGTCTTCCTGTGTATTTAAATTCAAAGAGGCACTCTGAGCCTGCTGGACTTACTCCTCCAGACTTACTCCTCCAAGAATTAAGGGGGAAATACGTGTTTTCCAACAAAGGCAGAAACTTCCAGTGATGAAGAAATGATTCCTCAAACCATACTCTGAGAGCATGGATGTGTGCAAAGGGTGTTATCATGCAAAGGGAGGTATTTCAGCTTAAGAAGCAGATGCTGCCCCTTCCTTTGTATGTAAGGAGGAAAGGACACTGGCATTGACTGAGGTAATGTCTATAAAGCACCTGGTATTGTCCTCTTCACTTACAGGGTCTCTGTAAATAAGCGCCCCTTTCTCAAGTCCTATCCTTTCCTCCCCCCACCACCAGGAAGATCTCTTTTCTGTAAAGCAGGCAGTTGTCACACTTCTTCCAGGGGGAATTTGCATTCTAAACCTTCTCTCTGCATTTGCAGGGTGATTAAAGAAGGGGCAGGAAGATGGAAACCAACTAAAGGCTGATAGATACCTTAAGAAAGCAAAAGAGAGCATAAAAGAAAAACTTATCTTTGGCTTAGATTTTGCAACTGTTTATTGCACATCTTCTATGTACTAAGCATTATGCTAGCTTTCACGTTCTATGAGATGAATATTATTTTAATAATAGTAATTATTATTATAGCAGCTAGCATTTATTGAGCATTTACTATTTGCCAACTGTTGTGCAATGTGCTTTACACACACTATTTAATTTTCATATAATCTGAAAAGGTATATACTTTTGTTAGGCCCATCTTGCCAATGAGAAAATGAGGCTTGGGGAGAACTATGAGTCCCAAATCCCACCTGTGTCAGTGCCTTATTGCTTTGGTTCTTTAGACCAGAGGGTTTGCTATTGTGGCTCAAAGGCTCTGGATGTTGTGGCAGTGTAACTCTGAGAAACCTGTTATGAGGCTCTGATGTTATTTGTATTTTTGAAGGCACTGACTAGCTCTGAATCAGAAAGGAAATAGGCAACAAAAAGGATTTCCCTGTTGTAGACAGAGCACGTCAGCTGTATTTGAAACACCGAGACACCCTGAGAGGAGGAACCACCTTTGCCTCATCCCCCTCATTGCTTGAGCTCCCTGAGATCCCATGGCCCTCTTCAGGCCAGACGGTTTTTGACAATCCCAAATAGGGCTTTATGTCACTCAGTGGGTCAGCGTAAGACTGTCACTATCCTTAGCGTCAGGCAAAGAGCTAGAAGGTAGGAGGTGATTTCCTCCCATGTCAATTCTCTTATCCAAGCTTTGAAAGGTGAAGTTTATATTTTACTCTATCCCGAATTCAGACACTGACAACCAGATCTCTCCACCATTGAAGATATTTCCCAAATGCATGGATGTGACTTCTATCTCAGCAATCCCTTCAAGACCTAGAAGTCCACAAGTCCTCTATAGGCCCTCCCATCCTATCTCCTTGTTGTTTCTGCCCATTCAACCAGGGAGAGGTACAGGGTATCATTAAAGACTCTTAGGCCTGGCTGCTTGAGGTGTGGTCCATAGATCGGTGGAGTCAGCACTCCTTGTTAGGCCTCCAGAATCTCAGGCTGAATCAGAACTTATGTTTTTAACAAGATCCCAGGTGGTTCACATATATATTAGAGTTTGAGAAGGACTGCTAAGCCAGTGGTTCTCAAACTTGGCTGCATGCTGGAACCATCTGGGGAGTTTTTTAAAAATACCAGTGCCTGGTCCTACCCCCTGGAGATTCTTATTTTCTTGGTTTGGAGGTTGCTTGGGTAAAGAAGTATTGAAAGGTCCCCAGTGATCCTGGTGTGCCGCTGGGGTTGAGAACCACTGGCTTAGAGAATTGGATAACACCTACTTTAGCTACACTGATGAAATCTAGACGAGCGACCCCCTTGCGGGCGTCCTATCACTTAGAGTGCCGAGGGTGACTACCCTCCAGGACTCTGATTCCAGAGTCAGCCCTGCCTCCTCTCTCCCTGGCAAGGAGGAGCAGGGACCTCTCTATTCTGCAACAAAGGGGGCTTCTTTGGCTTGTTTCATGGGAAGATGGGAGGTGAGGGAGCAGTAGTTTCCAGCTGAAGTGCTTTCATCGCCCTGTGGCCAGGTAACCACAGTCTCTGTCGAAAAAGAAGGCATTACTGGCCAGTGCATCTGAAGGTCAAAAGTACTTGAACATCTTTCCTGAAGGACGGAAAAGCAGTGAAAGGAGTCAGACTTGGCTGCTGCCTGGCCTTGCTTTTATGGGAAAAACAGAAGTTATGGGATGGGAGGAGCGTGAAGAGTGGGTGTTGCCGGCCCTCCTGGCATCACAGCTTGTGAACCATAGCAGTGATGGGCAGTCGCTGTCTTCACTGGCCCTGCCAGGTCCGGAGATCCCTGCAGGGGCACTAAGAATTCACCCACTGCAGAGGCCCCACCTCGAGGCAGTTTCCTGTGTGCAGTTATTTTGGGAACAGGAACTGGATGTTTGGGAGGAAGAAGGGTAGCCAAGGGCCTGGAGGCAGGCGGTGGAGAGGTGAGGCCCAGCAGCTCAGCAACACTGAAAGGGCCCCAATGTCCAGACACCCAGGCAGCTTCCACTTGCCTCCACTCCCAGCACAAAGGCGCAGTCACGTGGCCGCTGGGGCTGCGACTTGAAAGAGCTCCCATTGTCCACGCTGCCTCAGGTTTCAGGGAACCAGACGCTGGGAGGACGGACTTTTTTTTCTTTTTTCTTTTCTTTTTTTTTTTTTAAAGTAACGGGGGCGAAGGCCAACAGCATTTTCGACTCCGGAAGTGGGGTCTACACATGCACACACGCCAAACAGACTTCTCCAAGTTTGTTTTTCTAACACATTGGAAACCACACAGTTCAGGAGAAAATTCATCTCACATGCTGTAGCCTGCTTTCCCGGAACGTGTCCAGAGACTGCTGTGTCAACACTGCCAAACTCAGCAAGCCACTCTCCCAACGGAATGGTGTGATTTGCCAAGGAAAAAACTGAACCCAGAGCCTGGGAGGAGGGAGCCGGGGGCCGGCGGCTAGAGGGGATTGCGCATAGTTCAAAGGGAGGGTGGGCTTCCAATTGGACAAGGCACTTCCCCGATTACACAGCTGTCACTGACCCCTCCAAAGGCCACCGCTGCATCCCCTTGGGCTCCCTGTTCCCAGACAGGGCTGCATTTGTGTGCTCAGCTGCTGACTGTCCTACTCTTAAAGCACTCAGGGTGGGAGTGTGCGGAGGGAGGAATGAGGATGTTTCTCAGCCTTTCTAAGTTCTGCCCCGAGGCAGCTTGGCGGAAGAGGAAAGGGCTTTGGCATCACCGTGACCGGATATTAATGTAGCTCATAGGTCCTAGCTGCATTTGCCTAAAACAAGGATGAGCTCTTCCTCTTTGCAGAGATATTACAAATAGAAAAGATGCTAAGGATGGCGAAGGTGTTTACTACAGGGCAGGGACATAATAGGCGCCCACTGAATATCCGTTTCCTCCCACCGGTTTGTCCCTGGAGGTTGAGTGTGTGGTTCTATCTCTCTTGCTTGGTTTTTAGGAGATAGAGGACAGCTCACCCATAAAGGGAATGTCTTGGATATGGAATTTCACAGTTAAAGCAGCCCCCAGACACCAAGTACAGCGACGAAACTCCTTTTCTTTCTCCCCATGGAATATAAGCCCCAGTTCTACTGGGTGGCAAGAAACATCATCCAGTTTATGTAATGACTCCAGTCATTAATAGGGTTAACTTAGGATCTGCAATTTGCAATTTGGTCACAGTCTAGCCCAAAATGACTGTGGGATTTCTTGCCTCTCCCCGTGCTTTTGTCCTAACTTAGTCTCTGAGGAGCAGGTGGTGAATGGAGGTCTTCGTGACTGGATGTGTGGGAGGGAGCAGCCACCTTGACCTCTTCTACTTTGGGTGCCTGCATGCAGCGTGGTAACCAGCTTCTCCATGCAGGTGGACTGGACGTGGGCAGCCTGCTGAGGAGTGTTGCTCATGTAATTCACACTCTGGGTGTGGCAAGTGGGTGGTCTGGTTTCCAAAAAGTTCCCTTAGAATCAAATCAGTCATGCTTCCTTTCCTCTACCCATCCCAACCAGCATATAAGCTGCACCCTTTTTTGGTGTTTGTCTCCCTGAATTACCTCACTCATCTGGCAACTTTCAAGAGCATGCTGACTCTTTCTGCTGGCTATGTGGGACCTGCAGAGTCTCCTCCACACCACTTGGGGGCTGAAGACAGCCTGATGCCCGTCTCCTGTACCTCTCCTGTACCAGCTCTCTAACACTCTGCTGGCTCCAATGAGGTAGTTCCATGAGATTGCCACTGTCAGAAACCTCTGGAAGAGAAGCAAAGGCCTTCCTCTTCTCTCTCAGCTGTCCTCAGCCCTCATGAGGAACCCTCTCCCACTTCTTGCTCCTTCCTTTGATGATGATGATAATGATGATGATGATGATGATGATGGTGATGATGACAACCTCTGTGTGTGTACGATGGAATATATCGCTCCTCATTCTTGATCTTTAAACTCTTCTCTCCTCAGGCAGAGGGAAAACCTGTCTCTTGCTACCTCTTTGCATCAGGTCTGTCTAGTCTCAAACTCAGAGCTGTGTTCTTTAGCAACTTTAGTGTTAGGAGTCTCTGCTCTCAGTGCTGGGGGGATGTCTGCAGAAATGGATGATCTTGATTTTAGTTTCTATTTGGTGGAGAGTCCCAACAAGAAGCCACCAGGGATCATGAAGGGGCACATTTAATTAATATCTCACTTATCAACCTGCCAGTTTCATCATTTTAAAATTGACTGGTTTCAGGTCCCCTCTCAAGTTGTTCACTAGCTACTGGCAACCATCTCATGGTATGACCTTGAGCACATTACTGCAGATTTCTGAGCTTCGATTTTCCAAGGCTGGATCATCTATAAGTCCCCTTCCAGCTCCAAACTTCTAACATGTATGTGTTTGAGATTCTGGACAAGCCTCTATGTGCTGAGCTCTGGCATCCATATGAAATACAGACAGTCCCCATCAGACTCCAATTTCTCTAGTAATGGAGGGGAGGTCTGGTATAGATTAAATATAATCCACTGATAATCCAAAACCCCACGTTAGCCTTTGGTTTTGATCTCATGTATTAGAGGAGTGAACAAGCTACAAAATTGACCAATTTGAATTCTACCTGTCCCTTCCCCTTCTATCCTCTCAAAGACATGCTAATTTGATCTGTAATGTGGCCAAAGGGCAGACAGTAGAAGGGAGGAGAAGCCAGAGGCATGAAAAATCCCCAAACTGGATCATCCACCCCCTGGATAATGGGCAGCTACCTGAACAGAATGCTCAATGAGGGCTCATCTTTTTTCAAGCCAGCCCTGTCCCCATGCTGCAATAGCTATAATCTCCATGGCAAAAGGCATTAAACCATTGAGTTCCTTAGACAAATTCCACCATTCCTCACTCAATTCACAGGCAGGCTAGATTTATTGAAATTGAGAAATTGTTTAATTGTCATTTGGAAGTAGCAGTCTATTTAAAAGACCTAACCAAAATGCCCATCTGGGGGCCCAGGAACCCGGTTTTCTGCTATCTGAATAAGTACAAGCAAACAGAAACTTGCATAAATTTTTCATGATTGCCTCCATAATTATAAATGTTTTTCTATGAATACCCCTTAAGCTATAAATGTACCCGACTTGTAAATATTGCTAAAATCCCATATGACCTCCTCTGGTCTCTCTCTACACCATAATCTCTTTGGAGTGCTGGGAGTACCCATTTTTGCTAACCATAATCTCTCTATATATCTCTCAGTTTATATCTTTGAAGGAGGAAATTTGATTGGCTCTTGGCTTGACAATGGATAGGCTGCCTTTGGGTCAGAGGAGGATATATTCATTGCCTGCTCTACCCACAGACCCTGCCTGGACAAGGCTGCTCCATGTACCTTAAAACTATGACAACAGTTACTTATACTAGGAGTGGACATCTGAGCTGGTCTGTGCTTACAAAATTCTTGGACTCTATGGCAAGAGACTAAACCAGCATGTAGCAACGTCCTTTCCTACTGCGAAGAACAAGTTAGACTACATGAGACTCTGAAGGTCCCTCAAATTCGAATGTTCTATAATTTCTTTCCTAAGCCTAAAGATTCTTACAGCCTCTTGAAACCTGATTCCAGCAGAGATGAGGACTCACCAGGATATAGTGCGGCCAAGAGACTCTAAGCCGAGGTTAAGGTGGTAGAGAGGACTGGGAGTTAACAGGAATGCATACAAGTCAGGGCCAGAACTGTGATGACTGTGGCCCTCAGGAAGGGGGAACAATCAAAGATCAGGTCTAAAACTGGTGTCACAGCTGTCTTGCTGGGGCTGGACACCTGTATGCTTCTGGCATATGGAATTGGATATCCCTGGTCTCTATCCTCTGATTTATCTGGAGGTTGAGGAAACTCCTGGGAAAAGATTCCAACTCTGCTCACAGTTGGAGTTAGACCCCACTCAGATTTCCTTTACCTGCTTGCGCACTCCTCCCCCAGCTCCTATGAGTGGCTCGAGAGAATTGCCTTTGGCTGAACCAGAGATTTTGCATCTCAGCCCCAAAATGCAGCATAACTAACTTCTATAGGGCTACAAAAGGCTAGCTCCCAGCCCATTTTTGGGACTAGACTGAGGCTGGTATCCATCTGAGACCACATCCTTGATTAGCTGCTTTCTCACTCCATCCTGTTCCCCTTCTCCTGAAGAGCTTCTTTCAATAAATTGTGTACCTTGAAATTTCTGTCTCAGCTTCTGTTTCTAGAAATCCTGACCTAAGTGATATTTTGTTGTTTAATACTGGGGAAGACTTGTATTTGAGAGATTCTAAGGAGACCACCTTTTTAATGCCTGCTTCTTTTATGTCTTTGGGATCTTTCATTCTAATAAGGGGAAAATGTGTTAATTCACCAAAATGGTGGATTTGTTGACTGTTACGGAATAAGATAACCACTGCTCTACAAAGTTATTTATTTAAAGCAGAAAGATAATTTTTTTTTTTGGTGTTAAGGGATGTTTTAATTTAGTATGCAGTAACAAAAATTTGTACACTAGCAATTGAGTTTAAAAAAAGTATTTGTGTTATTTTGAATTGCTTCCCAAACACACAAATTAATAGAAATTGCTTAAAGACTTTAATACGGACTTTTTTTTTTTTTTTGATGGAGTCTCACTCTGTCAACCGAGCTGGAGTGCAGTGGCATGATCTTAGCTCACTGCAACCTCCGCCTGCTGGGTTCAAGCGACTCTCTTGCCTCAGCCTCCCGAGTAGCTGGGACTACAGGCATGCACTGCTACGCCCAGCTAATTTTTGTATTTTTAGTAGAGACGGGATTTCAACATATTGGTTGGCCAGGATGGTCTTGATCTCTTGACCTCATGATCCACCTGCCTTGGCCTCCCAAAGTGCTGGGATTACAGGCGTGAGCCACCATGCCTGGCCCTGTATAGGCATTTTTATTGTGGACACCTTCTTTTTTGTTTTCCTTATAGCCCCATTCCCCTCTCCTTCTTCTCCTCCTCCTCTTCTTTATCTTTCTCTCCTTCAGGTTAGCTATTACCTTCCTATTGCTATACTCATCTCAAAAATTTCAGCTCCTTGAGTCATCCCAGTTGTATATTTTCTCACAAAAGTCCTGTATTCGCGTCTCTTCCTTCAAATAGTGATCTCAAGCATAGTTCTTGCTCTTAAGAAAGAAGCCCCCTTTTCCTGACTCACCCCACCAAGCTGCTGCCAAGCGTTCCGACGACTGCTTTGGGTTCCGAGTGGTTCCTCTGCTTGTGCAGCTGTTTCATCCAGTTAGCCAGCACAGCCTTACTCTGCCTCGCTTTCCTCTTCATTTCAATCCCCTAATCCTGCCTCATACCCAAGGCTTTTCTTCCTACTTGGTTCTCCTTATAGTGGTAACGGCTCCTCCTTGATAGTCATTGGTGACCATTGGTGAGAACAAGTGCAAACAGGTCTAGAATTGCTTTATGGGTCAGTGTATCAGTTTTCTATGGCTGCATAACAAATTACCACAAACCGAAGGATTTAAAATATTTAGGTTGGTGCAAAAGTGATTGTAATTCTTGCCATTACTTTTAATGGCAAAAACTGCCGTCAATTTGCACCAACCTAATAACACCCATTTGTTAGCTCATCGTTCTGTAGGTCAAAATTCCTGGCCCATCTTGACAGAGTTCCTTGCTCAGGTCCCACTTTAAGGGGTGCCTTCTTATCTGGAGGTTTCAGGGTGGCGGGGAGGGGTGGGCAGAAATCCAAGCTCATTCTCATTGAACTCAGTGGCAGAATCCAGTTCCTCAGTTACAGGACTGAGGTCTCCATCTTCTTGCTAGCTGTTGACCAGGACTTGTTCTCAGCTCCTAGAGGCCAGCTGCCTGCTGCATGCCATATGACCCCTTCATCTTCAGGTAGGCAGTGGAGACTCTCCCTTGCAATGATTCCCTCTTATATGAATATATTGGGTCTCTTATGTCCCCTGTCTCTAATCTCAAGACCCAGATTTAAAGGACTCATGAGATTAGGTCAGGCCCACTTGAATAATCTTCCTTATTTAGCATCCACCATGGCATATAATGCAACCTAATCACATGAACAATACCTGCAATCTTTGCCTGAGGACTTCAATCAGTCCATGTGGGAACAAGCAAGAAGTGTTAGGGACCCCCAAGAGCAGCCAGCAACCAATAACAGACGAAAACTCCAGCTTTCCTGCCCTTCAGTTCCTAACAGGGCATGGACTGGTACTGGTTTGTGGCCTGGGGGTTGGGGACCCCTGGCCTAGGGTATCAGGTTGAAGAAATTGCCAAACAGCAAAGGATTCAAGATGTGATCTGGCTGCTTCTAATGGCCTACAATCAGATACAGGAGCAAATAAATGAGTTAAATTTGGAACTTAAAGTTAAAAGAGAAGAAGAATATAAAAATTTGGAAAATTTGCAGACTGGCCATGTGATAGAGAAGGAAAAATCATTTTCAGGAGAGGAATTCAAGCAGTCTGTGGAGCAACCACTTGCTGGAGAGATCAGTGTAACTAAAATGGAACCAAGTGCTAATATCCAAGGCAGTGAGGAAAAGGCTTCAAAGGCATTTCAGAAATCTTGGAGGCAACCTTTCCCATCATAGGCCCAGAGGCTTAGGTGGACTGAATGGCTTCCAGGGGCCAAGCCCTGGGTGCCATTGCCCTGAGCCACTTTGGGAGGCTTTCCTCCCTATCCCTGCTGCTCCAGCTGCAGCTCAAAGGGCTTTAGGCACAGCTCAGGCTTCCACTTTGGAGAGTAATCCTTGGTGGCTTCCATGTGGTGGCAAGCCTATAGGTGCACAGAATACAAGAATGAAATAGGGTTGGCAGTTTTTAATGTAAATTCCAGAGTATGTATGAGAAAGCTTGGCTGCCTAGGAAGAAGCCTACAGCAAGGTGGGAGCCCCCACACAGAATCCTTACCAGGGCACTTCCTAGTGGAGTTGTGGGAAGGGAGCCATTGTCCTGCAGACCCAAAAATGGTAGAGCCACCAGCAGCTTTTAATCTGATCCTGGAAAAGCCACAGGCACTCAACTCCAACCTGTGAGACCAACCATGGTTGCTGCACCCTGCAGCTACAGAGGCAGGGTTGCCCAAGGCCTTGGGAGCTCACCTTTTGCACTAGTGTGCCCCGGATGCAGGACATGGAGTCAAAGGAGATTATTTGGAGCTTTAGGGTTTAATGTCTGCCCTGCTGAGTTTCGGACTTGTATGGGGCTTATTGCCCCTTTTATTTGGCCAACTTCTCCCATTTAAAATGGGGATATTTACCCAATTTCTGTTCCACCATTTTATCTTGAAAGTAAATAGCTTCTTTTTTACTTTACATGCTCATAGGTAGAAGGAACTTACCTTGATTCTCAGATGAGACTTTGGACCTTAGACATCGGACTTTGATTTGATGCTGAAACAAGTTAAGTCTTTGGGAAACTATTGAGAAGGGATGGTTGTATTTTGCAAAGTGAGAAGAACATAAGATTTGGGGCCCCAGGGGAAGAATGATATAGTTTGGTTTGGATGTTTGTCCCCTCCAAATGTCATGTTGAAATATGATCCCCAATGTTGGAAGTGGGGCCTAGTGGGAAGTGTCTGGGTCATGGGGACAGATCCCTCATGAATGTCTTAGTGCCCTCCTTGTGGTAATGAGTGAGTTCTTGCAAAATCTGGTTGTTTACAAAGGGTGTGGCACCTCCCCACTCTCTCTCTGTCTTGCTACATGGTATGCTGGCTGCCTCTTCACTTTCCACCATGATTGTAAGGTTCCTGAGGTCCTCACCAGAAGCCAAGCAGATGTTGGTGCCATGTCTGTAATAGCCTGAAGAACTGTGAGCCAAATAAACCTCTTTTCTTTATAAATTACTCAGCCTTGGGTATTCTTTTATAGTGATGCAAAATAGATTAAGATACCTGCTGAGCCACCAGCTTGAGCAATGTGGATGGCCAAGCTCTACTTTCCAAAGGAAGCACATCATTATAAGACAGACTTACATGCTAGAAAATCCTTCTTTGGAATGATCTGAAAGCTACCTTCCTGCAATTTCTGCTTGTAGGTACCAGTTCTGTGCTCTGGGTCAGAGGGAGGGGCAAATCTGTGTCCTCTGCCACACAGTCACTAGAGAAGACCCTGAAATGCTGAGGGGAACAATCTATTTAATCTGGGTAGCATCCCTTCCCAAGCATGTAGATCCTGACTGACTCTGTACTCTTCCATGCCATGTGATTAGCTGCACATAAGTCCCCATTGCTTTAAGTTCCTGACTCAGATAATGAAGTTAATTCTTCCCTGGAAGGAGAGACAAGAGGTCATCTGATCAGGAAGAAGGAATTGTCTTTGGGTCCTCTGGAGAGGCAGCTGCAGAACAGAGTGTGGTGATTAGACAGGAAATCTCAGTATCCCTAATGCCTACAACAGCTAATTGAGGCAAAGGTATATTTACTGAGCCTTAAATTATATACTTAATTTTTTTTACCACTACATAATAAGTGTAGACTTAGTCAAAATAATATATAACCTCAAAAGACAAAAATAATTTAATAAGCAATTTTAACTTGTTATCTCATTTAAACCTTTTAACAACCCTGGAAGTTAGATTGAAATATTTTCATTTTATAGGTGGAAAAAATCAACCCTCAGAAGGTGAGTGAAATCAGCATACTCTCAGCAAGCTAGGCCAGCCTTATTCTGGGCAAGATGGAATACAGTGCCCACCTGCCCCTTGTGGAGAGGAATTTGGGAGAAGACCTGGATCCAGGGTACTAATCCACGTTCCACATGGACCATGCAGAGTAAATGGTGGCAATAGTTCCAGTTTCAAAGTTGTAATTTGGACCTTTGAATATCGTTGATAGGCAAAATAACAACCCCTCTCCCCAAATCCATGTCCTAATTCCTGAAATCTGAGAATATGTGATCGTCTATGGCAAAGGGGACTTTGCAGGTATGATTAATTTCAGGATCTGTGAATAGGAAAATTATCTTGGATTATCTGGATGAACCCAACATGATCACAAGAGTCCTTATAAGAAGGAGGCAAGAGCATCAGAGAGAGAGAGATTTGAATATGCTATGCTGCTGACTTTGAAGAAGGGGAAAGGGATCACAAGCCAAGGAATGCATGTGGCCCCTAAAAGCTGGAAAAGGCGAGGACATGAATTCTTCCCTTAGGCGTCCGGTAACAACAGCCCTGCCAATACTCTGAGTTTAGCCCAGTGAGAACTGTGACCTACAGAACAATACATTTATGTTGTTTTAAGCCAATTAATTTATGGTAATTTGTTACAGCAGCAATAGGAAACTAATACAGTATACAACCATGGTTCTGGCTTGCTTGGTATGAACCAAGCATGAACAGATAACACATGTCAGCTTGTGTCTTTGTCTGGGTTCTGCAGAAGCAGACCCTCAAACTTATGTGAATGCAGTTGCTTATTTGGGAGTGTAAAGAAGCAAAGAAGACAGAGAGGCAAGGAAATTTATTCTTGCTGAGCAAGTTACCAACTGTGGTTAATTGGGGGTGAGGCTGATGGAGGGTCTTTGGGAAATAGTGTGGGATAGGCTGCTGAAATGTGCCACCTGAAGGGCAGGAAAGCTGGAGTTTTCATCTGTTATTGGTTGATGGCTGCTCTTGGGGGTCCCTAACACTTCTTGCTTGTTCCCACATGGACTGATCAAAGTCCTCAGGCAAAGAGTTGCAGGTGTTCACATTAAGAAGTCATTGGTGTACAGGGGAATGTTGAGTGCTGAGGCAATATGGTGGGTCCATTAACGTCTGCTGAGGCTGATTTCATTGAGAGTTTGCCAGAAAAAGACAGGCTGCTCCTCATTCTGCAGATTCATGTGGATCCTTTCGGAATTAACTTGGAATGTTGCCTTGGGGTCTGAAATCTCAATAAAAGAACAGAAGGGCTTGGCCGGGTGCCATGGCTCACGCCTGTAATCCGAGTACTTTGGGAGGCCAAGGTGGGTGGATCAAAAGGTCAAGAGATCAAGACCATCCTGGCCAACATGGTGAAACCCCGTCTCTACTAAAAATACAAAAATTAGCTGGGCGTGGTGGCATGCGCCTGTAGTCCCAGCTACTCAGGAGGCTGAGGCAGGAGAATCACTTGAACCCATGAGGCGGAGGTTGCAGTGAGCCGAGATCACACCACTGCACTCTAGCCTGACAACAGAGTGAGTCTCCATCAAAAAAAAAAAAAGAACTGAAGGGCTTGAAGGCTCAGCACTTTTACTTCTTCTACCTGTCATACCTAAGTAATAACTGGATCATGTGGGCTGTGAACAGCTGACTCCAGCCACCAGCAAGGAGAAGGCATTTTTTTTCCTGGACTCTGACCTTTGATGACCCAGCAGGGAGTTCCTGGCTAGGGATAGGGGGCATTTCATGAAGAAAAGAAGAAAGGTGTTTCATAAGGACTTGCTTAAAGAGGGAGCTAGACTGTGTCTTGACCAAGGGAGGGAGGAATAAAGCTCAGGGAAAATCAAGATGACCTAAAATTTTAATGTAAAGAGGGAACAAGAGTCTCATAAAATATACTCAGCTCTGGTAAATAAATCACCTGAAATACAACTAGAAGGACACTGTGTTCAGAAGAAGGGCAGACAGAATCACACTATAGAAGATGACCTAGAAACTCATGGATCCATGTGGAGAAACACAGTGGAGACTATTCTGGTGAGACTAAAATGTGGGAAGAACAATTGTTTTAGGGGTTTTAGCAGTGGGGCTGGGGCTGGGGCTGGGGCTGGGGCTGGGGCTGGGGCTGGAGTGTCAGCTCTCCAGCATTCTGCACAAGCCTCATTCTGCTGAAAACAGGGCACATTCCTACAGTGCCCTGCTGACAACTTCCACTCCTAGACAGGCAGGTGAAGCCACAAGGGAAGAAAGATTATTCTGGAATTGATTATGACCACCAACAAAAAAACTAATTGGTAAAATGGAAGCGATAAAAGCTTTGCATAAAATGACTCTTTTACCCCAGGATTCATAAACGAGATATTGAGGATGGTAAGAAAATGGATTCTAGACTTCGGAAGGCAGATTTCCAAAACACTCCCCAAAAATGGATACAATCCTGTGGCTAGAAAATCTAACTGGTGATATGACATAAGAAAAAATGGAGACTTTAAATCTAAAATTATTACAATCCAAGAATATGTCACCTCCAGAAAGAAATGTGCCTGTACATCACGCTTTCAGATAAATTCTACTCTAGAGTATATAAGGAAAAGCTAGAAGAAGGGGCACAGCCAAGGTATATGACAGAAGTAAGACATGGGCCAGGAGGGCTTCAGGAAGACTAAATTCCAGGAAAACCATTGACTACCCCACATGCTCAAAATAGTAATAACAACTGAACATTTATTGATCTCCTTCTATATTCTAGTGACTGTGCAAAGCATATTATCCCATTTTATCCTCATATCAATCCTATGAGGTAGGAAGAGGAAACTGAGGCTCCGAGTGACCAAGTGCCTGGTTCAAATCACACAGCTAGTAAGCAGATTAAACAAAAATGTTGACAAGTAAGATGGACTGACAGCTAGTTCAACCTGGCTCAAAGGGCACTGCTTCCTGCCTCCACATGAACCTGGAGAAAGGTTTCTAGTAGTTGCCAGCAGGCTCTGTCTTTGGCATAATTGTGGCTAACATTTGAGTAAATGACCCGAATCTACATATCATAAAGCCAGGAGGCACAGAGAAGGAATGTTGATAGATAAAGTTTCAAAATTATTGCAAGCTGGACTTCTTAGACAAAAGTAAACTGGTGCTCATGCACAGGTTGAAGGGCCTTCTGAGGAAATTTCTGGGGTGGTTTCTAGTGGGGGCCTGATAACCACAACCTCACATGAGACAGGGTGTTGTGGCCAGTCTCATGAAGGCCTGGTGGTCTGAACATCTGCTTGGAGCTCCTGCACTCACGTTTGTGACGGGGTCGCTTAGGCCTGGTGGTGGCGAAGAATGTCTGGGGTACCCCATGTGGTAGCTCGATGGCAGTATCCCAGCTAAGGGTCCCCCTTCTTGCTCCTGGATTCCACTATGTTGGTCCTCATTCTGCCTTCCCTTTCTGCGGCCACACTGTCTTGCATACCCTGCCTCCTGTCTTCCTTTTCAGTGTGATCCTCTGCTTTCTGTTGTTGGTGAGTTTCTCATAGCTTTTTGTCCATTGCAAACCCCTCTTTTTATTTTTTAATGTGTTTATGTAGATATGTAATATATTATTTTTATGTTTTCTATCCTTTCTAGGATTTGGCCTAGGAAGGGCAAAATGTAATGTTTGCCCAGTCATTGAAAGCAGAAGTTGTTGCCTGAAATAGACTGTTCAAACTATCTCTGAAGTCTCTGTTTGAGAGCCGTGGAAAATGGGAACATTAAGTTATTTAATTTCAAATCCAACTCAGAAAGCACAGAGAGCTGCTTATGCTCATTGCTCAAGTGACAGCCTTTTTGACAGACCCACATAGGTGCCTCTCTAGTCAAAGACGGAAAAGACAGTCACTATAATACTTCATCAAACACCTTCTAGACATGAGGCAAATTTTTTCTTCATGAAATCTCGGAGGAAGCATTGGAATATCTCCCAGAACAACTTATAAAATATCCAGTGAAATTATAATAACTGGAGGCTGCAAAAACTAATCACTTATTTTGATGATTACATAATGTTTTTATTTTTAAACGTAGATTACAAAAGCCAAAACTTAATTTTTTCTGCACACTTATTTGAGCTATTAAAACTTCTTATAAATGCCTTATTTTCCTTCCTTCATTCCTTTTTTCCTTCATTCCTTCTTTTCTCTTTTTCTTTCTTATATTTACAAGAAAAAAATAAGAAAAGGGAAATTAAATCAAGTCTTCCTTATCTCATCTTATTATTAAGAATATGTTCTACAAATATAATGTGGCATAGTATCCAAATGTGGTTTTGCAGTTAGTGGAACTAGCAAGATTCCCAGAGTCCAATTTCATCCTTTGATATAAATTTCAGATTTTTTTAAAAAGACAAAACCACCTTGGAGAGCTAAATTCATCAGAATCAACCATGAAAGATAGGTAAGGAAATATGGATAATGCAGTGAGGGCCAGAACTCTTATCATGCATACAAGAGTTTGAGAACATCTTATAGTGTGGAGAGGCCTCTTGTTGCCTGCCCAGGATTTAAGGTTCTTGATGAGCCAACATCAACTTCCCTTCCAGGCTTATCTCTCATTATTTTCTCTGCTCTCACTTTTTCTCACACACTCTTTTTCTCTCTACTTACATGCGCGTGCACACACACACACACGGAGAGAAAGAGAGAGAGAGAGAAAGGGGAAGTTAAACAATTCAGAGAACAGTCCTACAAATTAGGACCGTATCTGCATCATGAGCATTAATATTCTGTGACTGTCATTAACCTTATTCATTTCAGGGATAAGCTGAAGTTCACCAAGATTCCCAAAATATTTTCATAGTTGATGGCAAGGCTAGGGTTGCCAGATAAAAACACAGGGTGCCTGGTTAAATCTGAGTTTCAGATAAACAATGAATATTGGGAACAGTTTATACTAAAAAAAATTACTGTTCATCTGAAATTCAGTTATAACTGGGCATCCTGTCTTTTGATTTTGCTAAATCTGACAATCCTAATAGGGGTGGTATGTCAATCAGGGTCTTGCCAGAAAAGAGATGAAACACTTAAACGGGGTAGTTCAAGGAGGGTTTTGAAAAGAGATTATTTACAAAGGTGTAGTCAGCCCCAGGAAAACAAGGGATGATGCAGTACCTGGAGTTAGAAACAGCAGGTTCAGTTTCCGTCCCCACAGGAGCAAGGAGAGGGTGAGGCTTTCAGAACCGAAAGACAGGGAGGCTCCATGGGGATGGCTGCCTGAAGAGCAATGACCTCTGCATGAGAGGCTGGACCCAACTGGTGGCCAGCTGGAAGTAAGAAAACCCTGTAAAGTGGCTCACAGATATCAGTGTCTTGGCCAGAGAGCTGGTAAAGGCAGGTGGATATTGGATCTAAAGAGGCAAATAAAACACTTCCAGCATGAGACATCTTGGGGGCTCTGGACATCCGGATGACATGGATCCAGCATATAATTAGGCCACAACACTGGGGGTAGAACCTCCTTGACTGTGAAATGCCTGCTTGGGAAGTGTCCCTTTGCTCTGGGACAGCCTCAGGGTCCCACTCCGTGGGTCTGTGTTTCTTGGGTTTTCCTTTTCTGTGTGTGTGTGTGTGTGTGTGTGTGTGTGTGTGTGTGTGTGTGTGTGTGTGTGTGTGTGTGTATGAAGTCTGGCAAATCCAAAATCTGCAGGGTGGGCCGGAAGGCTGTATGTAGATCCAGGAAGAGCTGATGTTTCAGTTCAAGACTGAAGCCTGTCTGCTGACAGACTTTCTTCTTGCTGAGGGAAGTTCAGTCTTTCATTTTATTCAGCCCTTAAACTCTTTGGAGGCTCACCCACATTTGGAGGGCAATCCATTTTAATCAAAGTCCACCAATCTAAATGTTAATCTCATCCAAAAACACCTTCACAGAAACATAAAAAGTAATGCTTTACCGAATATTTGGGCACTGTGACCCAGCCAAGTTGACACATTGTGTTAGTCCATTCTCACACTGCTACAAAGAACTGCTTGAGACGAAAAGAGGCTTCATTGACTCACAGTTCCACATGGCTTGGGAGGCCTCAGGAAACTTACAATCATGGCAGAAGGTGAAGCAGGCACATCTTACATGGCAGCAGGTGAGAAAGAGCAAGCAAGAGCAGGGAAAACTGCCTTATAAAACCATCATATCTCATGAGAACTCACTCACTGTCATGAGAATAGCATGGGGAAACTGCCCCCATGATCCAATCACCTCCCACCAGGTGTCTCCCTCAACACCTGTGGATTACAATTCAAGATGAGATTTGGGTGGGGACATAAAGCCTAACGATATCACACATAAAACTATCACAGCTGACTTTTAGTGTAGCCTTGGTCAGATGCACAAAGGTTGTCCTTGTCACCCTCTTGTGGTCCAGCTCAGCTACCAAGGTTGGACTCTTCCTATATGGTTTTGGGGACAAAGCAAGAGAAAACTTGCATTTTTTTCACCCTGACCTCTTTCTTATCTCTCCTCTAGGAACCTGAAGTAGGTGCAAGCAAGTGGCCAAGGAATGGGGGATTAGGAGTCTTGGTCCTCTCTTCCTCAATTTTAAATAAATCAGAGGAATTTTGAATAAGAATCTGCTATGATCAAAAAGCTGTTTATCTGAAATGGTTGTTATGAGTTCTTGATCAGAGAAAATATTAGATGCCAGTGTCATAAGTCCACTGGCATAAGATATATGCCTTGTGAGTGTTTGCAATATTGGGATTAATAATGGGACATCAAGCCTAGGGTTTCTCCAAGCTTTCTTGTGGACATTTCCTAGAAGGACCACTTGTATGATGGCTAGACTAACATGGTGAGTGTCTTTTGGAGAAAATGTGATGCTTTGGGGGCAGATATAAACTGGCCCTAATATTTAAGAATGACTCAAATCCTTTTTATTAGAAATAATATTCAAGTGACATTATGAACCAATTTTGGATTTCACAGAATTAACTGTGCAAAATGATCACCCTGAGAATATCTAAATCTGGGACACGCTGTGACCTTCAAAGTTTTATATTAGGAATTCCTCCTCTAGGTGTGTCACTAAGTCAAAGGATTTCAGCATTGCATAGATCACAGCAAAAATTAAATCTATGGCATTTTCTTTAGATAAAAGCTTGTGATCAGTGCTACCTGTAGTGTTCCAGTTGTCCCAGGAGCTACAGACGTTTTTAACTACTGAGATGAGAATGAAGGTTTACACTGTGTTCCTGAAGAATGAATAATGGGAGCTACATTGTCATTCTTATATTTTGTGGCAGGAACTTCCTGCCATCTTGCCGTGAGCTAATTATTGGTTTACCTCATGAATGGGCAAAGTCAGTTAATACATTCCCAAAAGATGGTACCCTCCACCCCCTGCCAATATTCTAGATGGCAGGATGTTCATAAAGTATTAGAAAATCCCAAGGTCAGTAAAATTCCCAATCAAGAACTCAGAATGTAGTATGTTGAGTTTGATTGTGTTTTTGCAGTAATATCATTAATAATCAGTTGTTGATAAGCTTAGCCAAGTCACATTTTACAAAGATTTAAATTCCCCAACAAGATCAGCAAGACGTTCAATGACTCTCAGTAAAGGTAATGTGTAAGTGTCTCAGCTAAATTGTATTTTCAGTCTCTATAGAGTCTTACCTCACTCAGACTAGAGTGCTGGAATAAAGTATGTTACCAGTTCAAGGGCATCTTGTTTGATTAAATATTCAATCAATCTCTTATACAACGCAAGAGCTCCATTTATAGATTTCAAGGGAATTAGCAAAATCATTATTGAAGGCTTTAAGCAGACGATTGACATGTTAGATTTGTACTTTAGAAGGGTCTTTCTGACTGTGGTGTGGAAAAAGGCTTGGAGTGATAAAGATTAGCAACAGGGAGACCAGCTGAGGTTCTACAGAGAATGGAAGGGTCTGAACTGGGCCAGTAGTTGTAGAGTTGATGAGGAGCTATGTACCTGGGCATCAGTCTAGACTCACAGCTCCCCAGTTACAGGGCACATAATGGACCATGGGCACTATTGCTGTGATCTAAATCCAGCCTCACGTTTGTGTTGAAGCCATGCTTCCCATGAGCTAATGTCAGCCAGTTACCAAGAGTGGCAGTAATACAAGTACGGGGATGTTTCTGGGAGACCTGGAGCTCCCCTAATGGTGTTTGTGGCTTAAAACTCCCCAGTGGCTTTGCGGAACATTCCTTGCACTGCACAACAGTGTGACACTTCCACCCAACCTTCTCTCCCTCTTTTCTTCATTCGAGGTCGCACTCATTGTGAGCTTCTCCTGGCTTCCTCCACATTTTCTCTCATAGATATTTTCCTTAACAAAAATCCTTGCATGTTTAACCTCACCTTGGCATCTGCTTCTTAACGAAGCTGGAACAACACAAGGGCAATTTCAAAAAAATTTTTTGTGTGACGGAGTCTTGCAATATTGGCCAGGCCTCAAGTGATTCTCTTGCCTCGGCCTCCCAAAGTGTTGGGATTACAGGCATGAGCCATGGTGCCCAGCCAAAAATATTTTAAAAGTAGAATTGGCAAAGGAATGAGGGAGAAATGAGTCTCCTACCTCTCCCCTGTTTCTGAGTAGCAGGAGGGTGGATGGTAGAACCCAAGAGAGGAGCAGGTTTAGAGTTGAGGGTTTCTTTATATCTCTATGGTTTCTGTGATGACAGAGGAGACACTAATGCCTGAGAGACCACTCTTTGCCTTTTCTTACTTCTAAAATGTATAAGAACGTTGCTGTTGCTGCTTCTTCATCACCTGAGGTTTGATTGTAATGGTGCAAGTGTTACACTACTGTTATTAATTAACTTCATTCCACCCTTCAGTTGTAATCCCTGCACTCTTCCAAGAACGTGACCATTCAGGTCTCCATGCTTTTTCTCTTGCTGTCCTCTATTCTTTTTCTAGGCTGTCCTCAGCCTGGAAAGCTCACCCAGAATTGCCTTCTGAAATATTTGACTTGCTGGAAGTGGCTGTGTAGGAGAATGGGAAAGCATAGTGTTTCAGTCGCGAGCTGGGCTCTTCAGCTCCAGCTCTGCTGCTAAGAGAGGCAGCTGTGTTGGTCCTGGAGAGGACTACAGGGAGTCAAATTCTTGTTCTGTCACCCATGAGCTATATGACCTTGGACAAGTTATGTCATCTCTCTGTACCTCGGTTTCTTCATCCATAAAATGGGGATGGCAAGAATCTCCATCTCATAGGGTTCTTGTGAGGTTTAAGAAGTCAAGCTTACAAGATCAGGAGATTGAGACCATCCTGGCTAACATGGTGAAACCCCGTCTCTACTAAAAATACAAAAAATTAGCTGGGCATGGTGGCAGGCGCCTGTAGTCCCAGCTACTCCGGAGGCTGAGGCAGGAGAATGGTGTGAACCTGGGAGGCGGAGCTTGCAGTGAGCTGAGATCATGCCACTGCACTCCAGCCTGGGTGACAGAGCAAGAGTCTGTCTCAAAAAAAAAAAAAAAGAAAAAGAAGAAGTCAAGCTTAACAATGACTGGCACATTGTCTGTGGTCAATATGTGAGTGGAGAATTTTTAACCTTTTTAAACCTGTCTGGGTCCTTAGTTGTAAAGCAAAGGTGTCAGACTAGATGACCTTATCAGTTGGTAAAACCTAATTCACATGCTGCCTGACCTGCTCCCCCACTCCCACTCTGAGAGCTCATCATTCCTTCCTAGGCCTTTCCACAGTGTGCTGGGACACCTCTAGTTGGTTCTCATGCCAGTTTTGCTTTATGTTTTACTTGGTTGTGTGCAAATCTGTCTACTCCACTGGATAGGAGGCTGTTTGAGTGCAGGGAATATTTTTCCTTGTAACCCCAGAGTGATCAGCACAGCAGGAACACAAAAATTCTTGTGATTAATTAAATGATTAAGGATGGCTTCTAGAGAGAGATGGTCAAAAGTGGGATTCTTTTTAATAGCAGATATGTTGATTAAATTCTCACTTGTACCAGTCACTGTGCTTAAGTACTTTTTAAACATTATCTCACTTAACTCTCATCAGCCCTAAAGATAGGCATTATATTCCCATTTTGCAAATGAGAAAAGAGGCTCACAGAGATTTAGGAACTTGCTAAGTGAGTGGCAAAACTGGGATGGAAACCCAGCTCTGTTGGCTTCTATAGACCATGTTATTCACGCTACATTGCCAGAGTCTTTGATGCTAAACATTCCTCAAACTCTTATAGACTAATTTGTGTTCATTATGGTCTGAATGTTTGTGTCCTCCCAAAATTCATGTGTTAAAGTCCTAATCCCCAGTGTGATGGTATTTGGGAGTAAGGCTTTTGGGAGGTAATTAGGGTTAGAACAGGTCACGAGGCTGGGGCTCTTATGATGGGATTAGTGCCCTTGCAAGAAGAGAAAGAATCTTTCTCTCTTTCCATGCTCATACATGGAGGAAAGAACACGTGATGACACAGCAAGAAGGTGGATGTCTATAAGTCAGGAAGAAAGTCTCACTAGGAACTGAATCTACCAGCACCTTCTTAGACTTCCCAGCCTCCAGAAGTGTAAGAAATGTCTATCATTTAAGCCACCTAGTCTATGATAATTTGTTATAGTAGCCCAAGCTAAGACAGCGTTGTATTTCACTTCCATCTTGGCCACACACTCAATAAACACTATGTTGTCACCTGCCTGCCAATTGCACACCTCCCCATCCATCCCTGGCAATTTTGGTTGTCATTCCAGGCTGGCTCTCTCCAGTGGTCCATGCACTAGACCTCTCCCTCCCCATCAAAAACATCCTGTCCGCTCAGAACCTTGCCAGTTGGATGCGTTAGTGCACATTAAGGTGTTAAACAGTTCAAAGGGTTGTTTCTTTGGGCCAAGACTCTTGCTCAGGCTATTGATAACTTGAACCCCACATAGCAGCTCTTTGAGTTCAAGGCAGGCTGGTGGGGAGATACAAGGGGAGCAGAAGGGCCTTTTTGTCCCTCCTGAATAAGATCTCAGCTCTCAGACACTGTTACTTATGCAATTCCATCAGTTTCTTGAGAGAGGTATGATCCTGGGGGGAATCTGTTAATAGAAACATAAATCTAGGAAGGCCTCAGAGCCTCTCATTTCACAGTTAGGTAACTAAAGCCCAGCAAGGTTACTCACAATGACACATCCAAAGTGGCAGAGCCAAGGCCAGAAGGAAAGCTCTGTCAAGGAAGGCACATCCTTCTTAGAGCAGGGCTCACTCTTGCATGCATTCCCTGCTTCCCTTTCTTTCTCCTCCTCTCACATACTTCCTTGTTGCTTTTGTTGAGCAGGAGGGCTAAATCACAGCCAGTTTTCAGAGGTCAGTTTCCAGGGTAGGCAGGTGCTGAGGTTATGCAACTACATGGTGAATCATTCTGGAAGGACAGCTCAAGCACATTCTCATGTGGTCAGCTCCACAGGATGTGGCATTTTTCTACAGCTGCAGAGAAGCTGGAACAATCCTATCTGCAGGATAAAACCCCTCTTAAGAGTTTTAACTGTTTTAACCAAGCCTTTGAGGAGCTCTCCGCGCAGCAACTACAACAATCCTATGGGCAGCCACGGGGGATGGAAAAACCCTTTACAAAGACGATTTAACCCCCAAGTTTGGGTAAATAAAATGTGGATCTACCAGGAGAAAATAAATATCCAGGAAAGGAGCCATTCCTTAGAAAATTATAAGTGACCCAGATTGACTCAAAATTAGAAAACCTGTTCAGACCAATAATTATAGAAGACCCAGAAACATTGTCCAAGAATTAACTGAAAGAAAAGTCACCAGTTCCTGGTAGGAATATAATTGAGTAATTAAAAAAAAAACTTTTAAGGAATCATTTTTTGTTATTGTATAAATTATTTTAGAACATAAAAATGTGAAAAGCTCCTCTGATTGATTTCACAAAGCAAATTTAACCCTGGTACTAAACTATGACAACTGGCATTCCCAAAAGAAAATGCTGAACCAATCATCTCATTTACAAGTATAGATATAAAAATTCTAAATAAAGAGGCTACCACTCAAAAGTATACTGAAAAGAATATGCAGGTATGCAAGTAGGGTTCAGGGTACTAGGAATGCAAGAATGTTTCAAAATCAGGAAAGCTAGAAATAGAATGAATCACGTAAGTAGACCACAGAGCATTAACACAGTCTACATCTATTCCTGATGTTTAAATACGAGTAGAATGATATTTACTTGAGGTGCTGGTTATTCCCAGTTTTTGCTCCCAGATTTGTTTTTCTCCTCCCTTTTCAGTTCCTGTTTTGTGTCCTTCTGTGGCTGACCTCCACAGACCACATCTTTCAGGCTCTCAGATCCTCTGTCTTCAGACTGTGCTCAGCCATTGGGTATGGGCAGAGGAAGGAAGGTGAAGGGAAGGATGCTTGGAGTGTTTGTCCCCTCTATCCCTTTCATCCCCTGCGGTTTCAGCAGTGGCAGTGTTCAGCAGTGGATGTGTTCCTCCTCAACTGCAGCTCCTCTAGGCAGACCTTCCGGCATGGCTATGACTCTCACAGGCTCCAGTGATATTTTTCCCTCCCTTTTTTCCTTCAGGTTTACGGGTATTAACAGATTCCCACAGTTGCTATTCCCTGGACACCTCACCATCTTTTTGTGGTTCCCTTAACCCGTCCAATCTCTATGCTTAGTTTCCTTGTTCAATTCTGTTTAGTTAAATATTTTTCGGCATATTGTCTTACTGCCAAGATCTTGACTAATACATCCAGCATGATGAATACTATTTATCATAGATCAATAAAGAGTATTATATTTATTAGAGTAATTAAATTATCTCATAATGTAATAATAGATGGAAAACCCTGAATTTTCCTCTTTGACAATTTTTGGGTCAATGAGAAAATTGAAACTGAAATTTCAAACTCCATGACTTAGCAATAATAAAATACTGCATGTCAAAATTAATGTAAGATGGCCAAAGCTGATTTCACAGAAAAATAAAGCCATAAACACATATATTAGACACTACAAATGAAAATTTTAAAAAATGTGCTCCAGAAGTTAGGAAAAAATATCACAAGTAGCATATGGAAAGCATAAATAATAAAGTAAAAGCAGAAATTAATGAATTACAAGACTGAAAAAGAAAAAACAAATTTTAAAAATTTGAAAAAATCATATTAGAAATAAAAAATAAAAAATTAGAAAGAAGAATTAATGAAATGTACAGAGGACATTCAAAAAAGTTTCAGGGAATGTTTGGCAAACCTGGGTACAAATTAAATTGAAACTTGGATGAAATAATTAAGTGTCTTAGAAAACACAGAAATTACCAAAATTCACCCTAGAGAAAATAAGAATTCTAAATAGATGAATAATCAGAAATTAAGACTAAAACATACCCTAATCACCAGGCCCAGATGGTTTCTCAGGTAAATAATTTCAAATGTTCAAGGAACAAAGAATTCCAATACTTAAACTGTCTCAAAGCACAGCAAGATAAGAAGAGCTTCCACGGGAAGCCAAAAATAACACCACCACTCAAATCAGAGTACAAGGAAGATGACCAAACTCATTTATGAATATTGCTGTTAAAAATGTATGAATAATAAAAATTAGCAAGTAGACTGCACAGATAAAAAAAGAAAAGGTCTCTGTCATGAAAGCAAAAAAGAAGATGGGATACCTTGGTAATAAAAATTCTGCAGGTTACTGGGATCCAAGCAGTCCATTTTGATACCCAGAGATTTGCAACAGCTTAAAAAAACTTGCAGATGAATCATATAGCCTACAAATATGGAAAAAAATTAAGTAAAATTTTGGTATGTAATCAATGCAAAAAATATATATAGATGGTAGTCTATTTTTATCATTTACTATCATAAATTATGCTCATCTATTATTAAAAGTTTAAATTTATCAAAACTTATGCATACACATACAGGCCATACATGTTGCCTTTTGCATGTAATGTAAATATACAATACATGCAATATATTGTATTTTGAGAGAAATGTAAATATACAATATTAAATCATAACTGCATAAACTTAATTAGAATACATACTGTACTACTGTAATAATTTTGTATTTACCTCTTGTTACTACTGGGTCAGCTCCAGTGTTGGGGATATCTGCTTAAAACACCATGTGCTGCTATTCATCTCCTTGTGAACAGTTTGTCTCTCCAGTAAATTGCATATCACATTAAAAAATGATCTTTTGTGGTTTCCATGTATTTTTCATATTGCAATACCATAAACCTTGAATAACATCATGGGACCCATACAAACGTGCCAGTACTTGAAGTGCTCCCGAGTGTCAGAGAAAAGTCATGACATCACCAGAAAAGACAGAGTTGCTTGATATGCACCATCAATTGAGGTCAGCAGTTGCAGTTGTTCACCATTTCAAGATAAATGAAACCAGTGTAAAGATCAAAGAAAGAAAGAGAAAGAAAGAAGAAAGAAAGGAAGGAAGGAAGGGAAGAAAGAAAAAGAAAGAAAGAAAGAGAAAGAAAAGAAAGAAAGGAGAGAAAGAAAGAGGAAGGAAGGGAGGAAGGAAGGAAGGAAGGAAAAACAATTTCATGAAGCCATCACTGCATTAAAAAAAAGTGCATGAAACCTTGCACTTTTTGTGAAGTACTTTTTATCACATATTGAAAATGTGGCTTTTCTGTGGGTGCAGGATTGCTATAAGAAAGGCATACCTTTATACTCTAATATGATTCAAGAAAAAGTGAAGTCATTATATGAAAACCTAAAGCAAATGGAAGGCAAAGAATCTAAAGCCTGAGAATTTAATGCCAGAAAAGGATGGTCTGATAATCTTAGCGAAAGGCCTGACTTTTAAATGTTAGACCTAAAACCATAAAAACCCTAGAAGAAAACCGAGGCAATACCATTCAGGACATAGACCTAGGCAAGGACTTCATGTCTAAAACATCAAAAGCAATGGCAACAAAAGCCAAAATTGACAAATGGGATCTAATTAAACTAAAGAGCTTCTGCACAGCAAAAGAAACTACCATCAGAGTGAATAGGCAACCTACAGAATGGGAGAAAATTTTTGCAATCTACTCATCTGACAAAGGGCTAATATCCAGAATCTACAAAGAACTCAAACAAATTTACAAGAAAAAAACAACCCATCACAAAGTGGGCGAAGGATATGAACAGACACTTCTCAAAAGAAGACATTTATGCAGCCAACAGATACGTGAAAAAATGCTCATCATCACTGGCCATCAGAGAAATTCAAATCAAAACCACAATGAGATACCATCTCACAGCAGTTAGAATGGCAATCATTAAAAGGTCAGGAGACAACAGGTGGTGGAGAGGATGTGGAGAAATAGGAACACTTTTACACTGATAGTGGGACTGTAAACTAGTTCAACCATTGTGGAAGACAGTGTGGCGATTCCTCAGGGATCTAGAACTAGAAATACCATTTGACTCAGCCATCCCACTACTGGGTATATACCCAAAGGAATATAAATCATGCTGCTATAAAGACACATGCACACGTATGTTTACTGTGGCACTACTCACAATAGCAAAGACTTGGAACCAACCCAAATGTCCATCAATGATAGACTGGATTAAGAAAATGTGGCACATATACACCATGGAATACTATGCAGCCATAAAAAATGATGAGTTCATGTCCTTTGTAGGGACATGGATGAAGCTGGAAACCATCATTCTCAGCAAACTATGGCAAGGACAAAAAACCAAACACCGCATGTTCTCACTCATAGGTGGGAATTGAACAATAAGAACACTTGGACACAGGAAGGGGAACATCACACACTGGGGCCTGTCATGGGGTGGGGGGAGGGGGGAGGGATAGCATTAGGAGATATACCTAATGTAAATGACGAGTTAATGGGTGCAGCACACCAACATGGCACATGTATACATATGTAACAAACCTGGACATTGTGCACATGTACTCTAGAACTTAAAGTATAATGAAAAAAATATATATATATAAAATAAAGAACAAGTGAAAAATTATGACATATATAAGGTATTAATAAAAGTGCTTCTTAACACCAAAAAAAAAAAAAAAGAAAAAGGCTTGACTTTAAAATGTCAAGATAACAGGAGAAACATCTTCTGCCAACTAAGAGGCAGCAGACAAGTTCCCAGACACCTTCAAGAAAGTCACCAAGGAGAAAGGACATTTGCCTGAACAGATTTTTAATGCAGATGAAAGTGCCTTATTCTGGGGGAAAATGCAACAAAAGAGATTTATGAGTAAGGAAGAGAAGTAAGCACCAGGATTTAAGGCAGAAAGAGATAAGCTAACTGTATGTTGTACAAATGCATTCGGGTTTATAATCAGGACTGCCTTTATCTACAAAGCTGCTAACCTCTGGGCCTTGAATTGAAAAGACAAATATGAGCTGCTTGTCTTTTGGTTATACAACAAAAATGCATAAACAATGAGAACCCTTTTTCTGGATTACATCCATTGATGTTTTGTCCCTGAAGTAAGGCAGTACCTTGCCAGTAAGAGACTGCCTTTTAAAGTTCTTTTGATATTCGACAATGCCTCTGGCCACCCAGAATTCCACAAGTTCAATACCAAGGGCATTAAAGTGGACTATTTGTCCCCAGACACAATGTCTCTAATTCAGCCTGCAGATCAGGGGATCATAAGGACCTTTAAAAAATCATTACATATGGTACCTTATGGAAAGGATTGTCAATGCTATGGAAGAGAACCCCGTTAGAGAGAACATCATAAAAGTGTGGGAGGATTACACCACTGAAAATGCCATCGTTGTCACAGGAAAAATCGATGAAAGCCATCAAACATAAAATAATAACTTTCTGCTGGAGAAAACTGTGTTCGGATGTTGTGCATGACTTCACAGGATTTACAACAGAGTCAGTCAAGGAATTCATGAAAGAGATTGTGGATATGGCAAAAAAAAAAAAATAAAGTGGTGGGTGAAGGGTTTCAAGATATGGATTTTGGAGAAATTTGAGAACTAGTAGACACCACAGCATAGGAATTAACAGATGATGACTTGATAAGGATGAGTGCTTCTGAACCAGTGCCAGATCATGAGGAAGAAGATGTAGAAGCACCAGTGCCAAAAACTTTAGACAATCCGACAAAAAAAGTTTTAATTATTCAAGAGTAGTTACGACTTCTTTTGTGACAAGAATGATACAGGCACTGAAGCTAAAGCAAATGGTGGAAGAATAATTGGTACCATACAGAAACATTTTTGGAGAAATGAAAAAGCAAAATGTCAGACAGAAATTGTCATGTATTTCCATGGTTACACTAAGTGTGCTTGCCTCTCCTGCTTCCCCTTCCACCTCCTTCATTTTGTCTGCCTCTGCCACACCTGAGACAGCAAAACCAATCTCTCCTCTTTCTCCTCCTTAGTCTATTTAACCTGAAGACATCAAGGATAGAGACCCTTACCATGATCCACTTCCACTTAATGAATAGTTAATATATTTTCTCTTACTATTTTCTTAACATTTTCTTTTCTCTAGCTTTATTGTGGGAATACCATATATAATATGTGTAACATACAAAATATATATTAATCAACTGTTACATAATCAGTAAGGCTTCTGATCAATAGAAGGCTATTAGTAGTTAAGTTTTGGGGGAGTAAAGAGTTATATGATTTTCAACTGCATGGAAGATCAGTTCCCCTACCCACTGCATTGTTCAAGAGTCAACTATATATTAGTAGAATAAGTATCTAATTTTGGAACACTTTCATCACCCCAAAAGAAAACCTATACTCATTAGAAGTCATTTTCTCCATCCCATTCCCACATACCCTAGGCAATCACTAATGTACTTTCTATCTCTGTAGATTTACCAATTCTGGACATTTCATGGAAACAGAATAATACAATATATGACTTGTGACTGGCTTCTTTCATTTAGCATCATGTTTTCAAGGTTCGGCCATACTGTAGCCCCTATCAATACGTTATTTCTTTTAGTGTTGAATGATATTCCATTGTATGACTATACCACATTTTATTTATCCATTTATCAGTTGATGGACTTTTGGGTTGTTTCTACTTTTTGCCTATTATGACCAAGGCTGCTATGAATATTGCTATTTGTGTACAAATCTGTGTGTAGAAATATGCTTTAATTCTCTTGGGTATATACCTATGAGTGAAACTGCTTGGTCATATGGCAACATTGTATTTAAACTTTTAAGGGAATGCCAGACCATTTTTCAAAGCAGATGCAATATTTAATATTCCCACCAGCATTGTATGAGTATCCTGATTCTTCTATATTTTTGCCAACATTTGCTATTTTCTGATTTTTTAAATTATAGCTGTCCCAGTAAGTGTAAAGTAGTATCTCATTATGGTTTGATTCACATTTCCTTGATGGCTAATGGTGCTGAGCATCTTTTCATATGCTTATTGGCTATTTTTGGTATATTTTTGTTAGATAGATGTTTATCCAGATCCTTTGTCCCTTTTTAAATTGGGTTATTTGTCTTTTTATTATTGAATTATGAAGGTACTTTATATGTTTTGGATGCAAGAAACTTAGATGTGTGAGTTGAAAATATTTTGTCTTAATTTATAGATTGCCTTTTTTACTTTCTTAATGATATTCTTTGTAAAAAGTATTTAATTTTGATGAAGTCCAATTTATCTTTTTTTGTTGCTTGTGCTTTTGGTGTCATATCTAAGAAACCTTTGTTTAACTCAGGACACAAAGATTTACTTCTATTTTTCTGGTAAGAATTTTATAGTTTTAACTCTTACATTTATGTTTATGATCCATTTTGAGTTAACTTTTGTGTATGGTATGAGGTAGAAACTCAATATCATTTTTCAAATGTGAATAACCAATTGTTCCAGTATCATTTGTTGAAAAGATTTTCTTTCCTTATTGAATGTCTTGGCATCCTTGTTTAAAATTGATCGCAAATGTCAGAATTTCTTTATAGACTCTCAATTGTATTCCATTGATCTGTATATCTATTCTTATACCACTACCAATCTGTCTTAATTACTGTAGCTTTACAGTAAGTTTTGAAATAAAAATGTGAAGTCTTCAACTTTATTTTTCCTTTTCAAGATTGTTTTGGCTATTATGGATGCATCATATTTTCCTGTGAACTTTTGAATCAGCTTGCAAATTTCTGCAAAAAAGTCATCTGGGATTTTAATAGGGTTTACACTAAATCTATAGATCAATTTGGCAAGTATTGCCTGACTAACAGTGTTGAGTCTTCTGCCACATAACATGAGTGCATTTCCGTTTACTTAGTCCTTTATACATTTATTTCAACAGTATTTCACAGTTTTCACTGGACAAGTCTTGCACTTTTTACATCTAATTCTAAGTTTTTAATTCTTTTTGATGCTACTGCAAATAGAATTGTTTTCTTAATTTCATTTTCAGATTGTTTATAAAATTAACTTTTGTATGTTGTCCTTGTATCCTCCTCTCTTGCTGAACTTATTTATTAGTTGTAGTAGTGTTTTGTGGATTCCTTGGGATTTTCTATATACAAGATAATGTCATCTACAGATAGAAATAATTTAGGTTCTTCCTTTCCAGTCTGGATACTTTTCATTTCATTTTTTTGCCTAATTGCCCTGGCTGGAACTTTCAGTACAAGATTGATTGAAAAGTGGTGACAGTGGATATCATTATCTTGTTCCTGATCTTAGGTGGAAATAATTTAGTTTTTTACCATTAAGAATGATGTTAACTGTGGTTTTTTCATAGGTAATCTTTATCAGGTTGAGGAAGTTCTCTTTTATTCATAAATGTTGTTGCTATCTATTTAATCATCAAATGGGATTAGTTTTTGTCAGATATTTTCTCTGCATTTATTAAAATGACCATGTAAGAGGGTTTGGTCCTTCATTCTATAATGTGCACATTAATTGATTACACTGATAGAGTTTTGGATGTTAAAACAACTTTATATTCCTGAGATAAATTCCACTAGGGAATTTATATTCCTGAGATAAATTCCACTAGGGAATTTATATTCCTGAGATAAATTCCACTAGGGAATTTATATTCCTGAGATAAATTCCACTAGGGAATTTATATTCCTGAGATAAATTCCAACTTTTACATGTTGCAGGATTCTGCCTGCTAATATTTTATTAAGAAATTTTGCATCTATATTTATGAAGAATATTCGTCTGTAGTGTTAGTTTCTTGTGATATCAATTTTGTTTTGGTATCAGTGAAATACTGCCCCATAGAATGATTTGGGAAGTGTTCCCTCCTCTTTTTGGTAGAGTTTTAAAAAAAAAATTAGCATTATTTGTTCTTCAAATGTGTGTTAGAATTCACTAATGAAGCCATTTGGGTCTTGGCTTCCCTTTGGGGATAACTTTTAAGCTAGTAAATCAATCCCGTTATTTGTTATAGGGCAATTCAGATTTTCTGTTTCTTCTTGAGTCAGTTTTGGTGTTTTGTGTCTTTCTAGAAATTTGTTCCTTTTATCTAGGCTATCTAATCTGTTGGTGTACAATTGTACATAATATTTCCTTATAATTCTTTATATTACTCTAAGATCGGTAGTAATATCCTCTCTTTCATTTTTTTAGAGACAGAGCTTCACTCTGTTGTCCAGGCTGGAGTGTAATGGCACAACTTTAGCTTACTGCAGCCTCAAACTCCTGGGCTCAAGCTGTCCTCCCACTTCAGCCTTTCTTATTCCAGATTTTGGTAATTTGAGTTTCCTCTCTTTTTCCTTGGTCAAGCTAGTTAAAGGTTTGTCAATTTTATTGATCTTTTCAAAGAGCCAACTTTTTGTTTCATTGATTCTCTCTGTTGTTTTTCTGTTATCTATTTCATTTATTTCTGCTTCAATATTTCCTTCCCTCTGCTTGCTTTCAGTTAAGTTTGCTCTTTCTTTTTTCATTTCTTAAGGTGGAAGGTAAGGTTATTGATTTGAGATTCTTCTTCTTTTTTAATGTAGATATTTATAGCTATACATTTCCCTGTGAGCACTGCTTTTGCTGCATTACAAAAGTTTTCATTTGTTGTGTTTAGTTACATGTATGTCAAAGTGTTTTCTAATTTTCCTGTTATTTACTTTTTGATCCATTGGTTATTTTGAAGCATGTTTAATTTTCACATATTAGTACATTTTCAAGTTTCCTTCTGTTACTGATTTCCAATTTTATTTTATTATGGTTAGATAACATACCTTGTATGATTCCTTGAAAATTTATTGAGGTTTGCTTTATGTTTATTGTTTATTCTGGAAAATGTTCCATGTGTGCTTGACAAGAATGTGTATTCTGCTGTTGTCAGGTGGATTACTTTCTATATACATCTCTTAGATCTAGTTGGTTTATAGTTTGTTCAAGTCTTCAATTTTCTTATTGAGCTTCTGTCTATTGTTGCATCCATTATTGAAGTTGGGGTACTGAAGTCTCTGTTATTGTTGAATTGTCTATTTCTCCTTTTTATTCTGTCAGTTTTTCTTTCATATATTTTTGGGCTCTGTTGTTATGTGCACATATGTTTATAATTGTTATGCTTACCAGATATATTGAAAATTTATCATTATAAAATTTCCTGCTTTGTTTCTAGTAAAAATTTTTGTTTTAAGGTGGATTTTGTCTGATATTAATACAAACATTTCTGCTTTCTTTTGGCCATTATTTGCATGATGTATCTTTTTCTGTCTTTTTACTTCTAACCTGTTTGTGTTTTGAATCTACAGTGGAACCTTATAGCCAACAGACTGATGAATCATATTTGTTTAAAATCCATTTTCCCAACCTCTGACTTTTAATTAGAGGGTTTAATCCATTTACATTTAATATAATTGTTAAAATAGGATTTATGGCTGTCATTTTGCTATTTGTTTTCTATATGCCTTATGACTTTTCATTCCTGTTCTTCCATTATTGCCTTCTTTTGTTTTAAAAGGATATTTTCTAGTATATAATTATAATTCCATTTTTAACCATATTTTTTGAGTTCTTTTCTTAGTGGTTGCACTGAGAATTATAATTAACATCTTAACTTAAAACATCCTACTTTGGATTAATATTAACTTAATTTTATTAATATCTAGAAACTTGGTGTCAATATTGCTTGATTTCATCTGTACTCTTTTGTGTTTTTATCACAAATTAAATCTTGATATAAGCCCACCCATACAATGTTATAATTGCTTTGTGAAACTGTCTTTTAAATCACATAGCAGAAGAAAAGATTACAAAATGTATATTTATACTGTGGTTTACATTTGTCTATGTAATTACCTTTACTGGTGCTCTTTATTTCTTTGTGTGAATTAGAGTTACCATCTAATGTCCTTTCATTTCAGCCTGAGGAACTGTCTTTGTTATTTCTTGTAAAGCAGATTTACTATTGATAAATTTTCTCTATTTTAGGTTGTCTGAGAATGTTTTAAATTCTTTTTCACTTTCCAAGGGTAATTTTGCTGTATGCAGAACTCTTGGTTAACGACATTCTCTTCCCCTCACCCTCTAGTACTTTAAATATGTCATTTCACTGTCTTCTGGCTTCCATGGTTTCTGTTGAGAAGTCAGCTACTAATCTTATTAAGGATTTCCTTTATGTAATGAATTGTTTTTCTCTTGCTATTTTCAAGATTCTGTATTTGACTTTGGCTTCCAACAGTTTGATTATAGTATCTCCTTGATAGTATGTTACTTAGTGTTTGTTCAGCTTCTTCAATGGGTTGATTAAAGATTTCTGTTTCTCCTCTCCTTCTGAAATTCCCATTATACGTATTTTAATGTGTTTGATGGTGTCTCGCAAGTCTCTAAGGCTGTGTTCATTTTCTTCCATCTTTTTCTTACTATTCTTCAGGCTAGATAATCTTTGTTGAATGATTTTCAAGTTTGTTGATTCTTCTGCCCACTCAAGTCTGCTGTTGAAACCTGATAGTATTTTTTCACTCAAATAATTGTATTTTTGCTCTTTTTAAAAAATAATTTTTATTCATTTGGTGATATTTTCTACTTAATGAGTCACTGCTGTCACACTTTATTTAATTGTTTGGCTATAGTTCCTTTAGTTCTTTGAACATATTTATAAAATTGAACATCTTTGTCTGGTAAGTCCAACATCTAGTCCCCCTTCAGGGATAATTTTCATTAACTGCTTTCTTTTCTTTGTATAGGTCACACCTTCTTATTTCTCTATGTGTTTCACAATTTTCATTGAAAATTGGGTACCTTAGATAATATTATGTGGTAATTTTGGGAATCATTTAGGGTTTGTTGTTGTTCATGCTTTTGTTGCTATTGTCTGTATTCTTTGTGGTTTGTGAAGCTTCTGCTCAATTAGTTTAGTGATTAGATGATGTTTGGCCAGAGATTTTTTTGTTTTTTTTTTTTTGTTGTTATTTGTGATGGACTCTTGCTCTTGTCACCCAGGCTGGAGTGCAATGGCATGATCTCGGCTCACTACAACCTCTACCTCCTGGGTTCAAGTGGTTCTCCTGCCTCAGCCTCCTGAGTAGCTGGGATTACAGGTGCCCGCCACCACACCGGGCTAATTTTTGTATTTTTAGTAGAGACAGGATTTCACCATGTTGGCCAGGCTGGTCTCAAACTCCTGACCTTGTGATCTGCCCACCTCAGCCTCCCAAAGTGCTGGGATTACAGGCATGAGCCACTGCGCCTGGCCAGTCAGAGTTTTTTTTTAATGCCTTGAGCCGATACATCTTCCAATTTTTGCTGAGGGACTCTGTGTTTGTAAAATCATGTCTTTCAACACTCAGACAGTTTACACCTTTACCTTCGACTTTACTTTCTACTAGCTCAGGGCCTCAAGATCAGCCAGTGAGGAGGGATTGGGGTATTCTCAGGTCTTTTCTTCAATGCATATAGCATTGCATGGCATGCATCCTTCTAGGTCCCCAGAAATATGTTAGAGATTTTCAAGGTCCTTTCTGGCATATTGGTCCCTAGATCTCCCTTTTAACTATTGGGCAGGTTCTTGCTTACCTCAACTGGTATTATTACAGCTTTGGAAAACTGTGCTGTTAAATAATTGACACTGATTTTTTTTAAAGCTTTTTCATTAAAAACTTTTTAACTGACAAATAATAATTGTACATATTCATAAGGTACGTAGCAATGCTTTCATACGTATAATGAAGAATATTCAAATCAGGATAATTAACATATTCATCTCATTTATCATTTCTTTGGGATCATTCAATATTATCCTTCTAGCTATTTGAAACTATATAATATATCATTGTTACTATGGCCACTGATTATTTTGACAAACCTTCTGAAGACAGGACTTTTCCTATAGGGTGAGATCTGAGTTAAGTAATGACAGCATGTTGCAAATGGGGTTTCTCCAGGGAACTATGAGGTAGACCACATAGTGACAACGCTCTAGGGTGGGGCTTTTTGAGACGCTCCAAACGCGGTACATGTTGACTGAATGGCTGCTGATTTTCAAGGCTACTGCAGAGATGGAAAGACAGGAATGAGAGTAGGTCAAGTTAAAGTGCCATGAACCCTGCTGTTCTTACTGAGGTAAGCAGTTTTCGTCAAATGAATGGTCTTCACGTTGTTGCAGGGCTTTGGTTAATCTTAGAGTTCTGAAAACTTTGATTTAAACATTTTTGTGACTGTTTTATTCCTTTTCGGAAGAGCAGACTTATGGAGGCCTTTCTTTTAGCAATTTGCATGTCCAATCTTGTTTAATTTTTTAATATTGTGAGTAGTGTGATTACATTTTCTAAGAGTTCATATAATAAAAATGAGAACAGCTACAGTACAAATGCCAGCATAACCTAGACATCACTGGGAAAACAAAAGGCTCATTGACTGTGTAATTTTAATGAAGGGTGTAAGGACACATGTAACTGGACTAAGGAGATAAAGAATCAAAACATAGCATATTATGTGATATGTGAAAAAAATGTTGAATTGTGCCTGATGATGAAGGAGACATGAAAACAGATGGACACTGCATCTCCCAAATCCAGAAAGAGACAGATACGTACTTCTAAATCAATCAAATAATTTTTCATCTCCAAACAATACAATAAAGCTTAGCTGAAAATAGTACCTGCTGAATTAACTCAAGATAACCAACAAACATGTATTATCATGTAATTCCCTTGTTACCTGAAATTGAGTGAAATTTCCTTTCTTGATTAAAATAGCAATTAAACACAATTATAATGTCCTGTGAGTGAACCAAAGGGAAAATTTTGTTAACAGATGTTGGTGTTGACCCCTTACAGTGTAGCACAGATTTTTTTCAGCTCTTACCAATGGTCATACTTTCTACCATGTATCAAATAATGCATCTTATCCTGAAAACCAGCAACAGCTTGTAGGAATTAGTTTCCAGATCTCCACAAATGTCCATCCATTTGGTAAATACAGGCTTGTTTTGGAGAGCTGGAAACTAATTCCTATCAATCTAAAAACCTGCTGCTGCTAGTAAGTAAAATATTTTTATTATATTAAGTAACCCATGCCAAACACTTTCACTGAGACTTGAGGGTATATTTAGCTTGATGTCATCACACTGAACCGATATCAGAATCCATATAGTGTGCATTTGATAAGAACAGAACTACAAGTCAAAGTAACTCTTATGTTTGACTATATTCAGTTTTACCCCTACATAAAAGAAAAGAAAAAATATCCTAAAGGTTCCAGGGAGTTCAAAAAAGCATTACTGGCAATGAAAAATCAAGGGTAAAAATACCCTATTGTATCATGGAACAAAAAGAAAAATTTCATTGTTATTTTTTATTAAATATAGGTAATGTCTCTTTAATAACTCCAATTGTATTATCTGTTTCTTTTCAGAAGTCCTACATTTATGTATGTTAAGAATACACAATATAGCCTATAAAATTTGAATATTGATTTAAAAGGTTTTCTTAAAAAAGAGTTTAAATAAGTTGCTCTATCAGAAGACAGAAAAAAATATAGAAATGTTATATTTTATTACATATTTATTTTATTGGTCCTATGATTTTTGCTCAGTGCCACTGTTAGCTAGTCCTATTGTTGTTTTGTTTAAATAATAGCCTTTTGTTGTAGAAAAGTAAATAATACAAAATAATATCTAGTTTCACATAAATATTTATTGTTCATATTTTATATTAAAATAGTAAAACGTGTATGATTATTACATACATTATTGTTATTATTTTATTTCACATGACTGTGTTCTGAGTTGGTTCTCTATGAAGTGGATACTATCTACAAACTACACCAAATCCTGGTCATTTTAGGGGCTTGGGTGCCCCGGGGTTGTTAGTGAAACAGAGACAGGAACCCCGCCAATCTGTTCCAAGAGCCTGGAGTGTCCATCTAGAGGCTGGGACAGCAGCAGAAGTTGGTGGAAAACTCTCGTGCCCAGAAAGAGATTTCAGGGCTGTACAGTGCCTACAGGAAACAAGCCCACGTGATACTCCCTGTGACTCAGAAATATTGGGTGGCTAGGAGGACTTTGGAGAGGAACCTAAGGTCTTCTACGAATATGTATGGTCAAGTGCTGATAAAGGGGAGTTATTAATGTTAATGTAACTGTATTAGTTAGCTTGGGCTGCAATAACAAAATATTGTAGGCCAGAAGGCTTAAATGACAGAAATTCATTTTCTCACAATTCTGGAAGCTGGAAGTTCAGGATTAAGGTGCCAGAAGGGTTGGCTTCTCCTGAGGCTTCTCTCCTTGGCTTGCAAATGGCCACCTCCTCACTGTGTCCTCACATGGTTTTTCCTCTGTACACATGTGAAGAGAGAGCACTGGTGTCTCTTCTTCTTCTTATAAAGCCACAGTCCTACTGGATTAGAAGCCTATCCTTATGACTTCATTTACCTTAATTACCTCCTTACAGGCCTTATCTCCAAATTATAGTCACACTGAGTTTTAAGGCTTCAATATATAAATTCGGGGTAACGCAATTCAGTCCGTAACAATGGCCCTCATTGGCACCCATAGGCAGGCAGAGCCCATAGAGCAGAAAATAGAAATGAGATCAAAGAAGCACGGGCATCAACTGAAGAAATATCAGTGGTTACACTCTCCTGTTTAATTGTACAGACTCTATCTGAGTCTTTGAAAGATTATGCAAACCATTAATTATGATAGAGAGGATTTGAATAATAAATCAATAAAAATTATTAATAAGTATCCAAGGATCTTTGTGTTCTCTAAATAGAGAATATATGTTCTTTTTTATTGCATATAGAATACACACACACACACACACACACACACACACTATTCCACACTCTTCATAATGCCACAAGCTTTAAAGTAATAACAAAAACCTCTAAATACATGGGAATTTAAAAAATGCTATGCTTAAAAACTCTTGGGTCAAAGAGAAAATTCAAACTATAATTAGAATAATAGGAATAATTAATAACATAGCAGCATTTGTGGAATGGGCCCCAAAGCATTACCAAATGGGAAATCAGTAGCCCTAAATGCTGCCATTAATAAACAGACAGAATGAAAATAAATGAGCTCCCGATTCCATTCAATAAGCTCTAAAAAGAACATCAAATAAAGAAAAGAAATTAATGATGATAAAATGCAGACATTAATTAATTAGAAAGCAGAAAAGCAGAAGAACTGATAAATACCTTTAAAAGCTGGTTCTCTGAAAAAGGCAAAACAATAAAATAGAAAATATTCTGACCAGTTTAACAAAACAAAAGATAGAAAACACAAATCAATGAAATTGTGAATGAATAAGTGATGTAACCAAAATAGCTTGTAACAATTTGATTCTAAAACTTGTTAGAAAGGCTGTGACTCTCAATCTGCATGGAAATCTAGTTTGTTCATTTCAATTGCAGAATTATTTTCCAGCATGTGACTATATCACAGTGTACTTATCTTCTCTGTCAATGAATATTTACATTGTTTTCTGGTGCTGCAAAAAATACTACTACAATAGACATGGTTGTACATATACCTTGTGCATATGTGTAAGAGTTCTGCAAGGGCATTGATTTTCAAAATGTGGTTCTTGGACCAGTAGCATCATCTGGGAACTGGTTAGCAATGCAAATTCTTAGGCCCCACCCCAGACATACTGAATCAGAAACTCTAGGGTTAGGTCCCAGGACTCTTTTAACAGGCCCTTCAGGTGATTCTGATGCATGCTCTAGTTTGCAAAGCACAGCTCTAGAGTGTATATCTAGAAGTAGAATTGTTGATTGCAGGGTTAAGTGCAACTCAGTTTTTACAGGACATTGCCAATGACCTTCCTAAATGCTATGCCAATTTACACTTTAATAAGCAGTTAATAAGGTTTTTGTTAAGCTGTAGTCTTGCAAACACTTGGTGTTATAAGACTTAAAATGTCAAAGTGATAGGTGCAAACTAGTGCTTCATTGTTTTTGTTTGCATTTCTTCGATAACTGGTGAAGTTAAACACCTTATCCTAGGTTTTTTGATCCATTGGTTTTCTCCTATGTTCATTGCCTGCTCATATTTTTTGCCCATTTTTCTGTTGGGTTGATGATCTCTTTCTTTTTTTTTCTTTTTTTTTTTTTTTTTTTTTTGAGACAGAGTCTCACTCTGTTCCCCAGGCTGGAGTGCAGTGGCGCAATCTTGGCTCACTGCAAGCTCCACCTCCCGGGTTCACGTCATTCTCCTGCCTCTGCCTCCCGAGTAGCTGGGACTACAGGCACCCACCACCATGCCTGGCTAATTGTTTGTATCTTTTAGTAGAGATGGGGTTTCAACGTGTTAGCCAGGATGGTCTCGATCTCCTGACCTCGTGATCCACCTGCCTCGGCCTCCCAAAGTGCTGGGATTACAGGTGTGAGCCACCACACCTGGCTGATGATCTATTTCTAAATGACATGCAGAAGTTCTTTATGTATGTCAGGCATGCATATTGCAAATATCTTTTCCCACTATCTGGTTTGTCTTTTTACTTTAATTAGGGAGATTATAATTAAACAGAAGTTTGACTTTCTATGTGATAATAAAATTCATCGCTTTTTCATAATTTGTGCTTTGTGGGAGGTCTTGGTCAAGAAATCCTGTCTGAGTCCAGTGCCATAAAGAACTTCTCCATGTCTCTTATAAAACAGAGATAACCTGAGAAGTAGTGCGTAAGTGTACACTTAATGAATATGCCAGAGTTCCAGAGCCATTGCCCACTGGCCTTCCTGAGCGCTTCTCCATGAAAAAAGAACAATTATCTTCTTTTTGTAACTTTATATTTCCATCCCTCTCCTCTGTCCCCACCTTGCTTCTGTTACCTTGTCTTTCCACTTCTAGGCAGAGACTGTGAATCCCAGACACTAACTACACATGAAACATTGATGGTTGCTGATGATGGTGGTGATGAAATTTATAATGGAAATGAGGTAACCAATTCCGAGAGGTGTAACCACCAGAGAAACACCACTGGCTGTACAGAGAACAGAAAATAAACCTAATAAAATTCTACCTATAGAATTATTGTTTTCATATGATACATGATTTAGAACACAGATAACTAGGGAGGTAGAGTGTTTCACAAAAGGCTTCCTAAAACTGGCACTGGCTGTTGCTGACATTAACATGTCCTTCAGACAGAGATTTGAAAAAAAAACATTTGGGAGAAACCAAGGAAATCTATTCACCCTCATATTGATGGATCTACCCTGTTTGAGGATAGAGAGAAAAATACCAACATGTGGGTTTTTCAAAAAATTACTGAAGGAAAAGGAAATGCAATTGCATCTAGAAGATTCAAGGGACGAGCACCCTTCTGAAAATGATCTGTTATAGGACCCAGAGGGGAAAAAATCTGAGAAATTAGTTAGCATTCTGAATAGAGTGCTAAGTATGGAGTCTGATATGATTTGGATATTTGTCTCCTTCAAATCTCATGTTTAAGTGTGATTACCAATGTTGGAAGTGGGGCCTGCTGAGAGGTGACTGGGTCACGGGGGTAGATCCCTCCTGAATGCTTTAGCACCGTCCCCTTCATGAGAAGTGTGTTCTTGCTCCATTAGTTCATGCGCGATCTGGTTATTTAAAAGAGTCTGGGACCTCTCCCTTCTCTCACTTGCTCTGGCCTTGCTATGTGATGTGCCTGCTCCCACTTCACCTTTCACCATGACTGTAAGCTTCCTGACGCTCTTATCAGAAGCCAAGCAAATATTGCCGTCATGCTTGTACAGCTTGCAGAACTGTGAGCCCATTAAACCTCTTTTCCTTATAAATTACTCAGCCTAAGGTATTTCTTTATAGCACTGTAAGAATGGACTAATACAGAGTCTCTAGGAATCAATAGCATAAAGTCATAGAGAGCAGGCTAAGGTGATAAGGCAACAAAAAGAGAAGAAAAGAAAGTGAAATAAAAGAAATGAATGAGAAGGAAGTATTGCATGGAAACTAAAATCTCAGCAACAAAACCAATATCTCCACTGAAATCGGAAGTTATGTTACGTATTGTTTTATATTGTTATATACTTCCATAAAGAAGTTCGATACTTCTTTATATTGTTGGTATAGGGAAGTTATGTCAAGGGAAATATAAATAGTAACATGTTAAACTAAAGATACTCTCCCAGAATGCAAAGAAATGTACTAAAAAGTGACACTGAAGGCAAAAAATCATAAATATAGAACAATGAATACAAAGATAATTGGTTTGCTTGAAGAAGACAAGACACAATGAAACAGAAACAATACTAGTTCACCCATTTATTCAACATGTATTTATTGAGCTATCTACCATGTGCTGTGCAGTGTGCTATGTGCTGCATAGGCTGCAATGAGCGTATTAAATGTGATTACTTCCTTCAATTAAGTTTCTATCTAATTAGATAGTACAGAAGCAAATACACAAATAAATATGTACTTGCAGATTTTGGTAAGCATTAAAGAAGAATGCAGAACAATAATTAACAACATAACAGAATAAAACATTAGTGAGTTGAGGGAAGACCTCTGCATGGAGCTTGAAAGTGAGCTTTCCCTGTCAGGCAAAACCAGTAAAACAGAACTATACCAGCTAGATAAAGACAGCATCTAAATTGTCATTTTTTAATTATAAGAGAAAAAATTCATAAGGGGTCATGCAGAACAATAACAACAAAAATACCTTAACAGGACTCATCTCTTCAATGCTAAATGTCAGAAACTTCTGGATCATCTTATCTAGAGACTTTGGAAAAAGATCATGAATTTCATACCCAGTAAAGTGTCTTCCATGTGCAAAGGCACATTACTTTATCAGATAAACTCTTCAAAATATCTCTAATCCATGTATTCTTCTTGTAGAAACTGTTAGTTCAGCCAAACAAGAGGAGATGAAAAAGTAAGAGCTCAAGTATGAAACTAGTTTGAAATGAGATAAAACTAAATTATTGATGCACACAAATTAGAAAACTGAAACTTTGAGGAACCACAAGGCACCCAGTGTGGGTGAAGTGAGATGGAAAACATGGTAGGGAAGGCACAGGCTACACACGTGTACTTGGGCCAGGTCCTACAGACCTTGCAGGTCATGCACTTTTTTTTTTTTTCCTAACCTGTTCCTCTTTGAAAGAAGTATGTCTACTAAAAATACAAAATTAGCCGGGCATGGTGGCTCATGCCTGTAATCCCAGCTACTTGGGAGACTGAGGCAGGAGAATCACTTGAACCCGGGAGGCGGAGGTTGCAAGGAGCTGAGATGGCGCCATTGTATTTTTAGTAGAGATGGGGTTTCTCCATGTTTGTCAGGCTGATCTCAAACTCCCGACCTCAGGTGATCCGCCCGCCTCAGCCTCCCAGAGTGCTGGGATTACAGGTGTGAGCCACTGTGCTGGCCGATTTTTTAATTGTTTATGACTTTTGGATCAGCAATTCAATTTCTATGAATTTTATCTAAGGAAATGATCAAAACAAATGCAAAAACAAATACAAATGCATATGTGTGTGTATATATATGAATGCTGGTTGTTGCATTGTAATAAAAAAATAGGAAACACATGTCTGCTAACAAAGGATATTTAAATACATTATAATACATCTGAAAAAAAAAAGAAGTATGTCTAACTTCCTCTAAAACATATTACTCTGATAATTGAAAACAGGTCTCCGCCTCAAATTATACAAAGCTTTCCCAATTCTATAAAATAAAGGTGAATACTCCAATAGAAAATTTCTAAAAAATGAAAAGACTGGACCAAAAAGGAAGACAAAAATGTAATTAAAAATGCAAAATTAAAAAAAAAATATTTTAACATATCAAAATAAAAATAGCTGAAAAAAAGATACTCTGTAGCGTTGGCAAGGGTAGGAGGAAATATACATTGCTTATGCAATGTTTGTAGAAATGTAAATTGGAATGATTTTCCTGGAGGGCAATTTGGCAACATATGCCAAATGCCTTGCAAATACACTACTCTTTGACTCAGTAATTTCACTTCTAGAAATTTGTTCTTGTGACTTTCCTTCATAGCATTTTCCTCAGATTTTTAAAAATAAGTTTTTAATTGTATATTTGTTTGTGTGATCATATGATTAATGCCTGTTTCTGTAAAGGCAGAGGTTAGTCATTTTGCTTATTATTGTAACCTAGCATGCAGTATATTCTTGAATACATGAATTAGAATGTTTTGAGAAAATATACACATACATATTTACATATTATTGGAAAATTTTCAATGAACTGGGGCATACTAGAGCTGTCTTCTACCAAGTATCCTGAATCTTGATTGTGGTTATGGTTACACATATTTATACATGTGTTAAAGTTTATTAAGCTGTCGATTATAGGGTATATAATTTTAAAAAAATAATAAAAAAGGAAAAATGTAATATATACTCAAAATTAATTACTTATTATGTTTTACTATTTCTATGCTTTTGAGGTGATTTATGTGAACTTAGGGTAAACATGCTGCATGATTGTGTGCTATGGCATTTTTATTTCCAACACTTTGTTCACTGACTTCATATGGTAACTTAAAATTGACCACGTGGGAGTATTTACACTGCAGAAAGTGACAAATGCTAACAACTTAAGGCTTTTCTCTTTGGAGAGCCAGTTGTTAAATATTTATCAGCTCTCCCTTCTTATGGAGCCGGGCTTTGTAAGCAAATGTACCATGAGCATTTGGAACTTGGAGAGGAGATAAGAGGGTGGGTGGGCATAGAGCCTCCATCTGCTTATTTTTCTGGGATCCTAAATGTATACAAGAATAGAGGAACTCTCTGCAGAAATGTGAAGGAGGTATAACATTTTCCATTTTTAGGCAAAGTTATTAAACTATGTCTGAAACACAGGGATCATTGTGATGGAAGCTACCTGTTAGGAGAGGGAGCAAGACCCCTGTAGTGAATATTGTTGGAACACCCATATCCAGCTGCTGAGAGTATTGGGCTGCTAATGGCTCACAGTTACCCCCTTCTTCAGAGAATTGCCCTTGACTGACCAGAAGCTGCCTTGCCTGGAAGGTTATGCTTCCTACTCCTCCTCTGGGGACAGTCCATAGCCAATGACTAGCTTGCGTGAGGTATAAAAGGCTGGATCCTTGAACCTCTAGGGGGACAACTCTGTGGTGCAATTGACTCATGCTGAGACCACATCCTTGCTTAGCTCCTTCTCCTCCCCTGCCCTGCTTCCCTTATTCCCTTCTCCTGAGAATCATCTTTAATAAATTAATTTATCATAAATCCCCAATTTCAAGCTCTGTTTGTATGTATCCTGGCCTCAGATAGAACAAAGAATGATTTCAATAGGAGAGTATGTGAAGACTTGACCAAGAACAGAGGCATGTGTTGGCTTCCAGGCCTGTCCTAGTCCTGTCCCAACAGTCATTCTGTTCACAAGTGATGCTCTCAAAAAGTGGACATGTGGATGAAACTAAGATCAGGCACTTTCAATCATGAAATGCCCTTATCTATACAACACACTGAGGTGGGAGCATCCTCACCACCACTCTAGGACCCATGCAACTTGGGCAGAGACTAGGAAATGCAGGATCAGCAGGATTGCTATCTCCGTAGATTCCCTGGGTCCAGTAAGCAGTGATTATAAGCCTCAAGATTTGTAAAGACTAGAGGAGACAGGATCCAGAGACACTCAAAATGGCGGCCAAGTTGGGATCTTGTCTCTGGCCACTGTTATGTTAGGCTGTTAACAAGAAGTGGATGAGGCTCCTGGCTTCATCAAGAATAGAAGAGACAATGATGGGAAGACGTTGCAATAGTATTTATGGTTGCACATGAATGGCTGACTTCTGACTTCCTGGGGACCCAGTGGAGTTTCTGTTTCATTGCTGAAGAGTTAAAGGCAGCAAGAATGAAGAAAGAGCCCCTAGGAAGTTTTGCATTATTCATTCAACAAATACTATTGAGCTAACCACTTGTCAAGCACTGTTCTACATTATCTTAGATTATGCTCGCTGGAAACAAGCTGTGTGGCAGAAGTTAGCCTGCAGGAGGTTTACTGGGGAGTAATTTCAGAATAACATCAGTAGGGGAGTTAGGGAAGGAGGATATTATAGGCCCCAGCCAATTCCACAGAAAGCTCTGGATTTGGAATGACCCTTTGGAGTTGTTCCAAGTTATGGTGAGGGGGCTGGGCCTTTAGATACCCCCAAACCTACAGATCATTGGATGTGGGCTACCTCTGGAGAAGATGTAACTTTGGCAGAGTAGCTCCCTTGGTTGAAGGCTCTTCTGAGAGAAGGATTCATATGTGAGCCAGCACTCGGAGCAGGTTGGGTAATAAGTACCTTGGTCCTGAGCATGTGATCTGGAGAGTGAACCATGCCATCCATTAGTGATACTAGGATGCAACAGTGATAAAAAGAGATAAACTCTTGCTTTATGGAGATTACATTCTAATGGAGACAGATAATAAATAAATGAGATTCTCACGAAAATGCTATCACAGTGATCGTTTCTGGTTGGGTAAGTTCACAGGGGATTTTAATTTTTCCTATTCTTACTTGTGTGCATTTCCTAAGTAGCCAATAAGAAGTATGTATTACTTGGATAATTAAAACATAAACATTATTTTAAAAATCTTCTAGAAGATGGGCCAGGCGCAGTGGCTTACACCTGTAATCCCAGCACTTTGGGAGGCCAAGGTGGGCGGATCACCTGAGGTTGGGAGTTTGAGACCAGCCTGACCAACATGGAGAAACCCCATCTCTACTAAAAATACAATATTAACCAGGCATGGTGGCTCATGCCTGTAATCCCAGCTACTCAGAAGGCTGAGGCAGGAGAATCACTTGAACCAGGGAGGCGGAGGTTGCAGTGAGCCGAGATCGAGCCATTTGCACTCCAGCCTGGGCAACAAGAGCGAAACTCCATCAAAAAAAAAAAAATCTTCTAGAAGAATGTATGGGTAACAATAGCCAAGATTAATTTTGATTATATAGACTCATCAGAGGCATTTGTCCTATCAGCTGTTTAAATAATAAGATGTAAGTCTGTACGAACAGATCAATGGAACCAAACAAAAATTTGAGAAAGGAACCATGCTTGACATAACAATTTGGTCTGTGATCCAAGTGGCATCATAGTAAGGTGTTTAAGGGAATGGACTGTTGGGAATCAGAGTGTGTGTTACTGGCTGTGTCCTTGCTCAACCTTTCTGAGGCTCAGTCCCCAGATCTGCACAGTGTTGTGAGGTTTAAAGCAAATGATGTATGCTAATGTGTGTAAAAAGATTTAGCACAATTCCAGGCATGTAGCAAGTACTGATAAGTGGTAGTGGAGATGATTATTAATAAAATCATTAATATTCACTCTAGATATGTTAAAAATTTTACGTAAAAAAAGAGGAAGTACATTCCAGGAGAATTAAATAATTAAATGTAAAAAACTATCACTACATTCCAAATGAGTTTAATAATTTTTTAAAACCCGTGCATTAACATTTAAATGTACCCAAATCAAAAGTCTTAAAATTGTAGCTTTAAATGCAATTCAAGCAAAAAAAATTTTTTTTGAGAAATGGAATTTGGGCGTTATTAGAAGTCTCCTCACGATGGCTGGACTTTTCCCTTGCAGAATCAATTTGCTTCCCTCCACTCTGATAGAAGTAGGAACTATGCTTCTTGTTTGGAAATTCCTTCTAAGTATCTATTTAGAATTCTGCTGTTGCAGCCCACCATTTTCTCTCCACTCTCTGCCTTGTATTTTACATCATCCAAAGCTCTACTAATAGGAGCCATCTCCAGAGACATTATCTGACCTCCTCTACCTGAGATCTAATAACTCTGAGAGTTTTCAGATGTTTAAAGTGTCAGGCACACCATTATCCAAGGAAATATTTTACCTAGCCATTTACCAAGTTTCACAAAATCATTTTCCCAAACACTGACAGTGCTTTGTGAAGGATAAATAAGTATAGAAAATTGCGAGGATGAACCAAACATCCAGTGATTTTGTAGATGGATCATTGCCAGAGCCTCGAACTTGTTTATCTTATTAAAGATAAATTAGTTAGAAATGAACAAAATGGTTTTGACAAAATAACTGTATTTGGCATATGTTTACTCTGACCTTCAAAACCACTCCAAGTGTTTCACATTTTAATATTCTGCTTTTTCACTAGCTCTTCATGCACAAGTAACATTAAAAATAATTTTGTATGTTACTATTATTTTATTTATTGATTGTTCATCACTTTTAAATTATGATACTTGTATATTATAGAGAATTAGGAAAATAGAGAAAAGTAAAAAGCGATGGAAAGTCACTATTAATCTCATGAAACAGATATAACCATAACTAACATTTTAAGATATTTCTTTCATGTTATTTTTCAGGTATATACAGAGATATAGCAAAATTGGGATTATACAGCATAAGAAGTTTTATCTCCTTTTAAAAATTAAAGATTATGTAGTAAATTTATTTTCACATCTTTAAATGATATTCAGAAACCTTATTTTTAGAGATTATCAAGTGTATGTTTATGTTGAATCACTATAATTTACCTAAGTGATTTCTTCTTTTTGGACATACAGGTTATTTTCAATGTTCGCTATTATATGTAACTTCTTTGTATATATCTGTCAATAAATCTATTTTTGGATTTTTTTATTTTGTCAAGCTAAATTTCCAGAAATGTAATTACTAGTCATATGGCATGAACATTTTAAAGATTTTTCACATGTTAATTTAGCCTCTCTGTATCTCAGTTTCCATATTGTAAAATGGGATAATATTAATGCAAACCTTACATGACTGTTGAGAGGATCTAGTGAGATAATTTATTGTCAGTTTTTAGCAAATTATAAGGTAGTATACAGTTTATTATCATTAGTCATTCCATTCCATCCCATTCTAATCCATGCCAGTTGGTTCCCAGGCAGGCTAATTAGCTGCATCCTATTGCAAGCTTGCTGAACGCAAAGGCAGACTATTAATAAATTCCTGGGTAGCCAGTGGCTGCTGGGACCTGATACTAGCATTTTATTCCATTGCAAACTCACCAGTGCTTTTTGTTCCATTTCCCTACCTGTAGTTATATGCTTTGTATGTAACATATAACTACATGGGATATGCATGGGCTAAAACAGAGCAATATGAGGAGTGGTAAAAAACTTGCCCATTTTTTGCCATTCTATACCTAAAGGTTCAGCCTAGCTCCAAGAAGTTTGATCCCAAAGCTTCACTGTTTTGTGGAATCATGAAGAGCAACTAATAAATACAGTGTTTTATTTTTTAATGGAAAAAAGTAACTTCCTGAATGTGTTCCTAGAATTCATATTTATAGTCATAGATACAAACACACACACACACACACTCCACACACACGCATTATATGCATCATTACCAGGTTCAACATCCAATTTTAGGGAAATCATCAGGGACAAGGCCAGCACATCCAGGTTCATTCCAGGCGGCAGCCTGAGTCTGCACTAGGGAGATGAGTAAACGAACCCAAGAAAGCACTAGCTGAGTCCCTCTGAAGGCCCAGAGCTCTCTGACCATAAACTGTCAAAGGGATAATGAGCTTCAAGTCACAAAGTGAAGCAAAATGGAAGAAAAATTCAGGCCAGTTAAATAAAGTTGAAGTGACTGGTTTGCTGAGGGACAGCAATGGCTCACAAGGAGAATCTCATTTCATCGTTAATTTGCATATGGTGAAGATTGATTTTCTACGGCTAATCCAAATTTATGACACATCAGGTGATATTTAAAGGACTCAATGGAGCATTTAATAGCCAAACATTTTTCCTGATTAGTACCCACTTGACCTGGTGGCCCAGAGATGAATGCTGATTACCCTGTCCCCCTCCTCCTTCCAAGTGGCTCTAAGCAGAATAGCTGCCAATCAGGCAGCAGAAAAACACAGCCAGACTGTAGTCAGAACATCCTGACACTTAGAAGTTAGGAACTCTCGAAGTGTGGAAGGGAGTTGGTGGAGGGGAACTGATGGGTTTGTCTCTTTTCAAAAATTACACCTGTCAGGGACTTTATAGCTTTCACATCCCAGCCTCATTTATGCAGAATACACTTATAGGGCAGTCATTAGATGTTATCATTTTTCTGATAAATAATCTCAACAATCTTGATAGATAAGGATTCTTAATCCCAATTAGCAAATCAGAAGCCTGAGTCTCAGAGAAGTTAAGTAATCTATTTGTCCAATCACCTAGCTAATGAGTGGTGGGGCCAGGATTGAAACTCGGTTCAGGATGACTCCAAAGCTTAGACGCTTTCCAGTTCTGCATTGCTCATTGAAGACTCCTGGGTCACTGCTTCGGTTGGTGTTGGATCTGAGCAGAAACTATCAGGAGTCTAGGTCAAGGCATGGGGGTGAGAGTAGGCAGAGCCAGGCCAGAAGTCCCTGCATAAATCTAGACACCAGATATCAGAAAATTTTGATCACGGCTTTTATTTCTTTGCAACAGTCGTCCTCAGGTTCTGAAGAGAACTCACCGGTTGTAGAGTCTGTGTTAATCACCCAGCATTAATATTTCCATTGCTCCATCATCATGTGTAAGCCTGTCAACAGCGTTCTTCTCCAGAAGTAAACTTGCTCAACCTTTAGTTTCACATCAGTGAAGGTGGATTCTTTCACCAAGATGGACTTGTTTGTTCTCAGGAAATCCATACAGCCCTCGATGAAGAGTTCAGAAACTCTTTTTATGCATTAAAAGCACCTACACAATTTGATGGTTTAATACAACAAGTTTTTCCTCATAATTCTGTGGGTCAGCAGTTTGGGCTGGGATCAGCTGGGCTGTTCCTCTGTTGGTTTTCCTGAGGACACTCGTGACTGCTGTCATCAGGCAGTTCCACTGGGGCTGAGTGATCCAACATGACTCACTTACATGCCTGGCTATGGGTGACAGCTCTTCTCCGGACCTTACTCCCCACAAGCTTTCTCATCCTCCAGCCAGCTGGACTGGACTTTTCCACACAGTGTTCTCAGGGTCTCAAGAGAGCGAGAGCAGAAGCTGCCAGGCCACTTGAGGTCCAGACTTGGAACTAACACCATCACTTCTACTGCAATTTATTGTTCAAAGCAGGACATTAAGCACCCCTATTCAAGGGGGTAGAGAAATAGACTCTACCTCTTGATGGGGGAAGCAAAGGCACCTGAAAACAGAAGTGGGAGAAATCTGTGACCGTTTTTTGCAGTCTTTCACAAGGAGAAAATAATCTTACCTGGACAAAGAAGAGGCTTCACCCCAGTGTTCTTTCAACTTTAACATGAACATGAATCACCTTAGGAACTTGTTACAATGCAGGTTCTGATTCAGTTGGTCTGGTGTGGGACTGAAGGTATTTCTAACAAGCTCTCAGGTGATGCTGATGCAGCTGGTTCACAGAGTACAGTTGGTGAACCAAGGTTCTAATCACTGACATGGGGTAAGTCCATTCCCTTTTCTCTACTAAGTGGGGCGAGTGCTGGCCTGCCCAATAATGTACTGGTTCTTCCAAGGGTAGAGAGCCACCCAGCCTATGCCTATAATTTAAGATATGCTGCCAGTGAACTCAGTTAATGCAGTATGTACATTATAGGTCTACTTTAAGAACCACAGTGGCCTGACACGGATCACATACCTGCTGGAATTACTTGATTCTCTGTTAGCTCTGTGTCTGTGTTTTCCAGTGTGGTTTTGTGACCACACTGGGAAAGATCCACAAATGTCAATATTAAAATGTTCACTTTGACTTTAAAAAATGCCATCATTGCTTTCTATAGGATTTTAAAATTAGATTTTAAATAGTTTCACATTTCAAGCATTATTATAACAGATTGCTTAGGCCAGATGGATGGTTCTCTGAGGTCTTTACCAGAACTGGTAAAGCTTGTCTAATGGTATTCAATCACAACTCTCTCACATTTTAATTCCTCTTTCATCAGAGGCTGTGTGTACCATCATGTCAGGAAGGGGCCCAAGCTTGGGGACAGATACTCAGATAACAGAAACCTGGGTTAAAATTTTTAAAGCCTGGGGCTCTGGTCACTAGAAACACAGAGTATCTTTCTCTTTCTGATATGAACTGATGATGCAGTTTGTAATACAGCTAAGGTGAATGTCCTGAGTGTGTGTCTGTTTCTGGCTGATGTGGGAGCAATAAGGCATTTATACACAAGATTGGCCAATAATTATAGCTGTTCATTTGTTTTTGTTTTTTTTTTGATGTCACCAAGCCATTCTATTTTTGTCCTCCCAAATCTGATCACCTGGGGGAAATTGAGGCAATGCATGTAGTTCTTCTTCCGATAGTATGGTGCTGCAAATTTGAAAAAAATGATAAGAAACACAGACATAGATGATGGGCCACAAACATAGTTATCTTTCTCTCTGAATGAAAACAAATAAAAATCAGGGATCAGGTCAACACCAAGAGACACTTGTTTGTTTTTAACGGTTGCCCAGTTTCCTTTCAAAATGGAGGATTGAAGTATGATACAGTTAGATAAGGAGAAAAAAAAGGTCTAGTTATAAATTAATAGAATGCTAGCATTCCAAAGAACCACAGGAATCAATGAATACAAGCCTCTTACTTTACAAATAGGAAAACTGGGGCCCAGACAGGTGACATGACTTTCATGAAGCCATGAAGCTTGCCCCTGGTCGTCCAAATTCACTCTATTGACTCCAACAAATCATGAAGGAGATTTTACACTCTGAAGTTGCTGTCATGCTATTGGTCCTGCTTCTATGATTTCTTGCACCTTTACTAGAAACTTCTGGTCTTGTATTTGAGATTTTCCAAATCATTTGTTCAAAATCATGAGTCTGATAAAAACCCTGTTTTCTCCTTATGGCCTGTTCCATTCTTCCCTGGAAGTTTCTCATTTCACACTATCACATTTTTATTAAAGTCATGCTGACAAATGAGGGAAATAAAACCCTTCTGAGGGTTGCTTTCCACCAAACTTTCTCTCTCTTCTGTGCTTTATTAAAATAGAAAGGACAAGAAAAATCTCATATTATACTACTCTGCAGGCTTTCTGGAATTATACATTAAATTGGCTGCTTCTGTGAGGGTCCATCAGGGTTCGTGGGGGAGGAAGGGGAAGAAATTTTGTGTACAATCCTGGACACTTTTTATGTACAAGACCATTTAATCCTCATAACAACTTTCCTCTATTTTACTGGGAAAAAGAATTGAAGCTCAGAGTAGTTAAATAGCTTGCCCAAGATTACACTATTAGTAGGGAGAAGAAGTTGGTTTGGAACCCAGATCTCCAAACTCTTTAGTCTTTGTTCTATACCAATGGTTCTCAAATGTTTGTCCAGGTTGTATTAGAATCATTGTGGAAATTTTCAAATATAAATTCTCAGGATTCACTTTCTGGCATGATCTTATAAATTTGAGTTGGGATCCAAAAATTCTATTATATATCTTTGTTTCTATTTTATTTTCTACTTCTATATCTGCATGTATCTCTGTCAGTTAGTACTTGATACATAATCACTTGTCCTCAGAAGTTTAATATACACCTTTATTTAGCTCATGATTCTGTGACTAGGGAGTTGGAGCTGTCCTCAGCTGGGTGGCTCTTCTGCTGGTCTTGCTGGGCTCACACATCCATGGTTGGCTGCCAGGTTACTGGGGACTGGCTGGTCTATGATGGCCTCAGCTGAAACAGTTGATATCTGCTCCATTTGGTCTCTCACCCTCTAGCAGGTTAGCCCAGGCTTTTTTACATGGTAGCGGTAATGAGGGGTCCCAGCAGCAAAAGAGGGCAAGTTCCAATACATAAGCAATTTTCAAGCATCTACTTGTACCACATTTGCTATTGTCCCACTGACCATAGCAAGTCAAGTGACCAAGCCTGGAGACAACGTGAGGATACCACACAAGGGCAGGGATACAGGGAAGACAATTATTATGACCATTTTTGCAACCAATATATGTCTCTAGGTAAATATAGATATTTGCTGAACATGCATGGAGATAAAAGTTGGAACAGTACTTAAGGGTATGGAAATATGTGTGCACTTCATCTAGCCCCCTTCCTCATAATCCTACTCTCCAAAGGATCGTACTTTTAACTATGTTTTTAGCTAGTGGTGTATAACTTTTTTACTGTTACTCAACAATTTGAGAAAATATTATAGTTATATGAGTAAACTTAACTTACAGAGTCAAATTCTTCAATAAAGTTTGTTACAAACAACAGAAGCTTCCTTCTGATTTTGTTCCCCTCAGAGGCAAGTACTTTCAATTCTTCTGGCTGATTCTTTTGGTAGTTACCTCCATATTACTAAGAATTCTTTTTTCTGTTTTCGCTTCTCAACTTTTCAGTATCTATTGTTTTTTTTCAGAAGATGAGAGCCCAGACCTCTTTTACCTCACCTCTGCCCTCATCAAACCACACACCCTTTGCACCCCATCCCTGTCAGTGAAGCTGTCTTAGAACTTTCTCTACTACCAGCCTGGGATTCAGCTGTCCCAGGTCAGTTGAGAGTTAGTCCCAAACCATTTGCTTCCCAACTTCCAAAATTTTTCTGATGTTATACTTTACTCTTTCCTTTTGTTCCTATGGGTTTTTTTTTTGTCTTTTAAAAAGCCCCTTTACTGTTGTTTTGTTGGGATTTCAAGACAGAGTAAAAATATACCCATGTGCTCCATCTATCATCTTGATATGGAAGTCCTATAGTATTTTTTCTTGATTTGTCAACATCAAGAAATATCCCATTGATGCTCTCCTTTGAAAAGCAAGCATTTTAGGTCATTTATACTATCGCTGTCACCCTCTTTTGTTCCTTTTGATTTGGATTAGTTATATTTTTATTTTTATTTTATTTATTTGGGTCAGATCCTAGGCAGTAGGGACACAGCAATTAAAAAAAATAGTCAAAGTCCCTGCATTCTCAGAGCTTACATGCTAGTAGGGCAAACAGAGTCTCAATTATATATACATACATATACATGTAGTTATTACAAACATAAAAGTATAATGTATAAAATTATAAAATATATATATAATTTCTGGGCCTTCTACATCTGAAGTCTTGTGTCTTTCTCTAGCTCTGGAAAATGTCTTCTATTGTTTTTAAGATATTTTCTCCCCTATATTTTCTGTTTTCTCTTTCTAGACTTTTACTTGATGGATGTTCCCCCTCCTGGTTAGACCTTTCTCCCAGTTCCAGCCCTGCCATGAATTGCTTTCTCATCCCCCTTCTCTCTCCTCTGCTCCATCCCTCTCTTGCTTAACATCCCAGGAAATTTTAAATTATAGCCCCTGCATTCAATGTTTAATGTAGTGATCATATTTTTAATTTTCCTAATTGTATTTGTGAACTTTTGTAAACTATTTCTTATTCTCTTATTGCTCCTTTATATGGCCGTGTGCCCTTGTTTAAATGGATGCAGTAGCCACTCAACTTTTTCTGGGAGGCAATTAGATTTCTTTGAGGTTTTCTTCTTCTCCAAAAGTTATTTCTGCTTTCCTGGGGTCACTTGTTCTATTTGATCTTATCAGCCCATCTCCTTTGTTTCACTTGTTTGCTTCAACAGCTAGTGAATCTTGGTAATCCTGTCATATTTATGAAGGAATAACTATAGCAATTACCATGAGTAAGTGGCTGGAGTTTTCTCTACTGTTTTATTATTTTATTTTATTTTATTTTATTTTATTTTATTTTATTTTATTTTATTTTATGAGGCAGGGTCTCACTCTGTGGCCCAGGCATGGTGCAGTGGCTTGATCACAGCTCACTGCAGCCTCAACCTCCCAGCCTCAAGCAATCCTTTTGCATCAGCCTCCCGAGCAGCTGGGAACTACAGGCACATGCCACCACGCCTATCTAATTTTTGTGTAGATATGGGGTCTCTCCTTGTAGTCCAGGCTGGTCTTGAACTCCTGGGCTCAAGTGATCCACCTGCCTCACCCTCCCAAAGTGCTGGGAATACAGGCATGAGCCACCACACCTGGCCTTTCTCTACCTTTTTAAATGTTCATTTTTATCACAGGCTGCCTATGAGTGGACCAGATGGATAAAGCAGAGACCTTCATTTTAAGGGGTCCAGCAGATCAGGTGACCACTTAATGTCCCCTGAAATGTCAAGAAAAAAAGAGTCCAGCCCAAAGGTTCAGCCTCTCCATCAGATGTCCAGGTAGGCATGTTGTTCATTGATTTTGAATCCTTCTCCTAGGACCGAACTTTGACACGACATATGCTCAGAGCAAGGGTCATCTGAGGGAGGGATCCCTTGTAGCTGGCTTGACTATGGAAGTCATGGAGAAGGTAGTGTTTAAGCCAGGAATCCCTAGGCCAGGATGTATCAATTAGGAATCTTAGGTTACATACAACAGAAAACATCACTCAAAAATTTATTGACTCAAGTAACAGAAGCCTTGAGTTAGGACGGCCTTCAGGGTTGATAGATCCAGTGGCTTAGCAATCTCACTAAGGAATTTCCTCTCTTCTATTCTCACTCCCTTGCACAGTGCTGACTTTGTTCTAAGGCTGGTTGGTTGATGGTTGACAGCAGCAGGTGGTGCCTTTGTTTCCCCTTTTGTGTCCAGTGGGTGAGAGGCAATGCTTTTGCCCCAGTGTTCCAAGCAAGAGACCTTAATTCCCAACGACAGGATGGCTTACATCACATGTCCACTCCTGGACCAATGACTAGATTCAAAGGGTATAACGTTCCGATTGTTCCGAGTCAACCAGGGTCTGCCCCTGGTGCTGAATGGGGTGGAGTCAGCTTCCTGGAGTGGGAGGGTGGATAACTAAACAAGACTGTGGACACTGATAGGGTGGAGAGTGGCTGCGCGAGAGGCAACCAGCAATATCTACTGCAGCAGAAAATCACAGTTTAGACAAGCCATCAGTAGGAAGAGAGGGCTGAGACTGAGCAGTCTAGTCTGAGTTTGGGGGCTGCTGAATATCCCAGTGTGACTACATAAAAAGTAGAGTAGCATCTTTGTGCCTCTCTTTACCTGGTGTATGAGTTTCCTCTCTAGGTCTTTAATTTGCTTTCCACAACTCTTCAGATTAGAGACCTTCATGTTTGAGTCAGTATCCCAATAACTCCACTGGACAGATTCAGGAGATCTGTCAATCTCATGCAATTAAATGCAAAGCTGGATGTATTTGCACATTTTTCTGGGACACAACAGAAGGCTGGCACGCTATTGCCTCCTTGCTGATCAGCCTACCCTGATTCCTGCCCACCTGTATCCTGGACACAAACACATACCTCTTTCTGCTTCTACCAATTTCCATGGGGTTGACCTAGTATATACTTGATCCTTTCACGTTCGTTGACTTTAAACCAATGAGGAAAGGACAGATGGTTGATAAATGGAGTTGGGTTATCTAGCTAAATATTTAGAAAAGATAAGCCTTGCAATTTCTACACAAAAATAGATTCCATATGGTGTAAGAGAATAAATGTAAAAAGTTTTACCAAGAACATACTAGAAGACATTATACTTGAATAACAATATAATTTTTAAAGTATGAAAGGAATTCCTTAACATAAGCTCAAGGGCAGTTATCTTAAAAGAAAATTATGTAGGGATTAAAAACCTCTGAACATCAAAAAGAAGCATAAACGATTAAAAAGCAAATAAACTAAAAAAATATGAAACGTGTGTGGCCAAGGATTAATATAATTAATCTATAAAAACATCCTTATAAGTCAGTAACAAAAGATGAATTCTCCAAAAGAAACATGGGCTACAGACATGAACAGTTAGTTTACAAAAGATGAGTTACAAAGTACTAATAAAAACAAATAAAAATGTAAAAACCTTCCATCTTACAACAGAAGTAAGAAAATAAAAACAATGAGATTTTTCTTTAAAATTATAACAGTCAATAAAAGAAAGCTATAAGGAAATGAACCAGGGTATAGTCTACTGATGGAGTTTAAATTAGCACCACATTTTTTAGACTGCCATGGTAGTTTTTAGCTTGTAAAACTATAAAGTATCAAAAACCTTAAAAATGTGTGTTTTTTGATTTAGCAATTCCACGTTTGGAAATTTAGTGTAATAAAATAGTCACATAGACAAAAATGTAGGTTCAAGGATATTTATTATAATGCTTTTTGTTTAGTGAAAAATGGGAACATTCCACTGTTTACTAAAAGCATGTTGATTGAAGAAATTATGGCCCACTTTTACAATGAAATGCTGCGACTATTACAAATAATTTTAAAGAAATATGTCCAAAGACATGGAAATATGCTGAAATACATTATTGAGTGAAGAATGGGAGTCATGAAATAGAAGTACCATGATCCTTCTCTTACAGTATGTATTTATATACAGAGATACACAGAAAATTATCTTCTGAGCAACACTGTCCAACAGAAATATAATGCAAACCACAAATATATTTTTATGTTTCCTAGTAGCCACATTAAAAAGATAAAAAGAAACTAATATAACAAATAATATGTTTTATTTAACCTAATATATTAACAATATTTTAATTTCAACATGTAATCAATCCTAAAATTATTAATGAGATATTTCATATCCTTTTTCCATATTAAGTCTTTAAAATCTGATGTGCATTTTCCTCTTACAACATATCTAAATTCAGACTAGCCACATTTCAAGTGCTTAATAGCCATGTGGGACTAGTGGTTATTAATTTGGAGAGTGCAGATCTAGAATTATATTCACCAAGCTGTTAACAGCAGTTGGAATAATTAGTGTCCTTTTTTGTTTTTTTCTGTTATTTGTATTTTCTGGAATAATCATGAACTACATTTTTAATAGGAAAAAATGAGCAAAGAAACTTTTCTATTTGCTGAAAAGAGGGAGTAAAAATAATAATTTTAATGTCAGACCAAGCAGAAGCAGAAAAGAGAATCCACTGCATTGATTACATACTCCCAAAGAGTGGAACAGAGCTCCTGAGATCTCCACAGGTAAACCCCCAGTATAGTACACCCCATGAGGGTGCTTAGTTATTTCAGGGAAACTGGAATTTTGTTCAAGCAAAATTACTGATTTTAAAAATGGCTATCACCTAAACTTTGGAAATGAGAGTAATTCTACAGACGTGTGGTGAGAAAAACATTTGAAACCTTTCTCCATGTGGATGGTAATCTTAAATGAAGAATTGGAAGAATCCTGCAATACACTTGTCCATTAAGCCAGATTGGTGGGTGGAATTATTCCAGAAGAGATAACATAAAAATAGAATCATTATTTAATTACAATTCAATTATTCAGATCTCTTCACATCATGTATACTTTAAATGAAGAGCTAGAAACAGCTTATTCTAGTCATTAGGATACACATGTAACACAGGTAGTGATTCCCCTCCAGCTGTAAGCCTGTGAAATCCAGCAAGGGACCCACATGAAGCAAAGTAGGTAAGCTGAGGAACTAATAGCATTCTTGCAAATAAGCTTGTTTTTCCAATTTTGGGTCTGCCAATTAGTTTTCTTTAACTATCCCAAGGGTTAAAGATAAATAAGCTGTAAATTCCGTATTTTATTTGCTGGTGCCTCCACAAGGTCTAGCAGAGGACCTAGTATATGACAAAAGCTTGTTACTAATTTACTTAATAGCACTATTTAGTGACTATCTATTGCATGTCAGACCCTGTTATGCTTGGAATACATCAGGGAACAAACAAGACAAAAATCCCTCATGGAGCTTCCATTCTAGTGAGGTGAAATAGATACTAAACAATATACATGATAAATAAGTAAATTACATAATATATTATAAAGTGATAAATGCCATGAAAAAAATAGAGGTGACTACACACTCATGTTCATTGTAACATTATTCACAACAGCTAAGAGATGAAAGCAACCTAAGTGTTCACTGATGGATAAATGGATAAACAATATGTGAGTAGATAGATATGTAGATAGACAGACACATATTTATGTACAATGTGTCTCAGTCTGTTCCTGCTGCTATAACAAAATTCCTTAGACTGGGTTATTTATAAACAACAAATTTAGTGCTCTTAGGTCTGGAGGCTGAGAATTTCAAGATCAAGCTGCCAATACATTCAGTGCCTAGCGAAGGTTTGCTCTCTGCTTCAAAGGGGGTGGCTTTCAGCTATGTCCTCACATGGCGGAAGGGGCAAACACTGTGTTCTCATATGGTGGAAGGGCAGACAGCTCCCTTCAACCTCTTTTATAAGGGTATTAATCCTATCCATGAGGGCAGGGCCATTATGAGAATCATTTTCCAAAAGCCTCCACTTCTTAATACTATCATATTGGATATTAGATTTCAACATATACATTTTGGGGGAAATACCAACAAGCAGATGAAAGCATTCTGGCCCCCTGAGTTTAGTCCTTCTCACATGCAAAATACATTTATTCCATTCCAATAACCCCAAAAGTCTTTGCTTCAACATCAATGCAAAAGTCTAAAGTCCACAGTCTCATTCAAATATCATCTAAATCACATAAGACTCAAAGGTGTGATTTATCCTGAGGCAAATTCCACTCCAACTATGAGTCCGTGAAATCTAACAAGTTATGTGCTTCTAAACTACAATGGTGGGGTAGACATAGGGCAGGCTTTTCCATCCTAAAAAGGAGAAACAGGAAAGAATGGAGGCCTAACAGGTCCCAACCAAATTTAAAACTCAACAGGGCAAACATTAAATCTCAATGTTCCATAATAATCTTCTTTGACTCCATGTCCCGCTTTCTGGACACACAGGTGGGGTTTGGTCTCCCAAGGCTCTGGGTGGCCCTGCTGCTATGGGTTCCTGGGTGTGGCAGCTCTCACAGATTGGAGTTTTGTACCTGCAGTTCTTCCAGGCTGGGGTTGCACAATGGGGGCTCTATAGTTCTGGGGTATTGGGAATAGCCCTGACCCCCATGGCTTCACCAGGCATTGCCTTAGTGGGGACTTTCTGAGGTGGTCCCACCCTCAGGGTTCCACTGGGTATTGCCCTAGTTGGGGCTCATTATAGTGGTTCCACCCTTGCTGTGGTTCTCTTCCTGGGCCTTGAGGCTCTTTGGGGCATCCTTCCAAATCTAGGTGAGGGTAGCCATCCCTTGACAGCTCATCCACCCCTGCACCCTGGTGGAGATGGAACCTCATAGATGCTGCCAAGGTTTACCACCTGTGCTTTCTGGAAGGGCTGGACAAGCTGCACCTACTTGAGTCACAAGTGGAGTGGCCAAGGAGTGCTGCACTGTAGTCAGGGGAGTGGAGCCTCGAAATCATTCTGCTCTCAAGGCCCAGATATTCTGGGCCTGTGATGGGTAGGGCACCCTCAAAGATCTCCAAAATGACTTTGAGGTCATTCTTGCATTGTCATAAAGAATAGCACTAGGCTTCTGCCCACCCATATTAATCTCTTTATCAAATGGTCACTTGGCCATGCCCTTGGTGGTATCTCCCAAACATGCCTTTCCATTCTTTACAATATGGCCAGGCTGAGAATTTTCAAAAATCTTTAAGTTTTGCTTCTCTTTTGATTATTAATTCCATCTTTAATTTTTTTTGTTTCTTCTTCCATTTTACTATAAGTAGTCAAGAGCAGCCATGCCACACCCCCAACACTTTTCTAAGAGATTTCTTCCACCAACTATTCTATTTCTGCACTCACAAGCTCTGCCTTCCACAAAACACTAGGACATAAATACAATTTAGCCAAGTGATCACTGATCCTTTATAACAAGGATCACTTTTCCTCCAGTTTTTAATAATATGTTTCAATTTCTGTCTGAGACTTCATGAGAACGGTTTTTATCATCCCTATTTCTACCAATATTCTAATCATGATCTCTTAGGTAATCTCTAAGAAGATTGAGGCATTCTCTATGGCTCTCTTCTTTTTTTGAGCCCTCACACTAATCACCCTTATGCTCTGTTCACAGCAACGTGGCTTTTTTCAGCATGCACCGCCAAACTCTCAGTCTCTACCCATTACCCAGTTCCAAAGCCATTTCTACATTTTCACATTTTTAGCTGTTTGTTATAATAGCACCCCACTTCTCAGTACCAATTTCTGTCTTAGTTCAGGCTACTATAACAAAATACTTTAGATTGAGTAATTTACAAACAACATAGACTTATTGCTCACAATTCTGGAGGCTGGAAATTCCACAATCAAGGTGCCAGAAGATTCAGTGTCTGGTAAGGTTTCACTCTGCTTCATAGATCTGGCCTTCTGACTGTGTCCTCACATGGCCTAAGGGCAAGTCAGCTCCCTTCAACCTCTCTTATTTATAAGGACACAAATCCCATTCATGAGGGTGGAGCCTTCATGGTTTAATCACTTCTCCAAAGGACCCATCTCTTAATACTCTCACACTGGATACTAGGTTTCAACATATGCATTTCGGGGGGACACCAACATTCAGACCATAGTACAGTGGGATATTATTCAGCCTTAAAAAGGAAGGAAATTCTGACACACACTACAACATGGAGAAACCTTGAGAAAAATATACTAAGTGGAATAAGCCAGACACAAAAGAATGAGTACTATATGATTCCACTCATAAAATACCTGGAGTAGTCAAATTCATAGAAACAGAAAGTAGAATGATGGTTGTCAGGGGCTGGAGGGGGAGGAAAAGGGGAGTTGTTGTTTAATAGGCACAGAGTTTCAGTTTTGCAAAATGAAAAAGTTCCAAATATTAGTTAAAACAATGTGAGTTACTTAACACTACTGAACTGTACACTTAGAAATGGTTTAAGATGGTACATTTTATATTAAGCACTTTTTGCCACAATTTAAAAATATTTGAAAAATAGAGAGTAGGACCGGGGTGCTGAGGGCAGGGGGCTCAGGGAGGTCTCAATTTTAATGGAGTGGTTAGGATAGGCCTCATTGTGAAAGTAACATTTCAGTGAAGATTTGAAGGAAGGAGGGGATGGCCACATGGCTCTCTGGAGGATACTTACATTCCAGGCATAGAGAACAGACAATGCAAAGGAGAGGCCTTGGCCTCATATGTGTGAAGAATGGCAAGGAAGCTGATTACGATTGGAGAGGAGTGAGAGGAGGGGAGAGGGAGATGAGGGTAGTCAGGTGATGGGAGCCAGGTCATGAAGGGCCCTGTACAACATTGTAAGGACTCTGGTTTTTTGTCTGAGATGGGAGCCATTGGAGAGTCCTTAGCTGAGGGGTGACAAAATCTAACTTAGGTTTACAGGGGATCGCTCTAAACAAGGGAAAGGGTGGAAGCTGGGAGACCATTTAGGAGACTGTTAGAATGGCAAAAATGTTGCTTTAATAAATAAATGAATGAAGAAACAGATAAATAAATGGAAACCATAAAATTAGGGAATTTTGAAGCTGTTATGTATTATTGTGTAGTGAAGAATTAACTTTACCCAAAGCAAGTTCTGTTCTTTGTCCTCAGCTGCTAGAAGCTGATCTCTAGGTCCCTTGAATGTCTTGTTTCATAGAAGTATTTTTGTTTGCCAGGGGTTTTTAGCCACTGGACAGCCTAATAATGCAATATGATGGGGACTTTGGCCCATGCCGTATCAGTTCTGATCTTTTCCCAGTTTCAGTTTAAGAACTGGAAACTAAAACTTTTAGCCCCAATCTCCAGGAGAGGCAGAGGGACTAAAGATCAGCTAACATAGGCAATATGTGATCAAACCCCAATAAGAACACTGGACAGTGGAACTCAGTTCAGCTTCCCCAGTTGGCAGTACTCTTGAGTATTATCACTAATTGTAGTTGGGAGGAGGTAACATTATCAAGGACTCCCCAGGAGATGACTGACAGTTTTCTGTTTGGGAAGCTCCCAGATCTTGGCCCTACGTATCTCTTTCTTTGGCTTGTTCTGACTTGTATCCTTTTGTTATAATAAAACCATAATTGGAAACATAGCTCTTTCCTAAGTTCTGTGAGTAGTTCTAGCAAATTGTCATGCCTGAGAAAGTCTGTGGGTAGGGACCCTTGAATTTGTAGCCAGTTGGTCAGAAGTGAGGGTGGCCCTGAAGCTCTCTAAACTTTCAGCTGGTATCTGAATTTTGAGCAGATGTGGTAGTTGTGTTGGAAGACTGTGCCCTTAACTGTGAGTTTGGCAAACTCATTGCAGCTATGTATTTTATTACAGTGGCTACTGAACTATATCATATGCATTCTATCACAAATTGTCACTTCCTGGATCAGAAGTTTGCTAATTACAGCCCATAGGCAAAATATGGCCCATTGTCTATTTTTACAAATAAAGTTTTATTAGAAAACAGCTATGCTCATTCCTTTATGTATTGTCTGTGGCTGCTTTCATGCTACAACAGCAGAGCTGAGCAATTGTGGCAGAGATGATACTGTCTGCAAAGCCTAAAATATTTACTGTCTGGCTCTTCATAAAAAAAAATTTGCCAGTTGCTGCTACTGACCTGGACCTGACCTTGACCTGGGAATTGGGAGTATGAACTCAGAGGGTCACTAAATATGGACATTGTCTTTCACAGGACAACATTTTCATGATGGTTCATACAGGACAAGGAAAGTGAGGCACAGTAATGGATTCAGCAAAAGAAGGGCAAATTGCTAGTTAAGTGTGGCACTATTGCTCTATTAATGTAAAATGACAGCTGTCAAAACTGGCTTCCGCCTTGACCTCTGTCATCAAAATATATTCTATAGGCCAGGTGCCGTGGCTCATACCTGTAATCCCAGCACTTTGGGAGGCCAAGGCAGGTGGATTACTTGAGGTCAAGGGTTCGAGACCAGCCTGGCCAACATGGTGAAACCTGGTTTCTACCAAAAATACAAAAACTAGCTGGGCATGATTGTGCATGGCTGTAACCCCAGCTACTCAGGAGGCAGAGTCAGGAGAACTGCTTGAATCCAGGAGGCGAAGGTTGCAGTGAGCTGAGATTATGCCACTGCACTCCAGCCTGGGCGACAAGAGCGAGACTCCATCTCAAAATACATACATACATACATATATATATCCTATAGAAGGATTCTTTTTTTGGTCCCCATGACTCACATCTCTAATTTTAGGCTTAGCAATGATGGTAATTTACATTAAATTTTCTACAAACCTTGCCAACAACTAACATAATAGGTGTTCACTTCTTTTAAACAATGCCAACTGGAGTCATTGAGTCTGAAGATTGGCTCAAATTCCATTCTGAATCCTGTAGAAAGTGAAATGCCACCTGATATTCTACCAGGACTCTGGAAGTTATGTCCAGAGGGTCACTCACACCGAGCACCTGTCTCTGCTGAACTAGTTATGTTCTGGGTTTCTCTTCCCCCCCATGTATGAGTTGTTCCCAGCCTGCCTCCTTGAGCCATCTCTGACACTCATCCACTTTTAGACTCACAGAAGATTGTTTCAGGTTTATAAGAACACGCTGAAAGTTAGGAAAGGCAGAAGAACTTGACGTGGCAGTCAACATCGGCAACTTACAAGTAAATACTACAGCACTACGTTTCCCAAACTGTGTGCGGAGACACCTTGAGATGCTGTAGCCAACTTACGGAAATGCTATGAGGGGGCCGGCCATGGTGGCTCACGCCTTTTTAAATCCCAGCACTTTGGGTTTTTCGCCATGTTGCCCAGGCTGGTCTCGAACTCCTGAGCTCAAGCAATCTGCCGAGGAGCTTGAGACGAGCCTGGGCAACATGGCGAAGCCCCGTCTCCAAAAGATACAAAAATTAGCCGGGTGTGGTAGCACACACCTGTAGCCCTAGCTACTAGGGAGCATGAGGTAGGAGGATGGCTTGAGCCCAGGAGGTGTAGGTTACAGTAAGCTGAGATAGCACCACTGCACTCTAGCCTGGGCAACAGAGCCAGACTTTGTCTCCAAAAAAAAAAAAAAAATACAAAGAAAAGAAATTCTATGAGGTATTTTACATTTTCAAGGTAAACAAAGCGATATTCAGTATCTCTTAGGTACTGGAGCAGAAGTTGTTAGCTCAAAGTAGTTCACTGTTTCAACAGTAGATTGCGGCACATCCTTTCAATGATATCTTTGTGAATCTGGATATTCAGGGTTACTGAGATAAAAAGCAAGCACTGAGTGAAAATCAACATGGAACAGGAAATGAGGGTGGGGGGTGTCCAATCTTAGTCCAAAGTTTGAGAGGTGTGCACATCCAGTGTACACATATGTGATTAATAAATCATTGTAGTTATTTAACAATAAAGTAACATTATTTTTATTTAAATTTACATTATTATTTCAAACCACAATTAAGTTGTTAGGACATATTAAGCTGGTTGGGTTTGCTACTTAATAAAGGAACTGTTCTTTCTTGTGGCCCAGGGGACACTATGAAAAAATGCCAGAGGCACCAAGGAAGCTGTGAACCAAGAAAGTTTGGGAACCCGCTGTTATAGTAATTAACACTGTTGAAAACAAGTCACTGGGTGATTTCTACCATCTTAGGTGTCAGCTCCTGGCTAAGGGGCTAGGCGTTTATTTTCTTTCTCTGCCGTGTTTCTGTTTCCCAGCTGCTATTTGCTTCCCATGCAGAACCCTTTAGTCATCTTGTCTGTTTCCCTACCTCCTTTCAGACCATGCCCTCAGGGCGCTGCTCCCTTCCACCCTCCAACAGCTTATCAAGGTATTTCCCTAAACAGAGACAATTTCCTCTCTAAAGAAATTCTTTTACCAGCATAAAAAAAAACAAACTTATTCTTCTAGTATAAATTGCTGTGCTATGGGCCTTGAATCACCAGAGCACTGGCACTCAAGGACAGGGTGAAAGGAAGGCCAAATCGAAGGTAAAATTGGTGAATAAAGGCAGAGAACGGGCCTAAGAAAAAGTTGATTGCTTCACAATTTTACTGTGACCACAAGCTGTGTGCCCAAAACACATTTAAATCTGTCCAGAGTCCAGATACAGAGCATGTAACAGATAAAATCTTTTTCCTTAACTCTGTAAACTGAATATTTTGTAACCTCAAAAGGCAGGATTTTACATCATTGCGATGCTTTATTTCTTCCTGTAATTAAATATACTGGTATAAGCTGTGAGAGCAAAAGCTGGAAATTTAGTCCAGCGGATATGTCTGTTTTCTCAAACATTTTAATGAAATTTTTCTTGATCATCATCTTTGGGCTCGGAGCATACACACCAACCACTCCTTGCCTTGCTTTATCCTTTATTCCATTCTTATTTCAGAAGAACATTATACAACTTTGCCGATCTGGGAGTGTGGGGGAAAAACGACTGATTCTTTTATGAGAGCAGATTGGTCCTGGCATTTATGAAGCCCTGACTGCACTGAGGTCCAATGAATGAAAATATCCGTGTTCTCTCCACCTCCGGCTAGCTGCAGCAATATCCTCTTCCACATCCATCACTGTCTCATGCCTGACAGAATGATAGACACACAAAATCATTCCTTATTGTAGTAGAGATCTCTCACCCAAATGGTTTTCTGGTAGTTACTCTGACTCAACTCTGGCCAACAGGCTCCTGTAAAATGGGTTCCATGTTCTGCTCCGCATTGCAAGAACCACCTGTTTGTAGGTTTCATCACATTTATTTGCATTAACCTCCACAGAAAGCAGGACCTCTGCACTGCTTACAACACTCCGAGAGGCCATTTGCATAAGCCTTTGCATTTACATAAGGCATAGATTTAATGGATGAGGATGAATGTGGCATTCTTGGTGCTTCTGTTGGGAATGCTTGCTAGGAATTATTTCTGATTCATCAGTCTGAAGGACCCAGGATCTCCTGAAATTTTGAATGGAAAGTCCATGTTTTATTTCCTATCCTAATGTGTCTAGAGATCTCAATCTGATCTCTACCAAACATTTTTTGTAAATGACTCCTACTTAGTCCTACTTAGTCCTTAGTTAGGCACCAGACTAAGTGCTTATGGTAACCCTTCTCCAAACATGGCCACCATCAATTCCTTCCCCTCCTGGATGCACATGGTTCCTCATTTGAAAAGATGAAGCTTATTTCTCCTTCCCTTGAATCTAGGCTGGCCCTTTGAGTTTCTTTGACCAATAAACATTGGTGGAAATGACACTGTGCTGGTTCTAGGTCTAACCTTTAGGAAAGCTGGCAGTTTCTGCTTCCTCTCTCTTGGGTGCCAGCTGCCAAGTAGGGTGACCAAATACTCTGATACTACCACATTGTATGAAAGCCCAGTTAAGGCTGGGTGCGGTGACTCATGCCTGTAATCCCAGCACTTTGGGAGGCCAAGACAGGAGGATTGCTTGAGCCAGGAATTCAAGACCAGTCCAGGCAACACAGTGAGACCCTATCTCCATAAAAAAAAAAAATTAAAAAATTAGCCAGATGTGGTGTGCACTTGTAGTTCCAGCTACATTTGGGGCTGAGGTGGGAGGATTACTTGAGCCCAGGAGGTGGAGGCTGCAGTGAGCCATGATCATACCACTGTACTCCAGCCTAGGTGACAGAGCAAAACTCTGTCTCAGTAAACATGAACAAGAAAAAAAAGAAAGCCCAATTACCAAATGGAGAAGTCACAGACACACACACACACACACACACACACACACGCACAGAGAGAGAGAGAGAGAGAGTGCACCATCTTAGATGTTTCAGCCTCAACAGCCACCACACAGAGGAGAGGAACCACCCAGCTGAGCCCAGCCTAGATGGCAGAATTGTGAGAAATCATAACTGTTGTTTTAAGTTACTAAGTTTCAGAATGATTTGTTGTATAGTAGCAGATAACTGAAACAGTGCTTAATAAGTATTATTTAAATTAATAAATATAACAATCAACCCTGTTAGGTATGAACTACTCCCCACATTTCACAAATGAAGAAACTGAGGTTTTACGAATTACATGACCTGCAGGATGTCACATTGCTAGTAAATGGCTGAGCTGACACATGATCCCAGGCTGCCTGATTTCAGTCTTCTCACTTAACCAAAATACGCTCATGCCTCTCTACAGAGAATCAGGACTCCCATGTACATGGTATATAATAGTGGTGCCCTTTGTTCAAAGGAAATATGTTAGAATTCTTGGATTAACAGATGCTAATGGCTCCTGACTACCCCTTTCCTTCATGGTTCCCTAAAGGAGCCCCTATGTCAGTCTTTTTACAAAGATAGATGGTGGCCGTGTGAACCATGTCTGGGAATGACAGCTGCTGACAGGAACAAGAGGACAAGAGGACAGCTGGGAAAGGAAGTGGCATTTGTTGAATAGCTGCCATGTGCTGCTATCTGTACATGACTGACTGATTAATCCTTAGGCAACCTAACAAGGGTGGCATAATGATCTCTGCTTAATAGATGAGAAAACTGAGACACAGAGAAGTTAAGGAACTTGCCCAAAGTAACCTAGAAGTAAATAGCAAAGATGGGATTTGACCTCAAGTCTATCCCTCTCCAAAGTCTGCAGTCTTTCTGAGTTAACCAAACCAAAGACCTGGGCTTATACTAGTTGTATAAGATTGAGACTTGAGATTTTTACTGTTGGAGGTAAGGAAGTTTTCAGGTTTTAAGCTTTATTTCTCAATGTACTAATTTTGCCATAACAAAAAGCCAACCTGGGGGTAAAAACAGAGGAAAAGCAACAACAGTGGGAACTAATTAAAATGCAAAACCTGTGTGGGAAAGCAAAGTCAAACAGAAAGAACTCTTGACTGCAGCCTTCTGAGATAACCAGGCATTGGGAGGGTTTCTGCTCTGTGGAAGGTCTTGACATCAGTTGATGGGGCTAATCCTCACAACAGGGTCCTCATGCTCACACAGAATGATACCCAGTTCATTCCTCTGCATCAAACACCTGTAGCAGACACTGCTACTTGCTATAGTGAGTCTCTAAGGAATTTTAAAATGTCTTGAGAAGTTAAATCAATTTCTAAAAATTGCCCTGCATGTTTTATGGCTCCAAGGTACATTAGCAAAGATTCTAGAGTCTACAAGAACTTCTGCAGCCTTGTAGTTTCTGTCCACTTAGAGGAACCCTAGCTCAGTAGCTGAATCCTGGGACAGTATGTCTTTGTGAAAACACACACACACACACATACACACACACAAATACAGCTGATAAGCCTCACGGTGTGGACTTTTATCGGCAAGCCACGCACTGTTCTAGCTTCCTTTGGATTTCCTAGTTACTTAGGAGTCAGTCTGGATAGCTCTCTCTCTCTTTAGCTCACTCGCTGGTTCTGTCTTCTCTATCAGAATAGAGGCTGCCAGACCAGCTGAGCATTGTCTGTGTTCCCTGTAGGCTGCACTAGAGACACGTGCAGTCTGCCCAGTCTGTTCCTGCATTCTGTTTCCTTCTGCCTTCATCCCTAGCACACAAGGGATGCAGGCATCTTTGGAATGCTCCCTCTTACCCAGGCCCACAGCAGGTGCTGAGGCTCTGGAAGTCTGTGGTTACTGACTATCATTGTTCCCTCTGGGATTGCCTTGGGAGAGGAAGCGTGACCAGCCACCCACAGGCTGCGGGGGTCCCCTACTCCTCCTTGTAGCTAGATCCAACTAGGAGGCTGCAGCAGGGAGTCTGGAGGGGCCTTCCCACCTCTAACATTGTAAGACCAGACAGTCTTTCCCCATTAGCAGACTGCCATGCTGGGAAGGGCAAGCCTTTCCTTCCCACTCTCAAAGTCTCAGCCCTGCCATGCCCATGTGGGGAGCCCTTCTAGGGTCATTCTTGGAGGGCAATGCATGGATGAATCTACGAGCTTGTGTGGGTTTTGCTCTCCACACATAGGACTACCTGCTATTTACATAATAAGAGGGAAGCAGACACATATGTGGGGTTGCCTTAGTAATTAGACACATGGCTGGTCCCTTCTTTTGTTGCCAAGTAATTGCAGCATCTGGTTTACCCCAAGAATGACTCTCCTATTAAAAAGCAGAGGGGAGGAAATAAAGACCTTATAAACCCACGCATATCTGCTGGTAGAGCTGCTGGAGAAACAGGCAAATTAAGAGCCTCATTTTGTAATTTTGTTTAAAGCAAAGCAGCAATAAGCACCACTCCTGCCACCCCTCTCCCCATCTCATAAATGCTTCCAAAAGCTTTAGACAACTGGAGCTTATGAGAAACTGACTAACAATATTTTTGGAGCTATGAAGTCATCTGTCACACCACCAGGAGGATTGGATCTGGGGCTCCGGGCTCCATGACCATATATAATATTAAATCTTGCTTGCTCCTCTGCGCACTGAGCTATGAGATCATGTTTATTGTCCTCTCCACAGCTGCATTAAAATGATCTGTGAATCTGTCTGAAAAGGTTCTTTGCTCATCACTGCAGAGCAAGGCTCAGGCTCATGGCTGAACAGGGAGGCACACACTCTCAGATAAAAAAGGTGAAGTATGGAAGAGAAAAGACTGAGATATGGGATTTCTGGGTTGGAAAATGACTTTGGCAAGTCATGCAATCTTCCTGAGACTCAGTTTTCTCATCTAAAAAATGGGAATAAGAATAGCTAGCTCACCAGGTAGACAGCTAGATATTTGCCTTGCCTGTCTCACAGGGTTATTTTGGGGCTCAAATAAGGTAGCAAAAATAATGTGGGTTTTTTAATCACTATAGAAACATGAGATGCTATTATTTGGTCCAGCCATACTGCAAGGAGAATTCTCAAGGCAAACGTGGAGAGGAGCCTGCCTTGATTGCGTCAGCTCGGAGTTACTCTTTTAAGGACCCTTGTCCTTATGATCCTTCCCAAGGTATAGGTTGATTTTGTTTTCTTTCTCTGTAAGAAGAGGAAATTCAGCCAGGTGTGGTGGCTCATGCCTGTAATCCCAGAACTTTGGGAGGACAAGGCAGGTGGATCACTTGAGATCAGGAGTATGAAACCAGCCTGGCCAACATGGTGAAACCTCAACTCTACTAAAAATCCCAAAACTTAGCCTGGCATGGTGGTGGACGCCTGTAATCCCAGCTACTCGGGAGGCTGAGGCAAGAGAATCGCTTGAACCTGAGAGGTGGAGGTTGCGGTGAACCAAGATCACACCACTGCACTCCAGCCTGGGCGACAGAGAGAGACTCCATGTCAAAAAAAAAAAAAAAGAGGAAGAAGAGGAAACGCACATCTAGGAAAGCTTATAGAATTCCCAGCCCCAGGTCTATGAAAGGCAGAATAGGGTAGGAGCATCTGGGAGCTCTAGCCACTTTAGGGTGGTTCCCAGATGACAGTTTTGGTGGTTTCATCTCCAGAAGGAGGGAGGCACTCGTGTTCCAGTTTCTCAACTCATTCTCAAAGTCATTCTACCTTGACATCAATACAAAATAGGTACATGCTGAATTAGTTTAATGAGATGCTAATTAAAGCAATATAAAGTAAAATGTCATTGGGGAAGGATTATCCTAGTTAAGTGACAAAGTTTATAGACAAAGACCAAGTAGAGAATGATCAGCTCTGTCCACATAAACTGAGGAGTTTCACAAGGTCTTCATGCATCTCTGAAAGCAGAACTGTCTCAGATCAAAGTGAATAGGAGTCAAAGCACTTTGAAGTTGGAATCATGTTTAAGGATTTTCTTCCTTCAAGGCTCATTTCACAGATAAGCAAAATGAGTCCCACCAAGGGAAAGGATTTGGCCAGAGTGACAAAGTAGATAAAAGGTAGGGCTACGACTAAAACCCAGGTCCTCTATAACCATTGTATTTCCAATAAATGCAGGACTATAACTTCAGTAAAAAGTAGCCAAAGTTCTAGGCCCATATTTTCAGTTCTCCATGCAGGGCACCAAGCTATGCACCAAGCTGTGGCTGATTCCTTGATGCTTAATCATAGCCTCTTATATAGCCAGATACCAGGGTCTGGCAGGGCAGACTAGTGAGGCCTCTCAGGCACTGAAAATATATCACAAGGCTGCAAGTGACCCAGAAAGGTCTGGAAGGATGTAACATGTCATCTGGACAGTAGGTAGAAGGACAGAGTATCCTGGTAGAGGTGAATTAACAGCAAGATGTCTTGGCAGGAGGCAGAATGGGAGAGAGAGGGAAAGACAGGGAGTGTCAGGGAGATGACACAGAATGGGTAAGCGCAAAAAAGTTCCTGTAGGAACTAAGGCAGGTGGAGAAAGAAAACCAAAACCAACCTGCTGGAAGTAGAGTGTGAAACAGCAGCTTGATTCCAAAAAACAAAAATAAATCAAGCAAAAAACTCCAACCGGATGATGCCCCTGGTACAAAGCATGCATTACAAGACCAACACAAGTCTTGTGTGGGTAGAACAGAATGCCTGGCCTAGAACACCATTAACTACCTTAGGATCCAGAAAGAGTTGGAGGGACTAGTGAGAGTGTCTCCAGTCATAGAGACTAGAGGACTACAGCAGATGAGAAAGCAGATGGATCCTGTTCTTCTATGCACTGCACCCAGAACCTATTTCATCTAGAGATAAAGCAAAGGAGACAAAAGGCAGCTGAGTTGATACATAAATATTTCTAAAACATTTGCTTCCATAACACAGTCTTTTTTTAAATTGAGAAATAGTGACAGAAAAATTTAAGGGGTGGAGCCCTTTTTTACTGAAGTGACATTGCTCAGATCGTCCTACAGTAGATAACCAGGATGGGAAAGCAGAGCTCTCTAGACGTGGCCCTGGATGGCATCTGGAGGAAAGCCAAAGCCACTGGGTCTCCTCCCACTTCCGGTCTTCAGTATATTTTTGGAAATATATGGTGTAGTTAAATGTCCCATTCTCATAAAGATTTTAGCCTTGAAATATTTGGCTTTATTCTCAGCTGGACCTAGGCCCGGGGTGACCATCACTTAAGTGATTCCATGCCTTGGGGAGCCTAAGTTAGGGCTTTCATGTTCAAAGGACATGGTCCATTGAAGACTTGGAATATGGACTTGCTCTGATCTTCATAGTCTTCAGTTCTCGGAGCCAAAGCAGGCTGACTTTAAAAAGGTGGCTTGTATTCTCTTCCTCTCTTCCCCATCCCCCATATTATCAACTGTTCAAGGGCAGAGGAAGATAATGGAATATAGGATTGGAGGAGCTGTGGCCACACCGGCAGAATTTAACTCTTGGGCTTTTCAGAGCTTTTCTCCCCAATAGGCAAACCTTTCCTAAGACACCCTTTTGTCATGAAAAGCAAACCATGTCAGCCAAACTTTTCAACCAGACTTTGAGGGCTGGATCTGAAATAAAAGGAAAATGGTTTTGAAATCTGTATTCAGCCAGCATAGTTTGATATTCCAAATTTGCACAAATTCAGAGGAGGGTGCAAATTCTTTCCTTTCCTTGGGAGAATAATGGGGCGGGGAGGGGTATGGTATTAATGATTGTTCCAGGTCAAGACATCAATTTGAGCTGGTTTAGTTCAGATCAAGAATAGGTTCTAACATTTGAGACAGTCACACCGGGCAAGGAGGGACCTGCACCATTGATGAATGGCATAACACTGCAGGGTGGGTAGAAGCCACACACGTAGCAACAGTTAGAACATACGTTAAAGCGGCATTTCTTGCTAGTTTGTTAGAGGCCTTGTGTGTCAGATGGGGGATAAGAAAATAGAATTGGTGCTGGGGCAGTTCAGGAAGTTCTGCAGAGGCATAACTAGCATAGACACTCAAAGTTCACTCCAAGGGGAGAGAGCAGTGCTTCCTGTGGGAGAAAATGTGATGAGAGATATGAGAAGACTAAAGACTAATTGAACATCCCATGTGAAAAATTCTGTGCTAGGCACAGAATTACATGACAAATACAGTTTTTCACTTAGATGTCCATCCACAAGCTAAATAATGTTCCTTATTTTACAGAAGTGGAAACTAGCTAAAAGATCTGTTAGAACTGTGCATCCAGGCCCCAAAGGCCTGGGCTACTGATGGTGCAAAGACACCAGTGGACCTGAGCAGGAACCGCTGTAGAGAACAGCAATGGAGGAGAGGATGGATGGGGTTGGAAGGTGGTAGGAAACAGTGATGAAGGCACAGTGGGCCAAACCATAGACAGTGTTAAGTGGCAGACAGATTTTCAGCTGGGGAATTTTAGAAGAGGTGTGATGACACTAGTGTTTTATGATCAGGCTAGGAGCTACAGAGGTTCTAGCCTCTTGAACAGAGGCTAGATGGAAGGAGGAGAGATTGGAAGTGGGAAATGATGAAGAAACTGACATGGCAATCCAAGAATGAGATCATGTAGATCCAGACTAAGGTTTCTTAACAGGAGTGGAGAGGAATAGATGCAAATAAAAATCCCAGGAATAACCCATGGAACTTGTTTTTTCACTGTGTAATAAGGAAAAAAGATTTCTTGTAGTAATAGATCATATTTAACTGTTTCAAATCTTCAAGGAGAAACCACGCAATGTAAGGCCACTTCCAACTTAGGCAAGGCTGCACACAAGTCATCCCAGCCAGATGTTTTATTCTGAATGTTTTCCCCATCTCTCTGGAGAGAGTTTCAATGTCTCACAGCCACTGATAGTAGATGTTCTGATGACCTTCCTGCACAATGGAAGCATTGTAACTTCCTGCTGGCTACAGTGCTAATGCATGATGATTGCATGTCACTTCTATAGGGTTCCTCTCTTTTGGGAAGTGGGCTATGGTTGAGGAAGGAATGGAGAATAACCTTAAAAGGAGTTCTTTTGACTTGGTGCAGTGGATACTATAGCGCCCTGCTTAGATCATCTTTACCAGACTAGCACATCCACCTGCCTAACTGCAACAAGTGTTGGCCCCTAAGAGCCCACAGCTGTCTTGTTCATTGGTCTTGAAGCCAGTGGAGATTATCAATTCTCCACCCACCCATCCTTGAGCAGCCATTGGCTGACTGACCTAGACTCACAAAAACCCAGTCCCCTTGCCTCCAGGTGGAATCAGCTCTGTGGTTCAATTCATGCTCCAGAGAGCCTAAATCAGACTCCAGCTGAGACCCACATCTTTGATTAGTTCCACCCCTTGCTCCATCCTACTTCCTCGAGAGCTCTGCCCCAATAAATCACTTACTCAAGAATCCATGTCTCAGACTCTGCTTCTAGGGAGCCTGCCTTTAAAACACTTGGGACTCAAAAAGATTTAATTCATAACAACTGAATCCACACTATAGATCGAAACGTGTACAGTGTTGGAAGAGCTTTAAATGAGACAGAGATACAAATTAAAGATTAGAAAGACATAACCACCCATAGAGCTGGACCGACGAAGGGCAGAGATGTTGCTTTCCCATTGGTTCTTCCCACTGGTTGAAACTAATAGAAATCCAGTGGACAAGGGAGCCTGGGAAATGTAGTTTTCAGGGAACTGATGTCACACAGAACAGAACAGGAGAAGGACAGGGAATGAATTCAAGGTGAACAGGTAAATGAACAGCATAAAACAGGGAGAAAATGAACAGCATAAAATAGGGGGAAAACCACAAGTAACACACATAATCAACTATGTTGAGAAACATATCAACTTCCCATACCCCTCTTCATGAAGCACCAGGGAATCCATCTGCAGGAAGAGTCCAGGAAAAGTCTCTGGACTATTTCTCTTCTCCTCCTTTCTTATACATGTCATCCTTGGATCATTTTCTGGGACCCATGCTGATCATTGGGCTGGTCACTTCCTGTAGCAGGCCTGATCAGTGATATACTAACTGCAAAGAATTCTGCAGTCTCCTTTTCCCAAACTTCTCACCCCAGGATTTGCATTAGAACATTTTTATCAACTCTGTCTACATTTCTTGCTGTCTTTGCTCCTATTTGGTACTACGCTATTTAATGCAAATGTTGGAATTGAGATTTACCTCTAATTTTGTAAATAAAATTGCAAAAAGCTCAGAAATGCCACCTGCCCTTTGTATTATCATGATCAAATGGGTTGATAGACCTCTCAGACTTTAGTGGGGATGGGACATCCTCTATTTAATCTTGATACTAGTGAAAAATTGTGCCCTTCCCCACTCATTGCTTTTATAAATACTATGTGTTTGCCTCCTTGTGTCACTGTCCACCCTCCCACCACCTCCATCAAGCTGTTACGTTTGCTATTTTTACCCTTTCATGTGTAAGGTAAAAATAATAGATTTTTATTAAATTAATGGACTAATCACCAAGTGTGAACCTCAAGTCCCTTTTATGCCAGTTGGCAAAGCAATTCATCCCTCACCTTTCAGCTGAGCTGTCTTCCAATTTATGGGTCAGATGGGCCCCCTTTTTCTGTGTCCTATCCACATAGCAGGGCCCAAGAGGCTCTTTCATTTCTTAGGCCCCAAGGATGGTTTTGCCGCCGAATCAGAGCTGCCTCATTGTCTGCTCACTGAGATGGTGCCTTGCATCCAGAGATGTGAATGTCTTTGAATTCAGTTCGCAAACAAAGGTCCTTTAGGGACATCACATGTTTTACATGTGCCTCATGGGTTTCTTGCTTGGTAGTCTTATTCATTCATTCAACACATATTTATTGAGCACCTACTATGGGTTTGGCTCTGGGCATGTGATGGCGACTGTAGGCAAATGAAGGGCAGAGAGTATGCTATAACTTGACTGATCTGCCCCCACAACACTAGCAAGACACCTCGATCAGAGCTTTGCTTAAATATTCTCATTCTGTCTTTCAAAAAATTCTAATTGAGAGAGGACTGCATGCTAGGCACTGTGCTAGGCACACATTTGATGATTAGCATGGTGAATAGTATTATTTGTCTATGATTCTTCTATGTTTCTGGTGGTTTTCTGTGGGTGAAGCTCACTTCTCCATCCGATTTACTCTGGACCTGGCTGTGATACTTGCCTTGGCCAATGGAATGTGAGCAGAGTGGACAGGGTATAAATGCGGGGCTGAAGCCTTAAGAATCATCACGTACTGTTTCTCCCTCATCTTGGAGCTTCTTACCTCCCCCATGGGAAGGGACTTCTTCAGGAAGTGGTTGGGCTTTCAGGTGGGATGCTGAGAAAACCAAATGGGCAACTAGAAACCTGGAGTCTGGAGATGCACCTGAGTTGCAGCTGACCCACAGACTTATGAGTGACAGATAAATGCTTGTTGTTGAAAGCCACTAGGATTTGGGGTTGTTATACAATAATATTGCAATTTTTAAAACCTGCCTAATAAGGTAACTGCTCCAAACTTTGGTTGTTTTCCATTCGCAGTACCCACTTCTTGCAGCTCCTTGTTCCATGAGTTTCAAAGGAAATACCATACGTATGATACTAAATATAGCACCTAGCATATATAATAAGTGCTTCAAAAATAGTGGCCTTGTCATCATCATTAATATTAATAGCACTACAAGATTCATGTATTGGGTCCTTTTCAATGACTGTGGTATACACACTTTGCAGTAGGTTCCAGATTAATCTATGGCCTGGTTTATAAAGCCAGATCTCCCATGACACCTAAATCAGCTGGGCTCAGATCATAATTGCTCTCTGAGCTGACAACATTTTAACTTGAATTTCCTTTAATATACCAAGTGAATACTGTATGAATTGCAGGTGCTAAAATTTATTACCAGATCACTTGATTTGAGATATGTGGGCCAAGGGAATACACCATCACAATCTCTGCACATCATTAAAGAGCTGGTTTTCTCAAGAACATCAGGTGAGGGGAGTAATTTAACGAGAGCAATAACAGACTTCCAAATAAAAATTCAGGCTCTGAGAATTAGGTCATCCTAAGTGGAACTCAGAAACCTGGGCCTAAAAATAGACTAATTCCATGCAGGGTAAGAGATGAAGCATTTGGACCTATATGAGACAGAAAGTTAGAACTGGAATCTTTGTATAAATCCAGAATTCTCAAATGTCCCACACTCACTGACATAATGTGATGATTAATCTTGTCCATCAACTTGACTGGGCTATGGTGTCCAGATATTTGGTCAAACATTATTCTGTATGTTTCTGTGAAGGGTTTTTAAATGAGATTAATATTTAAACCAGTGGACTTTGAGTGAAGCAGATTACCCTCCATACGGTGAATGGGCCTCATCCAATCAGTTCGTTAATTAGGAAAAGACTGACCTCCCTGGAAGAAGAGGAAATTTTACCAGCAGACCATCTATGGACTCCAGCTGCAACTCTTCCTTGAGTCTCCCGCCTCCTGCCTACGCTGCTGACTTTGGACTTGCCAATCCTCCACGATCATGTAAACCAATTCCTTAAAATAAATCTCTCTCTCTCTCTTTCTCCCTCCACACACACATAGACACATAAACACATACCCTATTGGTTGTGTTTCTCTGGAGGACGCTGACTAACATACACAGTGAACTAGAGAAAGTCTACCTGCCCTCAAAACAAAATGGCCAACAAGCTTGAATCTCTCTTAACCACCCTTTTTAATGAAAATGAGTCTACTTAGGAAATTTGCAAATGTATCACAGGAGACCCCAAACCTAGAAATTAATAAAAGGTTATTCTCAGTAGGCAACATCTCTGGGGCATCTGGAAGGAAGCAAAACTAAAACTGTTTAGGAAGAATGTAGGAAGCTTCCACCCTAAGATACACAGGACATTCACAAATAAAGCCCATGAAATATGAACTCACAATTTCAAATTATGAAACATATCCTGGAATAAAATGCCATGAGCCATAGTCAGGAGAATCAATTAACAGCAAATTTAGAGTTTGAAGAACTTTAGACAATAAGAGTATCAAATTCAGAATATAAAAATAAATCATTTATAATATAGAATTTACTTCACTGTAAAATTTTGGGCAAGTTACTTAATCTCTACGCCTCAGTTTCCATATCTGTCAGTGGATCTCTGAAATCTGCATTTTCACAGGATCGCTAAGGGCGTCTGATGCACACTCTGTCTTGGAATCTACTGCCCTGGTCATACTATGTCAGGAGCATTGTAGGACATTACATGTTCGCCTGCCTTCTGGATGGAGGTCATTCTTTCCATTGCCTGCTCACTTTCCTCTCACCCCACACACAGGTAGGATCACTTCCTCCTGAGTGAAAGGGACATGGAGACTCTGTGTGGTGCATTTACTATTTAATACATGCCTATTACTACCAAGAAAAATGCCATTAGGTTTGGCTGGGAATCTTGGTTGCCAACCATCTCTGCTGAAGATAAGCAAAGAAATTTAGCCACAGGATCAAGAGCACAGGTGGCCTCAGAACCAAAATATGGTAAGAGTACCAGTTAGCCACCGCTATTGTTCACCACAGCAAGGAACTGATTAAATTATATTGCTACCCTAAGCTATCAGGGGCTGCAAGAAGGGGACCAACTGAGGAACAAAACTAAGGATATCACGGTAGGAAAAAAATGATCAATACTAAAGCTTCCCAGTGTAAGATTTGATTCTTCAACAAAATATGTAGGGGAGTGGAGGAGAGCACACTAAGGTTGTTCAGGTTAGAAACAACTGGCTATTTCTCCGAAGGAGAATAATAAGAAAATTGCCCTCATGTGTGCAAATTTCAAGTGTAGGTGGGGTCACTTGACAAGGGACAGGAAAGGGGGCTTTCTGGAAAGGTGAGTCTGATGGTGGATGCCCTTGGGTTGTGGCAAGAAAGTAGAGCCTTAATTGAGGAAAACAGAGGCAACCACAAGAGAGGGTGGGCCCGGGGGGCCAGGGAGGTAAACACATTCCCATAGCTTCAGTGAACACCTGCATGATGATGTTGGAACCTAACTACACACACAGGGATGGTCCAGAGGTGGACAAGAGACAGAATCATTAGGAAATGACACCCTGGGAGAAAAAGCACAAAGGAGGTGAGCAATTCACCCAGGGGCCCTGCTAACACACATACTCAAGGAAGCCAGGAGAGAGAGTCACTCCCTTAGTGGTGGGTGGTATGTCCACCCAATGAAAAGAAGTTGCTCCCCTGAGGACACAGGGATGCACAAAGGATCACTGGCAGGAGAAAATGCAGCAGGAATGGACTATTCAACCTGGTTGTACATGCTGACAGCTGTTTTTCTTCCTTTTTTTTTTTTTTTTTCTCTCATTAGCCGGACGCTATCCACTTTGGGAGTGGAGGGCACTTCCCACCCACCAGGGTAGTATGTACCTATGTCTCACCACTTGCTGGCAGAGTTTAAAGAGTAAGCTCATCTTGCCCTCAAGGAAAGGGGAGCCAGTTTTTATGATTGCTAAATATCGGAGCTCTGGGTTTTAATGAGCCAAAGTTAATTGTGAAAGAATAAAATAGAGCTTTTGTGTGTCAGAACCGGAAGGAAGACTGTGGGAATAGGAGCAAGCAAATAGGATCTGGGGTAGAGCCTGGAAGCTCGAGACGTGCCATCTGAACACCTAGAGGGGAGGTTGGTGGGGGGTCCAAGACCCCTAGTATGTGATAGGGTTAGTGATGCCTTCTTTACTTTGGCGACATTACAGAATTAGGGTGGAAATCCCCAGATACTAGCTTTTACACCAGAAGACAACTTATTAGCCCTTCTGGGGATGTGAGTGGCATAACCAGGACACCAGGGGAGACAATCTGTTATTTCATAGCAAGTTGCTGACAACATCTGCTACTGACCTATCATGCACAGGCTTGTCTGGAGGGCATATCCAGGCAAACAAAAGGCACTAAACCCACTTGTGGCTTTACCTCTTTAAAGGAGATAGCACAGCAAAAAACATTCCATCCTGTAAAACAACAATAACCCAAGTAGAGCCCAGGGATACACAGGCCTACCTCAGGCCTCTTGCACTTGCTGTTCCCTCTGCTGAGGACTTTCTATAGATATTTGTGTGATCCCCTCCCTCACTTCACTCCATTGTCTTCTGAAATACCAGTCCCTCAGAGAGGCCTTCTATGGCCATCCCAACTGAAATAGCACCACCCTCAACCCTAACTCTGCCTGAATTTTCTTCAGAACACATGTTACTCTTTGTATCATTCCGCATATTTATTTATTTATTTTCTGTATCTCTCTAAGATATATGCTTCAAGAGGGCAGATAATTTGTTTATTTTGTTCACTGCTATATCCCGATTATCTAGAGCAATGCCTGGTACATGATAGGCATTCAGTTAATATTAGTGAGTAAATGGACCATCAAAATAGAAAAATTAGCCCCTGCGTAAATACTTTAGTTAAAACATAGGTATATTCATAGGGGTTTTATTTCAAGTCAGTGGGGTATCATCCTAGCCTAATGTTTAGCTGTTACAAGCTAAAGAAAACCAGATTGTCTTACTAAACCACTCTGCTATTAAAAAAGAAAAAGTTGTCTAGAGCCTGACTCTAGACCTGTTGGGCTGCTCCATCGATTGATTTCTCAGCCATTGATTAATCTTTGTGTAGTTGTCAGAGCTTGAGAACATCAATCAGCTAATAGCTGTCACTAATCCACAAGCAAGGAAACAGGGTCTGTCCAGTCACTTCTGTCCTTGGCTTCATTGTTTTCCTTCTTTAATGTAAATGTAATTCAATTTCCTTCTTTAAATGTAAAGCAATACAAGGATGATGTAAAATAAATTCAATGCAAAACAGTATACGATAAAAAGTAAATTTCCTCTTAACATCAGTGACCCTTGGCCTCCCTCATCAGGAACATCTATTGGTATCTCATTGTGGTTACAATTTATACTGCCCTCATTACAAAGAAATTAATCAGCTTTTCATGCTTTGTTTTGTGTTTTTTTGGCCATTTGTATATCCTCTTCTCTAAGTGATTTGTTCTGAGCCCCTTGCCTATTTTTTCATTGGGTTTTATGCCTTTTTCTTTTGAATTTGTTGAACTTTACATTCCAGATACAGGTCCTCTGTCAATTTTGTGTTTCAGATATTTTCTCCTACTCTTTGGCTTGCATTTTCATGTTATTTTTGTGAACAGAAGTTACTGATTTTGAGCCTGATTTTGATAACCATTTCCTTACGATAGTCAGTGTTTTTGTTTCTTATTTAATCCAAGATAATGAAGATATTTTCCTACATTGTCTTCTAGAGAATTTATTGTTTTGCCTTTCACATTTATGTTTAAAATTCACCTGGAATTTAGTTTTGTGTAATGTGAAGTAGGGATTCAGTTAAATGTTTTCATGTTGATACCCCATTGATATCCCATTGTTTCAGCACCATTTATGGGAAAGTCTTTTTTCTAATCTTCTGTAGTAGTGCCTTGATTTAAATTAAGTTTCTACACCTGTATAGGTTTGTTTCTTGGCTCTGTATTCTCTATCATTGGTGTATTTGTCTAGATTTTCACCTTAGTCATCTATACTGTTTTTGTGTGTGTATGAGACAGAGTCTCACTCTATTGCCCAGGCTGGAGTGGAGTGGCACAATCTTGGCTCACTGCAACTTCCACCTCCTGGGTTCAAGTGATTCTTGTGCCTCAGCCTCCCAAGCAGCTGGGACTACAGGCATGTGCCACCACAGTCTGCTAATTTTTGTGTTTTTAGTAGAGATGGGGGTCTCATCATATTAGCCAGGCTGGTCTTTAACTCCTGGCCTCAAGCGATCCACCCACCTTGACCTCCCAAAATGCTGGGAGCATGAGCCACTATCCCAGCCTAGACCTTAATTATTAGACCTTTATAATAGTCCTTGTTTGCTAGAGCAAATCATCCTGCTTTATGTTTCTTCTTCAACAATGTCTTGGTTATTCTTGGCCCTTTGCACTTCCATATAAATTCTAGAAAGAACTTATTAATTTTCAGAAAACAAAAACCTATTCATATTTCATTTGAGACATCAATTTAATAAGAATCTTTTATGATATTGAGTTTTCTAATCTCTGAACATGGTGTGCCTTTCACATACACATACACAGATATGTAATTTTGGGGGGAGAGGCTTTCTAGTTTACAAAGTATTTTATACTATTATACAGACAATTTATTTTATTTATAATTTGTTTATCGCTAATACATGTAGAAATGAAATGGATACAAATGTAGATTGATTTTGCATTCTACAATATTGCTATTAAGTCTGATTTATTTGTAATACTCTTGAATGTTCTGTGTATATGATCATAGCATATCTCAATAATGGCAATTTTGTTTCTTCCATTCTAATCACTATGTATTTTATTTATTATTCTTACCTTACTGAACTGTTCAGGACCTCCAGGAAAATGTCGACTAGAAGACGTGATAACTGTACCAGTTATTTCTTGTTGCTGATCCCAAAGAAAAAGGCTTTAGTATTTCATCATTAAATATAATGTTTCTGCAGTTTTTTTAAATTAGATACTCTTTAATTGAATAAGGAATTCTCCTTCTCCTCCTAGCTCATTGTTATTTTTAAGATTATGAATGAATATTGAATTTTGCCAAATACGTCTGCATTTTTTGAAAAACATGATTTTTCCATTCTTATTTCTTAATTTGGCAGAACACATTAATGGGTTTGCTAATGTTCTACTAACCTTGCATTTGCATTTCTGGACTAAATCTAAGTTGGTTATGATGTATTTTCTATATACATATATATGGATTGTGTGTGTGTGTGTGTGTGTGTGTGTGTGTGTATGATAGGATTGTGTTTGCTAACTTTTTAAAGGAATTTTTAATGTATGATCATGAGTAAAATTAACTTACTTTTGTCTCTTATTCTGGTCTTATCAGGCTTGGTATGAAGTTATACCGGCATCATAAAATGAATTGAGGCATTTTTTTTTATAATTTTCTGTTCTCCAAAAGAGTTTGTTAAAGATTGGCATTATTTCTTCCTTAAATTTTTATGGAATTTAACAATGATAGCTTTGGGGCCTATAGTTTTATATAGGGGAAGTATTTTTTTAATTATGGATTTAATTTATTCAATAATAATAGGATTATTCAGGTGTTTAAAATTCTCGCTTCCTGTCTTTTTTGTAAATCGTATTTTTCTAGGATTTTTTCCATGCATTTTAATTTTCAAGCTATTTGGCATAATGTTTAAAACATTCTTTCATTGTCATTTTAATGTCTGTATAATATTATTACACTGATCATTTGTGTGACTTTTTCTCCTTTTTTGGATCAATCTTACCAAAATTTTATCAATTTCTTTCTTTTCTTTTTTAGACGGAGTCTTGCTCTGTCGCCCAGGCTGGAGTACAGAAGTACAGTGGCGCGATCTGCAACCTCCGTTTCCTGGGTTCAAGCAATTCCCCTGTCTCAGCCTCCCGAGTAGCTGGGACTACAGACCCATGCCATCATACCCAGATAATTTTTGTATTTTTAGTAGAGACAAGGTTTCACCATATCAGTCAGGCTGGTCTCGAACTCCTGACCTCAGGTGATCCCCCTGCCTTGGCCTCCCAAAGTGCTGGGATGACAGGCGTAAGCCACCTCGCCTGGCCAGTTTATCAATTTCGTTAAGCTTTCCAAATAATCAAATGTGTTGGTCCTGTTGATTTTTCTCTTTCATATGTTCGCTTTCTATTTTATTAATATCTATGTTTTTCTGTATTCTTTCCATTTATTTACCTTCTTTTTGTAATTATCTGAGATGAATAAATCTTGGCTTGGTAATTATATATAGAATTACTAAGCTGAGATTCAGAGAAGAGGGATGAACCTGGAACTTGGAGCCACTTTTGCCCAGGAGATAATTTATATATACATGTATATATATTCAGTGTATGTACACATAAATGAGGGCGGTTGGCTCTAAGCAACAAACACTCACCTCTGCATAACTTAAGCACAAAATAGCCACTCACAGAATGGAAGGAAGGGCTGAAGAACCAGGTTTCAAAGAGAATAGGTGCGAGGGCAGGCCAGGGATCTGGGAAGCAGAAACTACTATTTTTTTATTGCTCTGTTCAAAAGTCAAATTCCAAGAAGTGAGCATCTGATCTGTGTCAAGTGCCCACCTCTTGGCTAGGAGCAGGTAGGGCAGACTGCATGCAGTGAGAAAGACTGGTTCCTCTGAAGCAAATTCAGAGGCTATTTATCAGAAGATTTGGGAATGAATAATGGGCAGACAAAAATAACAAATGTTCACTGTAGAGAGAGAAAAAGAAATACAGCAGGAGAGACACAGGAGCAAGGAAGCAGAAGAGAAAGAAAGAAAAGTGGAGAGAAATTGGTAAAATGAGGTGGGGTGGTTTGGATGTGTGAGCCATCCGAAATGAGAGAATGTGCCAACCATCAAGAAAAATCATTGAAGCTCTTCCCCTATCCAGGGACACATATGACTTTTGTCAGTCTTCATGGGCCCCTTCCTCCATTAAAAATACTAAAAATTGGCTGGGCGCAGTGGCTCATGCCTGTAATCCCTGCACTTTGGGAGGCCGAGGCGGGTGGATCACGAGGTCAGGAGGTTGAGACCATCCTGGCTAACATGGTGAAGCCCCGTCTCTACTAAAAATACAAAAAATTAGCCGGATGTGGTGGCAGGCGCCTGTAGCCCCAGCTACCTGGGAGGCTGAGGCAGGAGAATGGCATGAACCCGGGAGGCGGAGCTGCAGTGAGCCGAGATCGCACCACTGCACTCCAGCCTGGGCGACGGAGCAAGACTCCGTCTCAAAAAAAAGAAAAATTAAAAATCATATTTTATGACGGTATTGGTATAAAGACAAATGTAATTCAGACTGGATTTATTGTTATGTATCATGATTATTATATTCATGTTTTTCTTCTGATCTTAAAAGGAATCAAAATTAAGACATTTTTATGAACCCCTAAAAGTATCGTGGGCCCTAGATGCTCTGCCTACTCCTTCTTCTCTTCTGTAAGATGCAGCTTGCATTGGCATTTGCTGCCGTCTCCATGCACGTCAGTCCATCTTCCAGCTGCCAGCACCCAAAGCACTTTGCCCGAGAGCTCTCTCTGGCTGCTGGAGGCAGCTATTTGACATCCTTATCCCACAGCTCTTAAACAATAGGTAATGGGAGATGGTATTTAAATACCCCAAATCCTTACCCCTCAGAGGCACATGTTCTTCATCAACTCCCAGAGGACCTAAGCAAGATTAACCTCTAGTCCCCCAGTGTGGTAACTTGGTTAGTATGAACTTCTGTTGGCTACTTTCCCTTTCCTGTTTCACTCCTCCACTGCCCTGCCAGTGGTTTCCGGGATCTCCTCCCCTCAAAAAAACATTCACACTCAAATCCTTGTCTCAGTCTGCTGCTGGGAGAACTCAAACTGAGACACCACAGAGACAGTTCAGATATGAGTCCCTGTCCAAATCTCATGTTGAATTGTAATCCCCAGTATTGGAGGTAGGGCCTGGTGCAGGTGATTCAGTCAAAGGGGTGGATGCAGGTGATTAAGTCAAAGGGGTGGATGCAGGTGATTAAGTCAAAGGGGTGGATGCAGGTGATTAAGTCAAAGGGGTGGATGCAGGTGATTCAGTCAAAGGGGTGAATTTCTCATGAGTGGTTTAGCGCCATCCCCTTGGTGCCATCACTACTCGTGATAGTGAGTGACTTCTTGCAAGATCTGGCTATTTAAAAGTGTGTGGCACCTCGCTCTCTCACTCTTGCTCCTGCTTTCACCATGTGGCATGCCTGCTCTGCCTTAGCCTTCTACCATGAAGCTTCCTGAAACTTCTCTAGAAACCTAGCAGACATTAGCACCATGCTTCCTATGAAGCCCGCAGAAGCAATTAAACCTCTTTGTAAATTACCCAGTCTCAGGTATTTCTATATAGCAATGCAAGAACAGCCTAACACAACTCCACTTCAGGTTAGCTTGCACTGGGGCATGAGGAAACAAAGCTCTCTAAAATATCAGCCTTACAACCAAATACAAAGGGCTAGTGACTTCACTCTGCAGAGAGGGGAAGGACAAAGAGTCTTCTACTAATTATTTTCTTACAGAGCTGTGACCTTGTTGGGAGGGGTAATCTGGCCTTGAATATTTCCTTGGTTCACTGTTGTGAAAATATTATTCCAGAAGTTTTTCTGGTCATCGGACTTTCTTAGCCTGGCATTTATTCTTGTTTCAATTTCATATGAAAACTTTAGTGTTGGCCAAAGAATGCTGGACTATTTAATTCTATCAAAGCCTGGTGAAATCTTTCTTCCTGGTGTTTTGGCTGGCGGAGTTACTTAATTTGTACAAACCAACAGCAACAGGGCAAAGCACTTTGACAATATAAAGGGTTATGGAAGGAATAATTCACATTAATCATCTGAGTTATGCTTTCATTTGCTTTAATGTGGTGGATTTGGCCATGGGGGCAGTAGGTCTTATGACTGCCCCTCAGAATAAAAGTTTAAAGGAATGTGTATTTCTGGAAAATCACTTTTCTGTAACACACCCAGAGTTCTTTTAAAGATACTTTAGTTTGCAAAACTTCAAATGAAGAGCCATTATTTACTTTATAATCCAAGGCAGAGCCAATGGGAAACCCTGGGAGAGAAGAAGCTGGAGGAATCATACATGTTTTCATGGTGGAACTTTGCAACAAATGTAATTTATTTTTTCTTTAAAATAGTTCTTATGGTTTTTCCCACATTGTTACATGGGCAATTTTCATCTCTGGTGTTCCTAAGGAGTCAGATCACAAAACAGCATAATGCTTAACAACATGAGCTTCAAACTCAGAAAGATCTGGGTTTGAATCCTACCACTTGTGTGTGACTTTGGACTGGTTACCTAACCTCTCTATACCCCTGTAGACTGAAGATAATTATTTTACCCTCCTCATATACACATGAGGTTAGTGAGGGTATAAAAAATAATGCACAACAGTACTTAGCATGCACTGAATGTATTATGTACTAACTATTACTATTTTTTGTTTCTTGATCTTAGCCAATGTTCCCTTAACCTGAATCCCTCTAATAACTTTTCTAGACACTCATAACATCCTCAGCAACTACCAAGCAGTTTCCACTCAAGGCCAGCGTGTCCTCTGCATGGCTGATCATCTGGTGTAAGATCTAGAGCTACAAAATCCTGCCCACACCTTCGAGTCTCCTGGGAGCCTGATCCCAAGCTTCTGTCCCCTTGTCCACCATGTCAGACACTCTTTAGGATTAGGTGACTAGGGTGGGACTTGGTCAAGTCTGGTGTTATGATCTCTAAAGGCCACTAAAAAGCTAACTGGCCACCTACAAGGGATTTGAGGGCTTGCCTCAACCTTTTCGCCTTAGTGAAGGCAAGGTAATTAGGTGACACAATGAGCAGAGGCCTGGAGCACGGAGAGGCAAGAAAAGTAAACTTCAGTAGGGGATACTGAGGGTACATCAGAACCCCAAGACGTCCAAGGCAACCAGGGCACACAGGGAAAAGACGAGGGTAGGCCGTGGTCAGAGCTGTCCAGATGAAGTCCAGAAGTGAGATGGCCACCAGAGATGAGTATGAACTTTGACATCCTCAACAGTCAACCCAGATGACCCAGGAGCTCAAAGTAACAACCACAAAAATAGTAACACATTCTACTGGTCTTTTGCTTTATCTCTGATACGGTTTGGCTGTGTCCCCACCCAAATCTTATCTTGAACTGTAGCTCCCATAATTCCCATGTGTCATAGGAGGGACCTGGTGGGAGGTAATTGAGTCATGGAGCAGGTCTTTTCTGTGCTGTTCTCATGATAATAAATAAGTCTCACGAGATCTGATGGTTTTAAAAGGGCAGTTCCCCTGCACATGCTCTTGCCTGCCACCATGTAAGACATTGGCTTTGCTCCTCATTTGCCTTCCACCATGACTGTGAGGCCTCCCCAGCCATGTGGAACTGTGAGTCAATCAAACTTCCTTTTTTTTTTTGAGATGGAGTTTCGCTCCTGTTGCCCAGGCTGGAGTGCAATGGCAAGATCGCGGCTCACTGCAACCTCCGCCTCCCAGGTTCAAGCGATTCTTCTGTCTCAGTCTCCCGAGTAGCTGGGATTACAGGCATGCACCACCATGCCCAGCTAATTTTGTATTTTTAGTAGAGACAGAGTTTCTCCATGTTGGTCAGGCTGGTCTCGAACTCCCGACCTCAGGTGATCCGCCTGCCTCGGCCTCCCAAAGTGCTAGGATTACAGGCGTGAGCCACCGCACCTGGCCAAACTTCTTTCCTTTGTAAGTTACCCAGTCTCAGGCATGTCTTTATTGACAGAGTGAGAACAAACTAATATAATCTCCATATCTGGTAGAGTGCTAAGCAGTGGCTGCTTCATGTAATAGTCACCAACATCCATGTGTGTTTCTGGGGCAGAAGTGCCAAGGCAGAGCCCGCAGTCAGCAGTGGGAGATCTGGGAAGAAGTCTCCACCTCAGCCCTTCCATTCACAAGCTGAGCGACAAGGGCAAACCACACAGCCTCCTGAATCTCAATAGATTCACTCTGCTGGGCAGTGGGGAGAGCCAAATGAGGCAGGGCACATGAGCTGCTCTGTAAACTTTACAGGGTCGTGCGAATAATATGTGACTCAACTTACTGTGCTTAACCCAGGGTCTGGCACCTGTAGTAAGGTGTTAATATTGAAGTTTCCACAGACACAATGAAACACAATAGTGTGAAATTCCAAAGCCAGATCTCTCATGCAAAAATTATAAGGAAAATTGTGAGGAACTGGTTTCATAACTTCTAAGTCCCCTCTTACCTACTCTGGGAATACAAAAAGAGAGAGAGAGAATGAGAGAATTTTGAACATGTGTGTGAGTATGTCTGATGTATTCATTTTTCAGAGAAAGCTGTGGTCATGTCATGAGGCTTCCCACTCCACCCATGGGAAAGAGGTAGGGAGTGCCGTCTTTGCCTCAGATTTAGCAAGGAGGCTTCCACGGGATCACTCAGAAAACTGTGAAACGCATTGCCTGCATTTGAAAGTGTGGGAGGAAAGATCAGTGTCTTACTGTGCAACTGACAGAGATAAAATGGCCATGGTTTCAAGGTTGAGGGGGTGGGGCTGGGTGGAGGTGGGCCCTGCAGGAGAGAGGAACAGAGTGGGATTTGCTTGGGTTCATCTCAACAGGGGCCCCAGGAGCTGAGGGGAGATGCTGGATCTCTAGGGGCTGTGGAAGAGCCCTCAACTGACTCCTGGAAGCGAGAAGCATCTGTTAGGATGAAGGGAACACCCAGTGAAGGGCCAACAGGAGACCTTCAAGGAGCCCCCAGATGCTCCCTAAGAAAAATGATCAGCTCCAAACACCTGCCATACCAAGAAAAAACAGATCTAGTTCTATTCACAATCAAGCAGATTTTTCCTGCTCCTACATCTCCATTCTCCCTCTGCAGCTACCCCTGACAGTCAGCAACTGTCCACCACGTTGGGCTCTGTACAGACTGATGGTTCTGTATTGTGAATATACTCTCCCCAGAGACACTGTTCAACTGCAGAAATCTGCCCCTGTGCCTTTAGAATTCACCAGCATCCTGGGGTGAAAGAGATCCAAGGGAAGTTTTACCTTTCTCTCTGCCTCTTGGCAGGCAACCTGGAACAAGTCTTGATGCATGATCCCAAACCAGACTAGCTACATAATCTGTGGGGCCTAAGGTAAGATGAAAAGGTAGGGACCCTTGTTTAGAAATTATTAAGAATTTTAAGACAGCAATAACAGAACATTAAACCAAGAGTAGGGCCCTTCTAAGTGTGGAGTCCTATGTAAACTGCACAGGTCAGGGGCCCACGAAGCTGGCCCTGACCCCAAATTATCTCTTCCATTAGTAAGCACTTATAGAGGAGTCCGGAATGTGGCTGCCTTTGAGGGAGATCTTCCTTAAACTGCACCCTTCACAGTGAATTAAACAAGCATCAGCCAGCAGTTCTCTTCTACCTCCTTCAAGCAGGAAACTAAGGCAATGGGAGCTGACTAGTGGCCGTTGTAACAGGGGAATTCTATGAATGCAAGAAAGTCTCAGCCCAGCAATGTGGCCATGGGTCCCAGAGGAAAAAATTCCTTGGCAGGTAGTCTTCATGTGAGAGCTCGGGACGGCTGGAACATTTATTTACCTGCAATCATGAGAACTGAAGAGTGACTCTCAGCTCACAATAGCATGGGCTGGTCCTGAGCTGTTCAGGATTTTGTGGGCTGGGTGGTGTAAATCCTGGCCAGATTCTCCTGGGAGGCAGCCATACCCCCCGTGGGCAGGAAAACCTCCTGAGAGACTAAACAGGGCAAGCTTTTAAAAAAACAAAATAATTAGTAGAAGGAAGAGTGAGCACTTTCAAGGGGTCCCCTTCGGGGTCCTCACGCCTTTAACCACCCCTCCCTTCTTGGCTCACTGGTGAGTGTCAGCCCAGCGGGGACACAAAGAGATCCCAGCTACATATCAGCAGCTCGCAAAGCAGAAGAAAGGCTCTGGTGTCCGGGCTTACTCCTGTTCCTTCATCGTCTTAGAAATAGGGACTTGGAGGCAAACAGTCCCATTACAATGACGAAGACTACTCTCAACATGATGCACCCAAATGAATGCATTTACCAGTTTGATGTCTGCCTTTCTTCCTGGTTTGTAAGCTCTATGAGGGAATGGGCTGTGCCTACCTGATTTCTTGTGTGCCAGAGTGTACAAAACATGTTTCAATGTATTTGTTGAATAAATGAATGAATTTAAAAGGGAGAAGTGAATGGAAATTTTGTAGAGATTTGTCAGGGCTCCTTAAAAGGCCTGGCTCTATCTCCACTTGTCTTAGGTTGCATTCCGTAGAAGCAGATCCTGATAAGATGATGAAGTGCACATGTCTCTTGAGAAAATGCTCTCAGGAGAAGGGGGGAAGGTAAGCCAGGTGCAGCAGAGGACTGAGCAAGGTTGGGGTCTCAGCTGGACACTTCTTGGACCTGTTCCCACGGGAGCTCTGGAGTATGAACTGTACCACAGAATTGTCTCACCTAGAGGTAAGGGGCCTGCCTTTTGTACCCTATGCCAGTCATGGATTACATGCTGCCCCTGGTGGGAAGGTGGGGAACCTCCCAATGGCGATTCTCTGAGGAGGGCAGCTGTGATTTCCTTAGCAGACAACACTCTCAGCAGCTGGGAGATGGGTGTAGCAACCACTCTCCATGAGACCACCCATTCTCACCCCCTCCAACAGCAAGCATGCCTGAGCAGGTGGGTCCCAAGATCTATATTCTCAGAAAAATTGGGAAACTAAGCTTTAGTCTGCTAGCCTAAGCCACATTTACAGCCTGAAGGGTATGTTGTCCTTTCCCAGCGATCACAAAAAGGATGCTTTATTTTCTGTTTGGCTTCTAGTTCTTTTGAACACAGAAAACTCTGTCCGGGACCCTGGAGGGGAGAAGCAAAGGGAGTTGGAGGGTTACCAAAACCTTTCTCTCATTCCACATTAGACACTGCCTGTATGGAGAGAGGTGTGTGATACAGAGAAGAGTCAAAGTGACTCAAAGTCTCAGCTGAGAGGTGCTACTAATGGACATCAGCTCCCACAAGCCGCTGCTGGAAACCCTCCCTGGCTTTGGACAGCACTTGGCTTAGATTCCAAACTCTGCATCCCATCACCAAAGCCTCACCTCATCTAATCACTGGCCACCTCTCTAACCTCATCTCCTCCCACTCTCCTGTTATCATGCTCCAGCAGCTCAGCATCTTTTCTGTTTGGGGCCTTGGCTCTCTCAGGGCTTTGGTGCTTGCTGTTCCCTGCACCTGGAATAGTTTCCTCCCTGGAGAAGCCAATGTTGGTCACTCAGTCCAAAGAGGTCCACACCCCTAACCCATCACCACCTAAACTATCATTTCCTGCTATTTCTCTTCTTCATTTATTGCTTGTTTATTGGATTCTCTCACCCCTCTCTAAAATGCAAGCTCCACGAGAACACAGATATTGGCTAAATTACTTGTGGCTGTAACATCAGTGACTACAAGTAGGAAGGTCAGGGAAGGGAGCTATTTGAGAGTGAAGGAGGAGGAAGAATCATATATAATATTTGGTAGAAGCTGTGATTGATGTTCCAGTGAAATATGTGGATGGAAATGCCCAGGAGACAGCTAGAGATGCCTGGCTAGACCCAAGAGAGTTTGAGCCTGGGATACATATTTCGGAGTCCTTCCCATAAAGCTAATAGCTAAAGTCGATATGGAAGAGAAGACAGTGAAGAGCAGAGCCTTAGGCAACACCCACATTCTGGAGATTTATTTTATCATGTTACCTAGAATGTTCCTCCATCTCCTATTAAGCACCCCTCTCTCAAACTGAAGTTGCAGCTTAAGAATTACTTGCCTCTTTCCCCACATTTATAATCCCTGCCCCCTGTTGCAGATGCAGAACAGCAACCCAAGTCCCTTCTGGAAGCAGCCCTCTCCCTCCTGGCAGCTGACAGAAGTCTCTCTGGCCAGGCCGGCCTTTTGGCTGCTCTGCATATGGAAGTTCAATTACTGTCAATGGGAGGCCCATCGGCAGGGTGAGGGCAGAATACACAATGGAGATCGGTGTACCAGATAGGCGCCTAGATCAAAGAAGAACCCAGAGTTTGTGAAGTCCTTTCATCCTCCCTGATGAAAGGTGATACATGAAGGCAAAATTGTTATGATTATTTCATTGGGTTCCAATTGGAGATGGGCTATAGCTCACTAGTGCAGACAATAGCAAGCAGCCTGCATGGATGTCTCTATAATATATACAGACAGGCTGGCCACAAATTCTAATTGTGTGTGTGTGTGTGTATTCATCAATAACATCACCTAAGCACTCCTTATTGTCAAGGAAGCCCTAAAGAGAATCACAGACTTGAACTCCCTGAGTCCTATAGACACAGACATACCATGAAATATATATACTTCGTAAATGTGTACAGAAAAAGCCATAAAGTAAGGGACAAAGAAAACAGTAAGGACATTTGAATTTGTCTCTCCAGAGAGAGCCCTGAGGATATACCATTCTTAGAATAAAGCTTTCATTTCACAGTGCATCAGTAGGAAAATTAACAAGCTCCCCTCGTCCTGTTCCATAATTCATTCTCTTTGTTTTAGGTATCGAGCTGACCTGGTGACTTAAAACCATGAGAAATAGCTTTTAAATACACATCTGGTCCTGGCAGTTTTGCCTTGCCAATGACAGAAGACCAACTTGTCCCATCATTAGGGAGATAGACATAATGTCACTTTGTCATTCAAATTCCTTTTCGATTTAACTCCATGTCCTTCACTGGTGCTGGCTGCTGTGCTGCAGAGGTTGTGGTTTCCAGGCTGAACATTTTCCTGCCATCCCAGCATTGCTACTGTGGCTGGATTTAGAGGTCCTTAGCTTGGGGCGAGGATAAGATGTGTCTGTGGGATGGGGGAAGGGAGAGCTTTCTCTGGCCCTGTGTTTACCTGACCTTACACGCAGCTTTTTCTTTCTCAGGGAGAAGCTTACTGCTGTTTTCATGGCTCTGCATGCCCGGGGAAAGAGGAAGGCCACAGGAAGGTGACAGCTGAGGCAGGGTATAACAGCAGGTCCCCAGGGTGGGTCATTCACTGGGCTGACAATCCAGTTGATGCTTGCTTGGGTTGGGGCTCTGTGCTAATTTGGATGCTGACAGCCAGGTGACAGCAGCAGAGGGAAAGTAAGCTGAGAAGCAGAGAGGGGGAACCTTGAAATGATGCCTCTAAACGATGGTTGACTTGTTTGTGACATCACACCCCTAAGGCATAGCTCTTTCCCCTGGGAGGGATGCTGAGTGGCAAGTAGGCAGGCTGGGTACATTTCCTTTTGGGATGTGGTAGCGACAGTGTCCTACAGAGTCAGACTGGTGGCTTTAACATCACAGGGCTTTGTCCAGCTGGATCCGGATATCCATTTGTCTAGATTCCATTTTCTCTGCTTCCTTTTTTATTCCAGTAGATATAGCAGGCTTTCTCCCTGTAGCCATGCAGAAGAGATACAACTCAGAGGTGATTCCTCTCAAAGGACATATTAGATTCTTGAAGAGAGTCTAACAGGTTTAAGTGGGTCAGATGCCATGACTCAACAGCTTCCCCTTGATCCTTTAATCTCACATCTGAAGCATAAGACCTATCCAGGTTACTTGGGGCAGCACCACCATTGTACCATTAAGGCTTCTCTTTCAGAAGGATGAATAATCCATCTGCAGCACTATTTTACACTCTAGTTCAATTCAAGACTCTGAATATGATTTATAAGTGTGAGTGATTATTTTAAGATCAACCAGGGTTAAGCCAGGGAAATTCTGTCCTCTGGTAGGGAGCCTCAATGACCAGACCACTGTAAAGCCCCAGGAATGCCAAGAACTCTGAAGAAGAAAGATTCACCTCTAAGTGAGTTGGAGGAGGCAAAGACAAAAAACAAAAAACAAACAGTACAGGCCTTAGACTAAGGAGTGTGGGAATGAGTTTCACCTCCATTTCCAGCAACTGCCACGCATAGAGTCTCTTCCAAAAATGCCGGTGGCCTCAAAGAAGAGACAGCTGCTTCCCCAGCCCCTCATTCATCACCTGCTTGCTGGCCTAGGACTGATAAGACAGATCCAGATCAAATTACCTGGCAGCTGGGAGAGCAAGGAGATAAGGAAAGGCAAGCTTAGGAGAAGTTCAGTAGAGTAGCAAAGATCAAATTGTGTATTAAATTTTCCAGGAACTAAAACCTTGCTCCCTCTGCAAACCCAGGGGAGGCACCTCCAATCAGTCAGCACCAAACAGTGTTCCCAGGAGAAAAGCAATGCCTTCAGCTTCTACTAGGAATTAAGAAAACAGAGTACTGAGACCAATTTATTATCACGCAGTTGGATGATAGGAAAATGAAAACAAAGGTTAGAGGTGAACATTATAGAGGAGCCGAGTGGCCAATGGCCAGAGAAACTTCAGGCAACAGAAGGAACACTGGGCTGAGCAAAAGACTTGGATTCTTGTTCTAGCTCCATCTCTCTCCCTTTGAAAATGCACTTGAACCCCTCTGGGCTTTATTTTTTTTTATTTATTTATTTATTTATTTATTTATTTATTTATTTATTTATTTATAAAATGGTGGGGTGAGGATTTCTTCAAGCTAAGATCTTCCTGGCTTGAAGCTCTTAAAATTTCTTGTTACTGCAGTCTTCCTAAGACATTCCATCTGATGGTTTATTCTTTTGACTCTGCCATTTTACTCAACTAAACCTCAAAATTCTTGACTATGGAAGCCTCCAGAGGTGTTGTTAAAGCTTTAACTCTTTCATTAAAAGCCATGTGACTTGCTTTATCCAATGGGAGGTTAGTAGATGTGACACAAACAAATGCTCGAAAGAGTACTTGCATGTTTCCATTTACGTTTCTGTTCTTGCCTTCTGTCATCACCATGACAACATGCCCAGTCTGGCTCCTGGAGGATGGGACACACAACGTGGGAACCGGCAAGTCACCAGAGTCATCTCAGCCAAGATCAACCAATAGTCAATTACCAGGAACGTGAGAGAATTCTGAGACCAGGACTGCTCAGCCACCTCTGCCTAAAATACCAACACACAGAACAGTAAAGTGAATGGATGTTTATTATCCTAAGCCACTATATTTTGAGATTGTACCTCATGCAGCACTATTATGACCATAGGTGACTGATATAAAAAGTAAGGAATTATGAATCATAAGAAAAAGATGAACCAAGGAAAGAATCAGCTTTGAAGAGGTGGTAAACTATGGGAGTTGGGTATGCTTTTCTGCAATGATCTTGTCTTATTTTCTTTTTTTTTAAAGGAAGGCCTACCTGAATAATTCTGTGCAGGAAGATAAAAGCAAGATTAGAGTGAGACCTATTCAGGGAGGTGTCATTTTGTGAGCAGTTCATGACCATACCCAATAATCAGGGTCTGTCTACATATCTGAATTTTAATCCTTACATATATGGCCTTAGATGAACTAAAATAATTATAAGAAGTTGTGTCATTGTAGACTTCTATTAATAAACATATACCTACATATATACATGTTTATGCACAAGAATCAGCCTGTATAGGCATATTTACCTAGGCATATTCATTGCATAGTGCTCTCATGGTTGTGACTTGGGTGGGTGTAGCAAAGTGACAGGCCAGGATCTCACCACATAGGAAGAACTTTGGTCTGGCCAAGACAGGGCCAGCTAGTGGCCTCCCTGCCATTAGCTCTGTCTGCCACCCAAGACAGAAGAAGCCAACAGTCCAAAGGGACATAGCAGCTTCATTTTGGTTCTAGTTAGTGGTGCCATAGAAGAGGAACAGGCAGATAGGATCTCATCTAGGCCATGAGACAAGCAAGAGTTCTCAAGAAGGGTAGACTCTTAGAAACAGGAGGCCAGTGAGACATGGATCTAAGAGGCATAGCCAGGTAGAAGCAGCCCTAGTCAATGGCTAGAAGTATAATATCCCAATAAAAGAGGCATTCTTAGAAAGCTGGGCAGCATCTCAGGACCACACATGATTGGGGAAAAGGGGTTGGTGAGGGGCAGACCCAGCCAGTTAGGCCTGTAGGTGCTGGGACAGGGTGGGGGATGCATTGTACCCACAGAATAAAGCCATAAGGGTGAATAGCAAGAGCCACATTGTGGATCACCCTGGAGCAGGTGTCAGAGTGAAGCCTGACATATGGAAGCTCTAGGAACACAATGGTAACCAGGGGAATAGAGGAAGAAAGAGAGGTTTCAAGGCCTCAGTAAAGCTGAGACTCAGGAACAGCAGGTGTGCACAAGTGCTAAGTGGTCTGGATTAATTCACGAGCTGGGTGCCAATGCCTGGCTCAGCTTCTATGGGCTCCTGGAGGATCCTTAAGAGGTGATAAAGTTCAGGTAAAGACAGTGGACTGGGACCAGGCAGAGCCTGGGATCCTGGGGTCATATCCAGCCCATTACCAAATCCTGTCAATTAAACTTCCAAAATGTCTCTGAGATCTGCCTGGGGCTCTCAGCATCTTTCCCACCATTGTCTCTTGTCTTGATTTAGGCAGTGGTCCTTACTTGTCTTCCTGTACGGCTGCCAGAGGGGAATTTTAAATATATAGTTTGGATTGCATCATTCTCCCTGTTTAAAACCCTCCAAGGCTTTCTGGATTCTTTCCCAATAGTTTCAAACACTTTACTCTGAGCGTCTTTGTCCCATGCATGCCATTCTCCCCCTTTCTTGCAGCTGCAGACACAGTGACCAGGCCTTGGTTGTATGATGCCTCCAGCTCGTTTCTAAGTTAGGACCTTCGCTTTTGCTCTTCCCTTTACCTGTAGGCTCTTTCTCCCGCTCCTCATGGGGCTGCCTCTTTCTCTTCATTCAGGCCTCAGCCTCAGTGCTACTTCTTTAGTGATGTCTGCCTGCGTTACCCAGTCTGAATGAGTTTTTTTTAACTTCCTATTCTACACATTTATATAGAAATAGAAGTGGCTTAGAATCCCAGGCCTTCCTCCCTGCACTGATCCCATGTCCTGGGTCTCCATTACTCTTCAGGTTAGGTATGAGAAAACTGGGAGGCAACAAGACAATATGTGTGACCTAGACTTCATGGAATTAAGTAAACATCAAACATTAGCAAAGCCACAATTTGTGGTCAGAGAAAAATTGCTAGAACCAGAGGGACATTCAATAGTGGAAGACCTAAAGTGACCACAGGGGCAAGGGCCTTGAGTGATCAGAATCCTGTTGGCAACTGACAGCCTGGATGATATTCCTTGTCCTGCTTGTCATCAGGGAGGCTCAAGCCCCTCCGCCCTGCCGCCACCTCTGCAGGGCTGAACACAGGCACTTTGTATAGGGAAACTTCAAAGACATTTTTCAAAAAGCAAAACCAGAGTGCACTTATATCTCAGAAAAAATGAGCTCCACTTGAATTTCCAACATTTCACAGATTTATGCAATCACACTTAGGTACCAAAATAACAGAGCAACAGAAATAGAGTTACTGAACTGTAATCAAGACAGAAAGTCTCCATATTTTAAATACTGGACATTGAACAACTTCTGTATTTAGCAACCCAGCTCAGACACAAGAAAATGATCAATCCAATGTGAGTTTGTTTATACTGATTTGGGAAAAGCCCCTTCATGGACTGTTGAAGGAAGTAAGATAAAGATGGAACCAGGGCAATGTGAGGAGATTCCAGAGCAGACATTTATCCTCAGCCTCTTCTGTCGAAAAGATGCAACCATTCCTTAAGAAGGAGGGATGGGGAGTAACCACTAGACCCATAGGGGTTAAGCCTACATATATTTTGTAATTTGCTCACATGTATTTATGCATCTTAATGTGGGCATAATTATGAATTTAATACATGCACTTAAATAGAATTTTCTGAAGACATTGCTTTAGTGACTCTTAAATACTGGTTCCAACAGTAGGAAGTTCAAGTGCAATGGAAGGGCAGTAAAGGGAGACACTTTGGAAGTGGGCAGTATCTTGCACTGTTATTGATACCATCTCAAGGAAGCAGCCTTCTAAACTGCTGCTGGATAGGGCCAATTCTGCTCGGAATACTGTATAGTATATTGCAAATGGGATTAGTCTGCTGAAAAGCTAACCCTATGTTCCAGGAAATTTGACTTTCCATCACAAATGATGCTAAGATCAGGCCCCATGCCAGAGGGAGAATGGCCTGAGTGCCAGGCATTCACCCGAAGGGCAAGGTCTCTGGAGGCTGCTGCACATTCTACAGGGCGGAGTCAGAGCCCTTGCTTGGAAAGGGGACTCCTGAGCCCTGGCCTTGGGTGTGCCCCACCCCACCCCCATTCAGCTTGCACCTTCCCTCCCCCATCTCCTAGTCCCAAGGCCAGGCATCTAGAAAAGCTCTCTCCTTGTTTTATCTGGCAGAACTTTGGGACAATAATTGGACTGAGTTCAACTGGCCAGGAAACCAAAGCCCAACAGAAAAATGCCTCATGAGTCCTGCCAACCTCCTGCTCCTTGCCAGGCCCAGTGCCGGACAAACAGCCCTGCTAGCGTTTGGGTTTGCGAGAGGAAGTACATTCCGTATGTGGAAGCTACATAATGGAAGTTATGTACTTTTCGGGAACTGTATAAGCAAGCACAACTGCTGCTCCCATTATGTGGCTCATGAAAGAGTTTTCACCTCCTGGGCTGGAAGGGAGTTGGTCTGTCTGCAACAAAGGCGTTTGCCTCTGTGGCTTTCTGAAAAAGAATGTGTGCGCTTGTCAAAACAGAACTTTCCTGCGTACTTGGAAGAGTGGGCCTGTCTGCCTGCCAGAAAGGAGCAAGGCTCAGTTTGGTTAAAAAGGGAAAAAAATTCCACTAAGCAGCCCCATTAGCCACTGCTCAGAGCAGCCTTCTTCTCTCACAAAGACATTTGTTCACTGTTGCAAAGCCGGCTTCCCTAGCAATTTCCCACTACTGCAGTTTGACTCGGCTGGAAGGTGGAGAGCTGGCATTAGGGATGAGTGTTTTCCCATCATGGAAAGGTTAAACAAAACTTTTCTCTGTGGTGGTCCAGAGCCCCAGGGCTCAGAGAAATATGAATACTGTGTTGGTAAATGCTCTCACTATGTTTTTCCGATCATTTTTTTTTTCTCCAAAGTAGGCTGCTGTTATTCCTCTAATGGTAGTGGAAAAACAGATGCAAAGATAACCTGACCTGGAGCGAGGCTTTGAAAACCCACTTGAGTTTTAATCAGCTGATTGTGGCAATGTGGCCCTCCTCCAGAAATTTGCTCTTGGTTGACCCCTGCCTATGCAGCCATAATAGCATGTTCAACCAAAGCAAAGCCCAGGGTTCAAATCAAGTATGACTCTATGAGTAAAGTAAATCACACCAATTTTTTCTACAAAGATGTTCTAACTTCAGTGTGACTGGCAAACATTCACTTCCAGGACCTGATAGTTCCATTTCCTTAGTGGCTCCAGGTTCCCAAGGGAATCTTCATGAAATTCAAAATTGGACCTAGAAGAGGCCATCCCATCCTCCTCTGTGAATGGATCATGTTTTCTCAAGACAGGTCTCCACAATAGAACAATTGAGACTACATGTCTATTTTAAGCCCTTGATTGTGAGAATTGCATCCATTTAATTTGAGTAGTTGGGTTAACTTTCCCTAGCCAATGACAATTACCTCCCTGGCTCCTGGGTAGAAAGGAAGAAAGAAGGCAAGCAGAACCTGGGGCTAATCTCACAATGACCTTGTTCTCTGTAGTTGCTTTGAGATGCCACAGCCCTCAAGCAACTGCCTAAATTTCACCAATGAAAGTCCTGGTAGCATGGAGGGCATTTCAGATTGAATTCCTAAAACTATCATTGGGGGCTCCAGGACAATAATTAATATTATTGCAGCTGAGAATTATTCTTTAATCAATTTATGCAAACTTGCTTAGATGCACGTGGGAGTTTCTGTTAAATAATACATGCAAACTTACAAATGGTTTATCAGTATCAGTAACTCAGACCTGTGAAAGTGATTGCTTTGCTTTGTAAAAACATGCCTGATTCCTCGGAGGTCTGAGGACTAGCATGGAACACAGTACCTGGCCAATACCATGGACTATTTTATCCCAGGCAAAACTTCATCTGTACTTGAGAGGTTAAAAATCAACAACTGGGTATAATGATAATTAGGGACAATAAATGGAACTTCAGGAATAACCTCCTGTGTTGTACCTGCTGATCTCCAAGAGGTGTCAGCTGCTTGGAGTACCCTGTGGTTCATGACAGTTTTGGGATAAAACATAAAGTCAATAGTAAGAAGCTACAAGTGGGGCCAGATTGTAATTCAAGAAAAGTATGTTAAATTTAAGAAAAACAACAGCATGCATTTAGTAAGTATGCATTTAACGTGAGCTAAGAAGATGCTGTGAGTATTAGGTGTCTCCTCAAATTAGCAAGAACACAACATTCCCTAAGCAGTGTTCTTTCCAGAAATAATTAAGCCTGGATTTAATCATACATCTAGATCTAACTACCAGTTTACAGGAAATTCAAGAGATAGAGGAACACGCTAACCAACATTATAAGGAAGAAAGAAGCCAAAACCAGAATATGAGGAATTCTATGGGACAGAGAACCTGACTCCTTCAATACAGGCATACCTCAGAGATGCTGTGGGGTCAGTTCCACACCCTTGCAATAAAGCAAATATTGCAATAAAGCCAGCCACACAAAATTTTTTGTTTCCAAGGGTATACAAAAGTTATGTTTCCAATATATTACAGTCTATTAGGTATGCAAAAGCAATGTCTAAAAAGTACATACTGGGCTAGGCGTGGTGGCTCACGCCTGTAATCCCAACACTTTGGGAGGCCGAGGCAGGTGGATCCCCTGAGGTCAGCAGTTTGAGATAAGCCTGGCCAACATGGTGAAACCCCATCTCTACTAAAAATACAAAAAATTGGCGGAACATGGTGGTGCACACCTGTTGTCCCAGCTACTTGGGAGGCTGAGGCAGGAGAATGGCTTGAACCTGGGAGGCGGAGGTTGCAGTGAGCCGAGATCGTACCACTGCACTCCAGTCTGGGTGACAGAGTAAGACTTCATCTCAAAATAAATAAATAAATAAAATAAAAATAAAAAGTACGTACATTAATTTTAAAATGCTTTATTGCTAAAAAAGAGAAAAAGTGCTCATGATTGTCTTGAGACTTCAGTGAGTCATAATCTTTTCGCTGGTGAAGGGTCTTGCCTCAGCGTTGATGGCTACTGACTGATCAGGGTGGTGGTTGCTGAAAGCTGGGGTAGCTATGGCTATTTCTTAAAATCAGACAGCAAGGGAGTTTGCTGCATCAGTTGACTCTTCCTTTCACAACAGATTTATCTGTAGCATGTGATGCTGTTTGATAACATTTTACCTACAGTAGAACTTCTTTCAAAATTGGAATCAATCCTATCAACTCCTGCCAGTTCGTCATCAACTAAGTTTATGTAATATTCTCAATTCTAAACATTCTGAATCCCTGTTGTCATTGCAACAATGTTCACAGCATCTTCACCATAAGCAGATTCTTTTTTTTTTTTGAAATGGAGTCTTGCTCTGTTGCCCAGGCTGGAGTGCAATGGCGCCATCTTGGCTCACTGCAACCTCCACCTCCTGGGTTCCAGCAATTCTCCTGCCTCAGCCTCCCAAGTAGCTGGGATTACAGGCATATGCCACCATGCCCAGCTAATTTTTGTATTTTTAGTGGAGACAGGGTTTTACCATATTGGCCAGGCCAGGTCTTGAACTCCTGACCTCTTGATCCATCCACCTAGGCCTTCCAAAGTGCTGGGACTACTGGCGCGTGAGTCACTACACCCAGCCACCATAAGCAGATTTTATCCCAAGAAACCACTTTCTTGGCTCATGCATAAGCAGCAACTCCTCATTCATTCAACTTGAATCATGAGATTGCAGCAATTCAGTCACATCTTCAGGCTTCACTTCTAATTCTAGTTCTCTTGCTATTTCTTTTTCTTTCTTTTTTTTTTTTAAATAGAGATAGGGTCTCACCATATTGCCCAGGCTCATCTTGAACTCCTGGGCTTAAGCAATCCTCCCACCTCAGCCTCCCAAAGTGCTAGGATTACAGTCGTGAGCCACCGTGCCCAGTCTAGTTCTTTTTTGCTATTTCGACTGCATCTGTAGTTACTTCCTCCACTGAAGGCTTGAAACCCTCAAAGTCATTCATAAACGTTGGAATCAACTTCCTCCAAACTCCTGTTAATGTTGATGTTTTGACCTTCTCCTATAAATTATGAATGGTCTTAATGACGTCTAGAATGGCGAATGCTTTCCAGAGGACTTTCAATTTACTTTGTCCAGATTCATTAGAGGAATCACTATCATAAGGCAGCTATAGCCTTATGAAATATATTTCTTAAGTAATAAGACTTGAAAGTCAAAATTACTCCTTGATCCATGGGCTGCAGAATGGATGTTGTGTTAGCAGGCATGAAAACAACCTTCATGTTCCTGTACATCTCCATCAGAGTTCTTGGGTGACCAGATGCGTTGACAGTGAGTGGTAATATTTTGGAAGAAATCTTTTTTTCTGATTCATAGGTCTCAACAGGGGGCTTCAAATATTCAGTAAACCATGCTATAAATAGATGTGCTGTCATGCAGGTTTTGCTGTTCCATTTATAAAGCATAGGCAGAGTAGATTTAGCATAATTCTTAAGAGCCCCAGGATTTTCAGAATGGTAAATTAGTACTGGCTTCAACTTCATGTCACTAGCTGCATTAGCTCTTAACAAGAGTGTCAGTCTGTCCTTTGAAACTTTAAAACCAGGCACTAACTTCTCCTCTCTAGCTATGAAAGCCCTAGATGACATCTTCTTCCAATAGAACATTGTTTTGTTTACCCTGAAAATCTGTTGTTCAGTGGAGCCACCTTCATCAATGATCTTAGCTAGCACTTCTGGATAACTTGCTGCAGCTTTGCATCAACACTTGCTGTTTCACTTTACACTCTTATGATGTGATGATGATTTATTTTCTTAAACCTCATGAACCAACCTCTGCTAGTGTCAAGTTTTTCTTCTGCAGCTTCCTCACTTCTCTCAGCCTTCATAGAATTGAAGAGAGTTAGGCTTGCTCTGGATTAGGTTTCAGCTTATGGGAATGTTGTGGCTGTTTTGATCTTTCTTCCAGACCACTAAAACTTTCTTCATATCAGCAAAAAGGCTGCTTCACTTTCTTATCATTCATGCATTCACTGAAGTAGCACTTTTAATTTCCTTCAAGAACTTTTCCTTTGTATTCATAACTTGGCTAACTGGCACAAGAAGCCTAGCTTTTGGCCTGTCTTGGCTTTTGGCCTATCTTGATGTGCCTTCCTCACTAAGTTTAATTATTTCTAGGTTTTGATTTAAAGTGGGAGACATGTGACTCTTCCTTTCACTTAAATGCTTAGTGGCTATCATAGGGTTATTAATTGGCCTAATTTCAATATTGTGTCTCAGGGAGTAGAGAGGCCCAAAGAAGGAAGAGAGATGGAGGAACAGCTGGTGAGTGGAGTTGTCAGAACACACACAACATTTATACATTGAGATTACCCTATTCTATGGGTGTGGTTCATGGCACCCCAAAATAGTATCAACAGTAACATCGAAGATCACTGATCGCAGATCACCATGACAGATATCATAATGAAAAAGTTCAAAATATTGCAAGAAGTACCAAAATATGACACAAAATATGCTGTTCAAAAAATGACACAAATAGACTTGTTCGTCTCAGGGTTGCTACAAACCTTCAATTTGTAACAAGTGCAATAATCTGCAAAGTACAATAAAGCAAAGAACAATAAAGTGAGGCATGCTTGTACATAAATGGCATTGAAAACGTGAGAAAAGACACAGGTTAAAAGAAATGAGATGTATTTTAAAAAACAATGCATGGAATTCATTTGGATCATGATTTAATCAAACCAACTATAAAAAAATTTTTGAGATAATCTGGGAAATTTGAACAAAGATAGTTTATTAGATAATCTTAGTGATAATATATTATGGGTATGTTAAAAATGAATGTTTATCTATTTAATATACAGAAATGAAATAACTGAGATTTTCTTTTAAATATTTCAGCAAAGAAAGTGGGATATAGATAAAACAAGATTAGCAAAATGTTGATGTTTGCATAATGTGTACATGAGATTTCATTATACTATTCTGTCTACCTTTGTGCACATTGAAAATTTCCAGAATACGGTTCCAAATTAATGGAAAGAAAGTGCTGTGAGAGTTGCAGCTTTCTGGCAAGAGAATCTTGAACACTTGCTGCTGCCTTGCTTTGGTGGGGATGGGGTTGTGCAGGGCAGCAGGGTGATCACAAAGCCTGGGACTGATGGGCACGGCTGGCCTGTGGGAAACATGCAGCAAGCTGGTTCTCAAGGCAGCCCATGAGGCTGGCCATTGCTTAAGGTCTAGAATCACAGAGCTTGACGCCTCCCCCTGCCCTCTTGACTTACTTCTCATCCTCTCTTCTATTCATCCTTAAACATACATCAAACACCTAACACAATGTTTCCTGGGGAAACAGAAGGAATAGGCCATGTGTCCCACTCTTAAAGGGAGGACACACAAATACCCAGAATGAGAGAGTTAGTTCAACAGTGCAAACCCTTAAGCATCTTTGACCACTTGGACCAGCAGCATCCCAGAATATATCAGAGGACAATCATGGTGGCCACAGGGAGACACAAGGGTCAGCAGCCCTTAGAGGGTCTGGCAACTTTGGCCACAGTTAGGTGCTTCCGAATGCTGGTCAGGCTTCCCCTTGCAGTGGCCTTTATGATCCCTAAACCAGGATCAGAGCAACCAGACTCTTTCTTTGCTGCCTGGCATTCCAGCTTGGGTGACTGATCCAAGCATAGGTGTGCACAAGCCATAGCTCCTTGGCTGAAGGCACTTCTGTAGCTACCCAGCGGGCTCATCTTGCCTGCTGCCCAGGCAGAGCCTATTTATCAAGACAGGGGAATTGCAATGGAGAAAAAGTAATTCACACAGAGCCAGCTGTGCGGGAAACTGAAGTTTTATTATTACTCAAATCAGTCTCTCTGAGGCCAGATCCCGTGGCTCACCCCTGTAATCCCAACACTTTGGGAGGCTGAGGCGGGCAGATCACTTGAGGTCAGGAGTTTGAGACCAGCCTGGCCAACATGGTGAAATCCCGTCTCTACTAAAAATACAAAAATTAGCCAGGCTTGGTGGCACATGCCTGTAATCCCAGCCATTCAGGAGGCTGAGCCAGGAGAATTGCTTGAACCTGGGAGGTGGAGGTTGCAGTGAGCTGAGGATCGTGCCACTGTACTCCAGCCTGGGCAACAGAGCAAGACTAAGTCTCAAAATAAATAAATAAATAAATAAATTAATTAATTAATAAGTCTTCCCAGCATTCAGTGATCAGAGTTTTTAAAGATAATTTGGTGAGTAGGGGCTTGGGAAGTGGGGAGTGCTGATTGGTCAAGTTGGAGATGGAATTATAGGGGATAGAATTGAGGTTTTCTTGCTGTCTTCTGTTCCTGGAGGGGCTGGCAGAACTGGTTGAGCCAGATTACTGATCTAGGTGGTGTCGGCTGATCCATCCAGTGCAGGGTCTGCAAAATATCTCAAGCACTGATTTTAGATTTTATGATAGTGATGTTATCCCCAGTAGCAATTTGAGGTTCAGACTCTTGCAGCCAGAGGCTGTATGAGCCCTAAATGATAATTTCCAATCTTGTAGCTAGTTTCTTAGTCCTACAAAGGCAGACTTGTCCCCAGGCAAGAAGGGGGTCTTTTAGGGAAGGGCTGTTATCAATTTTGTTTCAGAATCAAACCATAAACTGAATTCCTTCTCAAGGTTAGATGGGCCTATGCCCAGGAATAAACAAGGACAGCTTAAAAGTTAGAAGCAAGATGGAGTCGGTTAGGTCTGATCTCTTTCAATGTCATAATTTCCTCAGTTATAATTTTTGCAAAGGCAGTTTTACTTCCTTGCTGATTCAATTGCCAGCCCTGAGACCATGTCATCTAGATCAACCTCCAGGAGGCACATGGCACAGGCCTGCTGGCAGCTGCCATTCCTGGCAACATCGCTCCACACCCCTGGCTGACTGAGCACATTTGAAAGCGTATCACGTAAGCTCCTAAGAATAACCATTTCACACCTCTTAACTCTGTGTTCCCCTATTCCCTTCCCGCCTCCTTTCCTGACACAGACACAGCCCCATGTAACCTCTGTCCTTCATTCCATTGTTCTTCTTCAAAAGTGTGTGACCACCTGCAGCCCAGTTATTATGTTTCGCTCACCTCTCCTCCATACCTGTTCTATTTGAAGAGCTCCAAACAATTGTTTGGGCTAATTGAAAGAACTATTTTAATGAGAACCAAGTCTGTGGTGAATGAACAGCCATGATTAGAGAATGTTTTGTTCAGAAGCAGTCTTATTTCTACAAAGCATGCACGGTACCTCTAACTGCTTATCAAACAGCTACAAATAAAGCCCCTACCTGTCACACTGGTGGGTTTTAAACTGGCCTCCCTGATATCACAGGTCTCTGTGGAGGTTCTTAAGGGGCTAACACTGGCAGTGCAAGAAGAATGAGATGGTTAGGGGATATCGAAGCCTGCCAGGTCCCACCCAACCACCTCAAAGAGTTCCTCTTTCTTTGGCTACAGCTATTAGAGTTGTGCATAAGATAGACAGAATGATAGAGACAGAGAGAGAAAAAGAGAGTGAGAGAGAGAAAAAGAGCAAAAGAAAGATTCCTCACCTATAAAAACAAAGTTAAACAGCATCACTTCAATAAATATTCTAACTCACTGGATTTACATACAGCCTTGCTAACGGGCTTGAAAAATGACCCCTTAAGATGTCTGAATATGCCGTTTGCATTTTTGTTTAATCTATTTGTTTTGTTAGCAAACCTGTCCTTCATAGCTATCATGAAAGCAAATCAGCCCAGTCCTGTGTGATCTTACACAAATTTGCAGAACTGGTGGATTCAAAGGTAATTACATTTTCTATAGTCAATCTTTTCTCCAAGTGGAAGTTTGGTGTCACCAATAAGCCCACATTCCATTATGGCATGCCCTTGTGGCTGAGTGCGCCTGGTCAGACCCCATATCAGTGCTTAGGGAGCCACCGAGTGCAGCAGGAGTAGTGGGGGTGGAGCCGTGTGGTAATTGTGTGGAGGAAATCATCTCTCTTGATCATGAAACTGACCAGTTTCCTGCTGGCAATCCAGGTTGATAAATCCAAGTGACCTCAGACATGGCCCTCCTAAACCCTCCTACTCCAATAATTCCTGCAGCAAAAGGCCAAGCAACAGTTGACAGTGACAGGAAAAGTGGCTACACCATCAATCACAAAGGAAATCCCACAGCTCCAGAGCAGCATTGAGAGTTCCTCACTGCTCTCTTGTCACCATTTCCAATAAAAATGATGGCAAGTTACCATCTTATAACTATAAAACTCCTTCATTTTGCAAAGCCGATAAACAAGTATGGATGCCACTCTTTCTGTGGATTCTCTAAGACTTGAGGGGACTACATCAAATGGAGAAGAGGGCAGAGAGTGATATTCAGGCAACGGTTGTATTCCCATTCAGGAGTCAGACAACCATAGTCCCTGGCCAACAGCTGGGAACAGAGCATTCTATTTATATCAACAAATCTTTATGGAGCACACATTCCAGGCAAAGTCCTGTGATCTCACTACCGGATCCACAACGATGGAAGGGACGTGGTCCTTTTCCCGGGAGCTTGTAGTCTAGTCAGAAAGCAAGGTTGTAGTCAGCTAGCTGTCACATTTAATGCAGAAGGTGTTAACACCATGAGAGAAAGTGAGCAGATGCTAAGGAGGTGCTGGGAATGGTACAGAACCCTCAAGGCCTGGACAGGGGGTGTGAACCACTCCCCAGACCCTGCATTTGACTTGGGCTATGCTGCTAGGATGCTCCCAGTACTACTGCAGCCCTTTCCATGTAAACAGTGCTGATGCAGAACAGAGGATACCATGTTCCCAGGGACACCATGGGAACCCATAGAGACTCCTTAGATGCTGGTTTTGGTGCCAGGAAGTGCCAGCCAGATGAATGGCACTTATACAAAGGAATAATGGTCAGTAGTCTGCTTGGTTTGATTTTGAGACCAGAGAAATTGTTTATTCCAAACTATATCTGTGGTTTGCCTCTTTTGAAATAAAATGTTTGTCTTGTAAAAAAAAATAGTAATACCTTTGTAAGGGACAAGGGCTAGCACATTGGGTTGATAATAGGTCACTGGCACATTAACATGCACAGATGCACAGAGCTGACATGTTTGACAAACAAAGAGAACGTGTCACTCAGTGGCTCCTACTCTTCCTGGTTCTTCAGCCTCATCAGGAACTTCAGGCCCTTGATTTCTCCATTTTCTTCTGTAAATTATCCATTTCCTTCACGTACTCCCCTACCCAGCTGAACAGTATATGCTCACTCTAGGGAAAGTTACTGCCAGGTTACAGAGAGGTCCTTTGACTTTCTGCCGCTGAAGTTATAAACAGGCGTGCATCATTTCCATCCTCTACTCCTTCCACCTTGGTAAAATACAGGAGCCCAGTGATTATTGGGCTGAGACAAGGCCCATCCCGCTGTGCTCTGGATCTCTTCTCTCTCAGCTTCCAGGGATCTCCTCCACTCTGTTATCCCCTACTCCACCCCATTGGTTCTTTCCCATCAGTATTTATAACATAATCAGATCGCTTCCATCTGAAAAAATAAATCTTTCCACAACCCATGTTAATCCTCTCCAGCTGCTCCTCAGAGCCAAACATTAAGAAAGTCTTGAACTGTAAACGCTTTCCACATCCTCACCTCCCATCTTTTCTCAGCGCAATCAAGGTGGCTTCTGTTCCAATCGCTCTGCTGAATGTGCACCACTTTCCCTTGCCACCCCCTACCACATTTCTTAGTTGAAAAACCATGGCTGTCTGTCTGTTCACGCTTCAGCTCAAAGATCACTTCTGTTTTAAAGGATTTTTTAAAATTTTATGTATGTATGTATTTATTTATTTTGAGATAGGGTGTCACTCTGTCACCCAGCCTGGAGTGCAGTGGCACAATCACGGCTCACTGCAGCCTCAACCTCCAGGGTACACGAGATCCTCCCACCTCAGCCTCTCAGGTAGCTGGGACTACAGGCATGTGTCACTACACCTGTCTAATTTTTTTTTTTAATTCTTTGTAGAGACGAGGTCTCACCATATTGCCCAGACTTGTCTCAAACTCCTGGGCTCAAGCGATTTGCCCACCTCGGCCTTCCAACATGGTGGAATTACAGACATAAGCCACTGCTTTCAGCCTTAAATATCACTTTTGGGAAGCTATCTCTGCCCTTAAGACTGGGTTGCATACCTCTTATCTTTGTTCCCATAACATTTGACTTTTGCTCTTATCGGGAAGCTTATTGAACTGATTTCCAAAGACCCATTTGCTTCTCTGATTATAACCTCCTTGAGGGGAAGGGCTGTTTTTTGCTTGCTAAGGTAACCCACTGCCTGGCACAATGTCTGGGACAAAGAAAGGTGTTCAAGGTTATGGAGCTAGTGATAGGCAATATTAAGCATCAACCCCTACCTGAAATAGGCTCTGTTTCTAATGACTCCAATAAACTGATTTCTCAAGACCAGAGTTTCTCAAACTTTAATGTGCCACTCATCACTAGAGCATCTTGTTAAAAGGCAGATTCTGATTCAGGAAGTGTGAGGGGAGGTCCAGGATCTGCATTTCTAACCAGCTTCCATGTGATGCTGATGCTGCTTGTCTATGGGTCACACTTAAAAGCAAAGGTCGAGCTGACATAAAAACAAGGGTTTTATAGATTATATTAGAGAAAGAGGATCACCTAGTCTACATTCAGATCCCAAAGACAATGTAAGAGGGACTGCAAAGGGGGTTCCTCTGCCCCCTCTCCTCTTTTTCAGAGCTGTCTGCTCCCTAACAGCCAATAAGAAATGAGAAATTCCTGCCAATGCAGCTATATACTTTAACTCACACTGCAATTTTTGACGGCATTTCTCACTCTAGGAAAGATTCCAATTTGACAGTGGCAGGTGAGATAAACCCTGAGTTATCAAATTGTATTTCCTGGATCTGTCTAAACAAATTCCCTTAAAACCTGCTGAGGAAATAGTTCTGCTATTTCCCCAGTAATCTGGGTAGAGTTGATGTCATTCCAAACTCAGAGATCAGTCAGGGCCATTCTCTTCTGACTGTTTAAGGTGCCTCACTCAAAGAACTCCATGCTTTAGAGATGTTTTCTCTGTAAGAAATTAAAGAGATGGTGCCCATGAGCCAGCCAAGCAAGGGCCTGCCGTTCCATGGCTGGATAAGTACACTGGAGGGTACCGAGGGCTGTGATGTACCCAAGTTATGGATACTGACTGTTGAACGTTTTTCATGCCAAGTATACATAGCTTACTATTTCTTATGGAATTAAACATACACCCTTCCTTCTAAGTTTGCAGCCACTATTATCTTACTCTGCCATAACTACTCATCTTTATTAATATTGCTCTAGTGTATTTATCTTATTGTGTACATTGGTACAACGGGGCACCAATGAACTGCAAATTAACAACACCACATAGATATAACAGTGCAGCAACAGCAACCAAAAAGTCATTAAAACAAGAGAAAATAAACAAAACCTAAGTCTCTAGGACCTTAGCAGACTTTAATTCTAAATATATCAATTTCTTTCTCCCTGTGCCAAAGTTGTCTAGGAAAGTCCACATTATAGCCAGCTGTCTTGCAAAATCCAAATTTGGATCAATGCTCAAAAAGGAGATAGAAATAAATGGAAGTCTGAATCAACTTAAGCCCTCTCTTCCATTAAGAAAATCTTTCATGTATGCTTTCCTGATGAGGGTAGGGTCAATGACAATGTCTTTATTTGCCATATATGCTAACTTTTCATCCCACCTCAATTTTACATTTCTGCACAAGGGTATCTCTCCCTCCTCTGATTGTGTGTTTCTGCTTAAAACCTCAAATACTACTCCACATCACCCTATAATCCCATTAGAATGATCACTGAGCTTCGTGTGTAGATTGCCAAAAATGTCCATTATTATTTCTCTTTCTCTTTTTGTATCCACACCCCTTTGCAACATGACTTTGCTGCCTTTCCAATCAAGAGACAGAATTAGGCCGGGTGCAGTGGCTCATGTCTATAATCCCAACACTTTGAGAAGCCAAGGGGGGTGGATCATTTGAGGTCAGGAATTTGAGACCAGCCTGGCCAGCATGGTGAAACCCGTCTCTACTAAAAATACAAAAATTAGCTGGGCGGTAGTGGCATGCGCCTGTAATCCCAGCTACTCTGGAGGCTGAAGCAGGAGAATCACTTGAACTCGGAGGCGGAGGTTGTGGTGAGCCGAGATGGTGCCACTGCACGCCAGTCTGGGCAACAGAGTGAGGCCCTATCTCAAAAAAAAAAAAAAAAAAAAAAAAAAAAGAATTAAATTCCCATTCCTAAAATCTGAGCTGGCCACATGACTTTCTTTGACTGATAAAATGTGGCAGAAGTAACACGTTAAAGTTTCAAGCTGAGGCCCCCAATAAGCCTTGCATGCCTCACTCACCATCTGAGGCCCCTGGCATCTGCCATGTGAACAAGCCTGGGATAGCCTGCTGGACCATGAGAAACAAGATAGGGCAAAGTCACCCCAGTTATCCCAGCATAGGCCCCAGATATGTAAGAGAGTCTGATGAAGATGATCAAAGCCAGCTCTAGTCCACCTACTAGCGGACCACAGATGCGTGAGTGAGCCTAGTGAAGCGAGCTAAGTCAGGCCAAGATCAAAGAAATGCCCAGTCATGGTTCACAAATATTTAGTTGTAATTTCAGTGTTTATATTTACCAAATTATGCAAACACAAAAACAAAGTGAAATAAATCTGTGCCATTCCCAAGAGCATTCCTGGAATGATAAATAAGATGAATTTATACCACATTTCAAGCATAAGATAAATACACATACATGTATATAAACCCAGTCATGAATGTGTGACCAGGGACAGATGGCTCACCTCCCTACCTCCCCACCCCTTCCATGACAGGTCCTATGCCTAGCACAGAGCTGAGCACACAGCAGGCCTTCCACATAGACAGGGTAAATAGATATGGCTTCCCCACTTGTCTTACAGAAAACTGAAATGGATCTTTAACAATATACCAGAACAAGATCAATTCTAAATAAGATTATGCCTTCTTGACCTTTTTTCTTTTTCTGGCCTGGGCATAATGGCTCACTTCTATAATCCCAGCACTTTGGGAAGCCAAGGCCAGAGGAGCACTGGAGCCTAGGAGTTCAAGACCAGCCTGGGCAACATAGTAAGACCTTGTCTCTAAAAATATATTTAAAAAAAGAAAATTTCCATTTTTATGCTCACTCACTCAGGAGTTCTCAACTTCTTTTGCTGTCCCCGGACCCCTGAGGGACAAACACTGTCTTAGATGATGGTGGCTCACCGCAGGATTGCGCAGGACCCCTCCTCCCATGGTAGGAGGAGGTGCTTATCAGAAAAAGAACATGGGTGTTGTTGAAAGGCCTCTTCTCCCGACGATGTAATTCTGATATACCCCCTCCACCTGGAGAATTACCAGGCCTAATATCCTAGGGTGAATGGTCTGTTTCTAAGCCTTCGCCAACCAATAAGCTTCTAGACCTGTGCTGCCTTATATGGCCTCTAGCCACAAATGGCTATTTACATTTAAATTACTTAAATAACATTAAAAATTCAGTTTCTTATAGCACATTTTAACTGCTCAATAACCACTTGTGAACAGCACAGAGAGCATTTTCATCCTGGGAAGTTCAACTAGACAACTCTTCTAGTATGAATGCCTTTCCATAGGTCTCCGCAGCCAACCCACCCTACATGAAATCATCTTATTTTCTAATCCTCAGCTTATCTATTATCTTTTCACTTTCATTTGACTTATCTTTTTCATGGCTGCCCCTTGTGCACCTTTGCAGCATTAGTTCACGCAAGCCATCCTGTGCACCTTCCCCCAGGCCCTGGATGTCGGCTTGGGTATTTTTCTTTCTTTAAGAGCACTCTCAAAACCCACATTTACATTTAAATGAAGGTCCTACTTCAACCAGACAGAGGTATGCCTAGAAATAAATCCATATATTTCAGGCAGGGGAATTATCTTCATTCTTATGCTATAACCTGTCTGGACTCCATTAGAAATGACTACAAATCCACGGTTCCCTGTGGCTTCGGGAACAAAGTGCTGATGTAGTCTCTCAGCTAGGAATCCAGATTGCAAACCCTGCTATTCTTTCCTGGGCTGTGCTGTATCTAACACAACCAATAGAAGTTTAAAGCTGAGCGATAAGTCTTGTTGCCATGATTGGACATTGAGCAGAAAACCCAGACCTTGAACTGTAATGGGAGCATGTGAGCCCCATTACAAGTCAAGGGTAAGCCATCTTTCTCTCTTTTAGGAATTGGCTGTGCTGGGGATTTCCAAATCTAAGAGGGGTCATCTTGACCTCCTCCTGCCTTTGGGAGACCTTGTTCATCTCTAAGCAAACAACACAAATCTGCCAACTCAGAGAGTAGACTTTATAATTTTAGCAACTTGAAGGTGGGGGAGTATAATTAATGTTTCTGGAAATGAGAGAATAAATAAGACCACTCATAGGTTGGGTTCCTCTGGAAGCAGACAAAACAAGAATTTAAGTGCAAGTAATTTATATGGAAGATGATCCCAGGAGGCCCCAGCACAGGGTGAGAAGGTGAGCAAAGGAAAGGAAGCCAGTGCAGAAGGTATTAATGGGCAGGTTACAGCTGTAGTCAACTGTGGCTCAATCTACCAGGGTACCCTGGAAGACAACACAGACCATGCTTCAGTGGTGCTGGGATGAGGAAGCTGGGGTATATATCCTCCAATTCCCAACTGTCATTTGTTGGCGACATTAGCTACCCATACTTCTGCCCCATCCCATGAGTAAGTCAAACACAATCCTGTGGAAAGAGAAAGCCCACAGGATAGTTTCAAGTGCTGTCAGCATATGTGAGTGGTGACACAAAGGTGCTATAGGTGGGGCACCAATAGCTCTGCCATACCCCTTTCCTTACTACAATGGAATTTCATCCCTTTCCTTAAGCAAACAGGAGGTTTGTTTCATATCACTTGGATAATTTCAAAAATCATCTTAAATTATTGTGCATGGTGAGAACCATATTATGTCATTCCCACCCCTCGAGTATTGAAGTCAACCTGGGCCCTGGAAGGTTACAGTGGGTACAGGGGACATATGCTGCATTGTGCTGCTCAGCTTTCCTCTTTCCATCCCATGTCATTCTGGCGGGATGGAAATGCCTGTGTCTGGCTGCAGAGATGTAACCTGCCCATTAATACCTTCTGTATCTGGATAGACAGAGACTGAATCCTGGTGACATATGAACCCCTGGCCCCTGCTTTGCCCGAGTCAGTCCACTCCTGCCCGTCAAAGCACACAAGCCAACAAATGCCCCTACCTGTTAAGGCTGAGTTGAATTGGGCTCCTGCTACTTACTTGAAAGAGTCCTGTCCAAACAATGGGTTTGAGAATATTATGCTGTTTGTTGTTTTGAGGACAAATTCTCCCACCATCAGACTGTGATGACATTAGACAGAGAGAAGAGCAGCCACTGCATTCACCATTGGAATGTCAATGTCAGCACAGTGACACTGTGCCTTTGCTCTGAGGACCATGGGGAAGGTTATGTTTGCCTGAGCAACAGTTTGCTTTTGTTTTGTGGACACTAAATTGTACAACTAATCTGTTTCCCTCCTTGCATTGGCTGCTAAGAAGCCCCAAGAGAATTTTTCTTCTATTATTTTCTCCCCTCATTGCCCAATTTCTTCACATATTTTATCTTCTGTACCATAGGCATTTGTGTACACCACTGCAAACCTGGGTGTTTTTTTCTTTTTCTTCTTTTTCTTTCGAATGAGGAATATTCGAAAGAAATATTCAAAAGCAGATGCATTTCTACCCTTTGACTTCAGCTTGTCACTGTAATGAACTAATCCCATAATGAACTAAGCACAGCAATGTTGAGCTTCTCTCCATTTTCCTGCCTCAGGGCTTCCTCCAAAGCCACCAGGACAACCCATACAAGTATAGCCCAGAAGAGTGGGTGAGTTGACATCCCCCAGAGAAACCCTCAGTCAAAGGGGGATGGGAATTGGCATGGAAATGCCCCAGCCTCCTATTCAGGGGGACAATTTTGAAAGCGTTCTACACAGTTTCTTAGAGAGCCCCCAGAGAGATTGAGCTTCAGGGAACCATGGCAATAACCAGCTTTGATTTGCTTCAATAACTCGCCCTTTATTGACTTTTCTTCCTTCTCTCGTCTCAGTCCCCCACTTGCTCACTTCTACTCCCTGGAATCACCTTTCAAAAATTTGCCTGCACCTAAGCTGATGTTTCAGGCTGTATTGGAGAGTACCCAAACCAAGAAAGAAACAAATAAAATGAATAAATAGATAAATGAATGAATAAATAAATAAAATTAACAACTTTTTTTTCTTAACCCATCCTAAAAAATGTGAAATGAAACAGCATTAGATTAAAAATAGTGCAAATTTCATGTATTGGGCTGTAAAAATGGCACAGAGAGGGTCCAAGAAGGTCCCCATGTGAGGTGCAAGAATCATATCCCTTCAGCAGTGAGGGACGTGATGCAATTCTGGAGTGAGGCAGTTACAAGGGACAGTTGGACATATTGCTGCCTCTTGATTGCAGTATAAAAGAGAAACCGCTAAGGGGAGGAGCTCCTTCTAAACTGCAGGCTTTCAGATACATTTATATATACATACCATGCCATTATACTAAAGAGAGTTACGTTAGAATAAAAGAAATACAAACAAACATGAGACTCAAAACTTAAACGACATTAGCTAATTAGTTCCACATCTAACAGTTTGGTGCAAATATCTGGCAGGATATACCATTCTCTCTCTGTATTTTCTGAAGAAAATTTCCATAGTATTTGTTCTCAACAGTGTAATTTGTGAGCTGTTCACACCAACCTGATGGTTTGCTTCAATTAAAGCTTCTTACACTCACAGAAACAATTACACTCTCAGGATGGGGGTGGGTCCCCTCCTACCCCCAGACTGGGAGCAATGCCTCCCTGCTCTGAGACTATCACAAGTCCCCTCCCTGGTTCAGGCAAATGATCCCTCTGAGCCTCAGAGAAGTCACCTGGAGGCCTAATTACCAGGGACCTGGTGCGGAAGCACAAAAGTGTCGGCTTACAGGAGCAGGACCAAGCCCAGAATTCTCTGTTTCCACAGGAAGAGAACACAAGTTAAATGTAGCCCATGGAGTTTGGCTTCACCTCAATCTCTTTACAAAATTTTTTTTTTTTTTTTTTTTTTTGAGACAAGGTCTCACTTTGTCACCCAGTCTGGAGTGCAGTGGCAGAAACACAGCTCATTGCAACCTCAACCTTCCTGGCCCAAGCGATCCTCCCACCTCAGGATCCCACCTCCCACCGCGCCACCAAGCCTGGCTAATTTTTTGTGTGTTTTTGTAGAGACGGGGTTTTGCCATGTTGCCCAGGCTGGTCTTGAACTCCTGGACTCAAGAAATCTGCCTGCCTCGGCCTCCCAAAGTGCTGGGTTTACAGGGGTGAGCCACCATGACCAGCTGAAAATATATATTATATATGATATAGATAATATATAAATATATATTCTATATAACATATATTATATATCATATAATATATAATATATGATATTCTATATATTCTATATAATATATAATATATGATATATTATATAATACATATTATATAGAATATATAATTATATAATACATATTATATAGAATATATATGTTTATATATTTATAATATATAATATATTTATAATGTTCATAATATATTATATATCATATGATATAATATATATTATATATAACTATATATAATATATGATATATGACATATATAGTATATATTATATATCATATAATATATAATATGATATTATATATCATGTATTATATGATATATATTATATATCATGTATTATATGATATATATTATATATATAATTATTATTTTTAAATGAGAAATTAGAGTCGAGAGAAAGAGAATGGAGGAGATGGTTCTCCTGGTGCAGGCCTCCTCAAAGGGGAGCTGTGAGGCAGGGAGGGACACTCTGGCCAAGAAGAGACCTGGGCTCTGCCTTGGCCTCAGTGTCTTCACCTGTCATTGCAGGAGTTTGCACCAGCTCGCCGCAGTCCTGGGCCACAGAACAGAAGGCCCTCCAGAATTAGGGGCTTGTATGTTGGTGAGTGAATGAGGCTCTGCAGGCTCTGACAGATGGATTTAGCCAAATACATGGTCACTGAAGGGTCAGGGCTCTGAGACTGGCCTTGGCAGATCCCAGATCTGTCCTCTCTATGTCTTCCCAAAACGTGGGGGAGGAGCAGGTGACCACATGGTTCCTGAGGAAGGGCCCCCACTGGTGGGCGTGCGGTACTCCCAGGCCAACTTTCCCCTGGGTTCCCTCGAGGACTATCTGATTCAGCGAGCTCCTGGGAAAGTCTTGCCTTGAAGAAATCTGAAACAAGAATTGTAAAAATAGAGCCAAGAAACTGTTCGCTGCAGTGATGACAGAGGATATTATTTTAACCGTGAAAGACCCTGGCTTCGAATGCCTGCCTTACACTGAGGGGGGCTTGTGTCAAATGCGAGTGGACCTTGGGCCTTTGTTTCCTCCTGTGGTTGAAGCCAGGCAGGTACCACATGACTCCCTGAACCACCTTTGCCACAGCCATTTCCCTGGCTGGGGTGTGAAAGCAGGGGTGGGGGCTCAACTCCAGGGGTTTGAGGGGCAGTAGACTCAGGGGCTGAGAAAGCCCATTTGCTTCCAATAGAAGATTCCCTGGGCCTTCCTAACCTGAGAGCAGTTTGAAGCAAGGAGGATACCAGGGAGGCTCTCTGTGTGTGAGGATGGGAGCTCTGGTTCTGGGTAACAAGGCGTCATCAAGCTTGAGGCCAGTGGTGTGCCATGGAAGGAAGAGACACAACACTCTTTGTTCATGTGGAAACAAGAAAAGGAGGTGTCAAAATCCCAGGCTGCTACAACCTGCTGTGTGACCTTGGAAAAGCTTGTCACCTCTCTAGTCCCCTGAGATTTCTCACCTTTGGCAGTGTTCAGTGAATGCTCCAGAAGAAAAGGGAGTGGCAATGGGCCACACAACTGCCAGTGTACAAAGGCTCAAGGGGCATGCTGGTACTCAAGACAGAAGGGGCAGCTGGCATGAGGGGCAAGTGACAGGGTAGCATGGGGACTACACGCAAACACACACACAGGCCTTCACTCTGCAGAAGCTCCCTGACCAGTAGAGGCCAACTCTGACCACATAGCTCAGAAAAGGAGGAGCAGGGCTGAGGTGGTGGGGCAGGATTATGTGGAGGCCCAGAGGCTGCCACCGAGATATAATATGGGGAGCTAACTCCCTTCCGTTTCCCTCCAAACACTCAGCACCACTGCTCCTAAGCACTGCTCAGTGTCTGCTATCTCCTGGAAGAGCCAAGAAAGGAGTCAGAGGAGGGACCACCCTGCCCAAGAAAGAACAGCACAATTCTCTTTTCCCCTGGGGACAGCAAAGCTCAGTGCTTAAGAGTTTGGGTGCTGGGGGTCAGGCATAAGTGGGTTTGAATTCAGGCTCTGGGACACTCTGAGTATTCTTGGGCATCTTAGGGATAAGATGAGCTTCATGCCTGGTTTGTGACACAGGGAGATTAAAGGGAGCAACTTCAGAGGGTTAAGTGCCATGATGCAGGTATCCTGGGTGTTCCAGTCTGACAAATAGTAACTGCTCAGTAAATGCTGGTTATTATTATTATTGACCTCTGAGGCACCCATGGTGCCCTGCACATAGAAGAGGCTCCCTAAGTAAATCCAGCATACAGGGGACAAAGGTGTCAGGCCCCAGGAGGCTGGTTCCATGTGGTCTTGGGAAGGGAGGAGCCTATTCATGAAAATGTTCTAGCTCTGCCCTATGTCCCTGTGGCCCTCACTGTGTCCCCACCCAACCAAATGAATTGAATCAAGAGGATAACAAGGTGGCCCTCCTGGACTCAGGGTCTCAGGCTGAAGGTGGAAGGGGAAGGAAGGGGATTCTAAGCCCTTCCAGTGCCCACCCTTGAGAAAGCGTGAAACTGTAACAACACAGAGGCTCCAGAGTTAGAGGCCTGCGTTTGAATCTCAGCTCTCTCAATTTCTACCTTGTGTGACCTTGAGACTTAATATCTGTGAAATGGAGATAATTACTCCTAACTTTGGAATTACCATGAGAATTATATGAGATCATAGATGGATAGTTCCTGGGAGATGTTCAATAAACTTTAGTTTCCTTTCATTTCAAGGATAGCTCCATGAAATCTTTATGTCTCTTTCTCTGTCGTATCTATGATCATATTTGGTTTTACCTCTGCACAGAGTCAATTGCCCGGCTTCCAAAGCAAATATCCTCTTTTCATCTGTGTCGAGCCCTATTCTACCCAAATCTCTCTCTCTCTCTTTCTGTCTCTCTTTCTCTCTCTCTCTCTCACAGCCTTTTAAAAGAAAATGTATTAATACTTCTCACTCCTAGCCAAACACACTCAAGCAGGAATGAAGTTTCCAGCAACTGATGAAAACTGCAAACCAAACCCCAGCGTTCCCTTCCTTGTCCCTTCCTTCCGTCGTGTACCTAGATGTCTAATTGAATTCAGAGGCTGTCTGCCCAACATTCGGATTGCAAAGGAATGAGTCAGGCTCTAGGAGGCTGCTTCTCTGCAGATCTCCCATGTGCTGTCCTAGACATGTCCCTGTGGAAGACTGCCAGAGTCGCAGATAACACCTTCTAGGTGGAAGATGGGTTCAGTTATTTGAACCTCTTGGGTTGCAGTCTATATGCATAATGCAAAAGTCAGTGGACTATTCCCTAAATCCTATTTCAGGGATTAGTCAGCTACAGTCATTCAAACTAACACACAGACAGCTCTGCTTGACTCAGCCCACAAACATCCATCCATCACTCACTCAACAAACACATAGTGGAGCCACTGCAATTGTCAGACAATAGACAAACAAGCCCTGTCAGCTCCATCCTGTCTCCTTTCCATCCTTATGGCCATGCCCAAGCCCAGAACATCATCATCTCTTATTGGTCCAGGACAACAGCCACCAAATAGATTACCACCTTGAACAGCTTGTTAGGCCCCATACAGTCTCATGGTGCCTCATGTTCAAGCCTCATCTCCAGAGCCTCTGGTCATATATCCGACATTTCAGTGAAGCCAAGCTTCTTGTAGCTCCCACATATTAGTTTTGTGGAATGTATTAGTTATCTAATGCTGCATAACAAATGACTCCAAAACTTATGGGCCTAACACAACAATTTATAATCCCTCACTGTTTACATGACAGGGATCAGCTGGGAAGTTCTCACTTGGGCTTTCTCATGCAGTTGCAGTCAGATGGTAGATGGAGCTGAAGTCATCTGAAGGCTCAACTGGACCATATGTCCAGGATGGCTTATTCACTCACATGTTCAGAGATTCAGCCAAGATAACCAGAACAGATAACCCGATAGGATAGCCAGCTAAGATAACCAGAAACAGAGCTAATCATCTCTCCATATGGCTAGCTTAGGTTTCTTCACAGCATACAGTCTTAGAATAGTTGGAGTTCTTATACAGTAGCTGGCTTCCCCCAGTATGTGCATTTCAAGAACTATATATTACTTTTTAAAGATGTATTCCTTGAACTATTGCATTTCCACTGGATTTCTGAGACTATTACTTGTTCACTTCACAAGGCATTGGCCATGAGTGAAGTGAGGGAATTGCACTCACCTAAAACAGAAGAGCCAGTCCATCCACTGGCAAGCAGCAGTTACAAGGTAAACACTAAGGCGCCCGAGAGAGTTGGGGTCATTTAAGAATTGATTATGTCTTTATTGCTTGATGAATATGTAGTTCTGAAGTTGGGGCCTTGTATTTTCAGGATTTCTGGAACATATTTGACCTGACATTCTCATCTGACATCAGAACATCTGAAGTCTTGCTTCTTCATCTGATATCAGAACCAAATCCACTTGCTTTCCATCTCACTCAAAATGGCATAATATTGAAACTCCACCTAAGATAGAGCTAATGACTAGGGAGCATCTAGTTTATTTGGGAGGTGATAGCATGAGGAGAGTGAGGTAGGGAGGAGGAGAAGCCAATAAGGGCGATGTTAAGAAGTGAGGTGCCACTGTGTGCAAGTGGGGCTCAATTCCATTGGGACCTCCTAAGTGTCATCAAAAATAACTTCTACAAGATAGAGTGCAGAAGGATGGTTACCAGAGGCTGGGAAGGTAGTGGGTGGGGTGGGGGCAAGTGGGATGACTAATGGGTACAAAAAATAGAAAGAATGAATAAAAGCTAGTGTTTGATAGCACAATAGGGTGACTATCATAATTTTATAATAATCAACAATAATTTAATTGTACATTTTAAAATAACTAAAAGTATAATTGGAATGTTTGTAACACAAAGGATAAATGCTTAATAGATACCCCATTTATCCTGATGTGATTATTACATATTTCATGACCATATCAAAATATCTCCTGTACCCACATAAATATATTCACCTACTGTGTACTGACAAAAATTAAAAATAAAAAATCTTTAAATAAAAAATAAACATTTCCTACAACTGTCCATCCAAAGGATGGGAGTCAGGCATTTATCCACCAGCTTGCCACTAGCTGGGGGTTGCCCCTGAGAGTTTATCCATACACTGAAGCTCAGGGAGAGAGGGAGTCTGGCCTTGGAGAGGATTGGGGCAGAAAGCTAAAGAACTTGGCAGTGACTAGATGCTGTCAGGTCAGGTGAACCTGAGTTTGCCCACAATCATTCTCTGTAGGTGTCGCTGAAGAGGTGGCCTGGAAATGTGACGTGGGTCACTGGAGGCATCTGGTACAGTTTTCTTAACTACTTCTTTCTATCCAGAGGCAAAGTTGTCATCTCAATCCTTGTTCTTATAGCTTACATGAGGCCGTTTAGCCAGCTCATTGCTAAATGACAAACAGCCAGGATTTTTTTTCTGGAGTCCCCTGATTCACACTCCTTTCATTTCTAAGAGGAATAAGTGTAAAGGTTTGCCCTTCCTTTACCTTGAGGCCCTGTATGAGAAGGGTTTTTATTTCTGAATGACATTCTTCTCAGAAAAAGGGTCCATGACAAGCAAAGAAGCAAAGGGAACATCCCCACATATTACAGGGAATGAGACTGAAATTTGTTTGCTCAGGGATGTCATTTTCACACATCCCTGTGAATGGGGGAACCCCAGGTTCCCCTTCCTCCTTCATGTTTAGGGGAATTTGCTTTGGAACTGCCTTCCCACCTCCCCCAGTCCAATTCCATGGCCAGGGGAAATCTAAAACCCCCTTTCAGCCTCCTGCCAAGTCTTGGGAGTTTCTGTTCTCCTGGGTCCACTGCCTCATAGGCTCCAGCTTCCTTGAATGTTTTATAACACATCAATACCAATGAGAAACTCAAGCACATGTTTTGTCCCAACAACAAACAATTGTTCACATGTAGCATATGTAAATTTGGTGAATTTTTCTGAAGGTTGTGAGGGCAGACAGCAAGAGGCAGGTCTTATCCCACTTAAAACACCTCCCTGGTTCCTTCTTGAATGCCCTGAGAATTCCAAAAACTCCTTTTGTTACCGTAACTCTCCCTCTCAGGAAATCCGTCTACTGGACACCTTTAGAAAGTTTTTTTGAACAATTTTTTTATTTTTTTATTTTTATTTATTTATTTTTTTAATTATTATACTTTAAGTTTTAGGGTACATGTGCACATTGTGCAGGTTAGTTACATATGTATACATGTGCCATGCTGGTGCGCTGCACCCACTAACTCGTCATCTAGCATTAGGTATATCTCCCAATGCTATCCCTCCCCCCTCCCCCCACCCCACAACAGTCCCCAGAGTGTGATGTTCCCCTTCCTGTGTCCATGTGATCTCATTGTTCAATTCCCACCTATGAGTGAGAATATGCGGTGTTTGGTTTTTTGTTCTTGCGATAGTTTACTGAGAATGATGATTTCCAATTTCATCCATGTCCCTACAAAGGACACGAACTCATCCTTTTTTATAGCTGCATAGTATTCCATGGTGTATATGTGCCACATTTTCTTAATCCAGTCTATCATTGTTGGACATTTGGGTTGGTTCCAAGTCTTTGCTATTATGAATAATGCCGCAATAAACATATGTGTGCATGTGTCTTTATAGCAGCATGATTTATAGTCCTTTGGGTATATACCCAGTAATGGGATGGCTGGGTCAAATGGTATTTCTAGTTCTAGATGCCTGAGGAATCGCCACACTGACTTCCACAATGGTTGAACTAGTTTACAGTCCCACCAACAGTGTAAAAGTGTTCCTATTTCTCCACATCCTCTCCAGCACCTGTTGTTTCCTGACTTTTTAATGGTTGCCATTCTAACTGGTGTGAGATGGTATCTCATTGTGGTTTTGATTTTGCATTTCTCTGATGGCCAGTGATGATGAGCATTTTTTCATGTGGTTTTTGGCTGCATAAATGTCTTCTTTTGAGAAGTGTCTGTTCATGTCCTTCGCCCACTTTTTGATGGGGTTGTTTGTTTTTTTCTTGTAAATTTGTTTGAGTTCATTGTAGATTCTGGGTATTAGCCCTTTGTCAGATGAGTAGGTTGCGAAAATTTTCTCCCATTTTGTAGGTTGCCTGTTCACTCTGATGGTAGTTTCTTTTGCTGTGCAGAAGCTCTTTAGTTTAATTAGATCCCATTTGTCAATTTTGGCTTTTGTTGCCATTGCTTTTGGTGTTTTAGACATGAAGTCCTTGCCCATGCCTATGTCCTGAATGGTAATGCCTAGGTTTTCTTCTAGGGTTTTTATGGTTTTAGGTCTAACGTTTAAGTCTTTAATCCATCTTGAATTGATTTTTGTATAAGGTGTAAGGAAGGGATCCAGTTTCAGCTTTCTACATATGGCTAGCCAGTTTTCCCAGCACCATTTATTAAATAGGGAATCCTTTCCCCATTGCTTGTTTTTCTCAGGTTTGTCAAAGATCAGATAGTTGTAGATATGCGGCGTTATTTCTGAGGGCTCTATTCTGTTCCATTGATCTATATCTCTGTTTTGGTACCAGTACCATGCTGTTTTGGTTACTGTAGCCTTGTAGTATAGTTTGAAGTCAGGTAGTGTGATGCCTCCAGCTTTGTTCTTTTGGCTTAGGATTGACTTGGCGATGCGGGCTCTTTTTTGGTGCCATATGAACTTTAAAGTAGTTTTTTCCAATTCTGTGAAGAAAGGCATTTGTAGCTTGATGGGGATGGCACTGAATCTGTAAATCACCTTGGGCAGTATGGCCATTTTCACGATATTGATTCTTCCTACCCATGAGCATGGAATGTTCTTCCATTTGTTTGTATCCTCTTTTATTTCCTTGAGCAGTGGTTTGTAGTTCTCCTTGAAGAGGTCCCTCACATCCCTTGTAAGTTGGATTCCCAGGTATTTTATTCTCTTTGAAGCAATTGTGAATGGGAGTTCACTCATGATTTGGCTCTCTGTTTGTCTGTTGTTGGTGTATAAGAATGCTTGTGATTTTTGTACATTGATTTTGTATCCTGAGACTTTGCTGAAGTTGCTTATCAGCTTAAGGAGATTTTGGGCTGAGACAATGGGGTTTTCTAGATATACAATCAGGTCGTCTGCAAACAGGGACAATTTGACTTCCTCTTTTCCTAATTGAATACCCTTTATTTCCTTCTCCTGCCTAATGGCCCTGGCCAGAAGTTCCAACACTCTGTTGAATAGGAGTGGTGAGAGAGGGCATCCCTGTCTTGTGCCAGTTTTCAAAGGGAATGCTTCCAGGTTTTGCCCATTCAGTATGATATTGGCTGTGGGTTTGTCATAGATAGCTCTTATTATTTTGAGATACGTCCCATCAATACCTAATTTATTGAGAGTTTTTAGCATGAAGCATTGTTGAATTTTGTCAAAGGCCTTTTCTGCATCTGTTGAGATAATCATGTGGTTTTTGTCTTTGGTTCTGTTTATATGCTGGATTACATTTATTGATTTGTGTATATTGAACCAGCCTTGCATCCCAGGGATGAAGCCCACTTGATCATGGTGGATAAGCTTTTTGATGTGCTGCTGGATTTGATTTGCCAGTATTTTATTGAGGATTTTTGCATCAATGTTCATCAAGGATATTGGTTTAAAATTCTCTTTTTTTGGTTGTGTCTGTGCCCGGCTTTGGTATCAGAATGATGCTGGCCTCACAAAATGAGTTAGGGAGGATTCCCTCTTTTTCTATTGATTGGAATAGTTTCAGAAGGAATGGTACCAGTTCCTCCTTGTACCTCTGGTAGAATTCGGCTGTGAATCCATCTGGTCCTGGACTCTTTTTCATTGGTAAGCTATTGATTATTGCCACAATTTCAGAGCCTGTTATTGGTCTATTCAGAGATTCAACTTCTTCCTGGTTTAGTCTTGGGAGGGTGTATGTGTCGAGGAATTTATCCATTTCTTCTAGATTTTCTAGTTTGTTTGCATAGAGGTGTTTGTAGTATTCTCTGATGGTAGTTTGTATTTCTGTGGGATCAGTGGTGATATCCCCTTTATCATTTTTTATTGCGTCTATTTGATTCTTCTCTCTTTTTTTCTTTATTAGTCTTGCTAGTGGTCTATCAATTTTGTTGATCTTTTCAAAAAACCAGCTCCTGGATTCATTAACTTTTTGAAGGGTTTTTTGTGTCTCTATTTCCTTCAGTTCTGCTCTGATTTTAGTTATTTCTTGCCTTCTGCTAGCTTTCGAATGTGTTTGCTTTTGCTTTTCTAGTTCTTTTAATTGTGATGTTAGGGTGTCAATTTTGGATCTTTCCTGCTTTCTCTTGTGGGCATTTAGTGCTATAAATTTCCCTCTACACACTGCTTTGAATGCGTCCCAGAGATTCTGGTATGCTGTGTCTTTGTTCTCGTTGGTTTCGAAGAACATGTTTATTTCTGCCTTCATTTCGCTATATACCCAGTAGTCATTCAGGAGCAGGTTGTTCAATTTCCATGTAGTTGAGCGGCTTTGAGTGAGATTCTTAATCCTGAGTTCTAGTTTGATTGCACTGTGGTCTGAGAGATAGTTTGTGTAATTTCTGTTCTTTTACATTTGCTGAGGAGAGCTTTACTTCCAACTATGTGGTCAATTTTGGAATAGGTGTGGTGTGGTGCTGAAAAAAATGTATATTCTGTTGATATGGGGTGGAGAGTTCTGTAGATGTCTATTAGGTCTGCTTGGTGCAGAGCTGAGTTCAATTCCTGGATATCCTTGTTGACTTTCTGTCTCGTTGATCTGTCTAATGTTGACAGTGGGGTGTTAAAATCTCCCATTATTAATGTGTGGGAGTCTAAGTCTCTTTGTAGGTCACTCAGGACTTGCTTTATGAATCTGGGTGCCTCTGTATTGGGTGCATATATATTTAGGATAGTTAGCTCTTCTTGTTGAATTGATCCCTTTACCATTATGCAATGGCCTTCCTTGTCTCTTCTGATCTTTGTTGGTTTAAAGTCTGTTTTATCAGAGACTAGGATTGCAACCCCTGCCTTTTTTTGTTTTCCATTTGCTTGGTAGATCTTCCTCCATCCTTTTATTTTGAGCCTATGTGTGTCTCTGCACGTGAGATGGGTTTCCTGAATACAGCACACTGATGGGTCTTGACTCTTTATCCAATTTGCCAGTCTGTGTCTTTTAATTGGAGCATTTAGTCCATTTACATTTAAAGTTAATATTGTTATGTGTGAATTTGATCCTGTCATTATGATGTTAGCTGGTTATTTTGCTCGTTAGTTGATGCAGTTTCTTCCTAGTCTCGATGGTCTTTACATTTTGGCATGATTTTGCAGCGGCTGGTACCCGTTGTTCCTTTCCATGTTTAGCGCTTCCTTCAGGAGCTCTTTCAGGGCAGGCCTGGTGGTGACAAAATCTCTCAGCATTTGCTTGTCTGTAAAGTATTTTATTTCTCCTTCACTTATGAAGCTTAGTTTGGCTGGATATGAAATTCTGGGTTGAACATTCTTTTCTTTAAGAATGTTGAATATTGGCCCCCACTCTCTTCTGGCTTGTAGAGTTTCTGCCGAGAGATCCACTGTTAGTCTGATGGGCTTCCCTTTGAGGGTAACCCGACCTTTCTCTCTGGCTGCGCTTAACATTTTTTCCTTCATTTCAACTTTGGTGAATCTGACAATTATGTGTCTTGGAGTTGCTCTTCTCGAGGAGTATCTTTGTGGCGTTCTCTGTATTTCCTGAATCTGAACGTTGGCCTGCCTTGCTAGATTGGGGAAGTTCTCCTGGATAATATCCTGCAGAGTGTTTTCCAACTTGGTTCCATTCTCCCCATCACTTTCAGGTACACCAATCAGACGTAGATTTGGTCTTTTCACATAGTCCCATATTTCTTGGAGGCTTTGCTCGTTTCTTTTTATTCTTTTTTCTCTAAACTTCCCTTCTCGCTTCGTTTCATTCATTTCATCTTCCATTGCTGATACCCTTTCTTCCAGTTGATCACATCGGCTCCTGAGGCTTCTGCATTCTTCACGTAGTTCTCGAGCCTTGGTTTTCAGCTCCATCAGCTCCTTTAAGCACTTCTCTATATTGGTTATTCTAGTTATACATTCTTCTAAATTTTTTTCAAAGTTTTCAACTTCTTTGCCTTTGGTTTGAATGTCCTCCCGTAGCTCAGAGTAATTTGATCGTCTGAAGCCTTCTTCTCTCAGCTCGTCAAAGTCATTCTCCGTCCAGCTTTGTTCCGTTGCTGGTGATGAACTGCGTTCCTCTGGAGGAGGAGAGGCGCTCTGCTTTTTAGAGTTTCCAGTTTTTCTGTTCTGTTTTTTCCCCATCTTTGTGGTTTTATCTACTTTTGGTCTTTGATGATGATGATGTACAGATGGGTTTTTGGTGTGGGTGTCCTTTCTGTTTGTTAGTTTTCCTTCTAACAGACAGGACCCTCAGCTGCAGGTCTGTTGGAGTACCCTGCCATGTGAGGTGTCAGTGTGCCCCTGCTGGGGGGTGCCTCCCAGTTAGGCTGCTCGGTGGTCAGGGGTCAGGGACCCACTTGAGGAGGCAGTCTGCCCATTCTCAGATCTCCAGCTGCGTACTGGGAGAACCACTGCTCTCTTCAAAGCTGTCAGACAGGGACATTTAAGTCTGCAGAGGTTACTGCTGTCTTTTTGTTTGTCTGTGCCCTGCCCCCAGAGGTGGAGCCTACAGAGGCAGGCAGGCCTCCTTGAGCTGTGGTGGGCTCCACCCAGTTCGAGCTTCCCAGCTGCTTTGTTTATCTAAGCAAGCCTGGGCAATGGTGGGCGCCCCTCCTCCAGCCTCGCTGCCGCCTTGCAGTTTGATCTCAGACTGCTGTGCTAGCAATCAGTGGGACTCCGTGGGCGTAGGACCCTCCGAGCCAGGTGTGGGATATAATCTTGTGGTGCGCCATTTTTTAAGCCTGTCGGAAAAGCGCAGTATTGGGGTGGGAGTGACGCGATTTTCTTGGAGCCGTCCGTCACCCCTTTCTTTGACTAGGAAAGGGAACTCCCTGACCCCTTGCGCTTCCCGAGTGAGGCAATGCCTCGCCCTGCTTCGGCTGGCGCACGGTGGGCACACCCACTGACCTGCGCCCACTGTCTGGCACTCCCTAGTGAGATGAACCCGTTACCTCAGATGGAAATGCAGAAATCACCCGTCTTCTGAGTCGCTCACGCTGGGAGCTGTAGACCGGAGCTGTTCCTATTTGGCCATCTTGGCTCCTCAAATAAGTTGTCTGTTTCTTTGAAATCTCCCAAGGGGTTTGTGAAGGTACATTTCAGAAGATTTCGAAGTCCTGAGCGCTTAGCCGTGCAGGAACAATGGTGAGTCTTTAGCCCGATCGGGAGCGGCAATGGACGCCTCGCTGGATCAGGAGTGAATAATTTTTTTATTTAAAAAAATGTTTTAGACAAAGACAGTTCACTCCACTAAAGAGGAGTTTGGTACCAGCTACTAAGTAATTCTACCTAACCCCTTTCATTATTGATGTTCAGCCAGTGTGTTATCTGAGATTCTGTGCCAGCCACTAAGATAATCCCCACCTATCCACTGCATTACTGATGCTCAGCTGCTGTGTTGATTGGCTTATTTACCAGTACTCCTTGCGGCACACCCTTTGCCTGGCCAGGGAGGCCATCCATACAACTTACACCCTGGGTGTGACCCAGAGGACACGGCTATGGTACTAGTACAAGCAATGGAAGCCATTAATTAATAAATTATGAGAATTTACTAAAAAATGCTAAGGTAGCTCATGGAATCCGAGAAACAGGGAAACCCCAGCCCCAGGAAGGCTGGGATCAGAGCTGTGTGGAGTCCACAGCCCTGCAAGTTTGCAGTTTCTTTCTTGTTTTTGTTTGTTTGTTTGTTTTGTTGTTGTTGTTTTGAGACACTGTCTCACTTTGTCGCCCAGGCTGGAGTGCAGTGGTGCAATCTGCACTCGCTGCAAACTCTGCCTCCCAGGTTCCAGCAATTCTTGTGCCTCAGCCTCCCAGGTAGCTGAGATTATAGGCACTCACCACCACACCTGGCTAATTTTTGTATTTTAACTAGAGACAGGGTTTCACCATGTTGGCCAGGCTGGTTTCAAACTCCTGACCTTGGGTCATCCACCTGCCTCTGCCTCTCAAACTGCTGGGATTACAGACATGAGCCACAACACCCAGCCAAGTCTGCAGTTTCACACTACCTCTTTGTCTACAATTAATGTGACTCTGCTGGAAAGACTGCTAGTTCATATTTGTATATATTCTAAACTTCAGATTCCCACAGCAGAGTCTGATTGGGTCAGCTTGGGTGAGGCATCTGCCTGTGGACCTATGAATGATATTTAAGGGCCAAGGAAAGTGGTAGAGACATGGCCATTTCCACAGGTGGGGTCGTGGTAGGTGACCAGGGGAGTGGGCAGGTGTATTGGACTGGGAAGCCAGCTTGGGAAGACGTGCTTCAGCTGTTCATTCATAGTCTGTGTCACACTCACAGGAGGTGGACCCTCCATTCTGAGATCACCATCCTGAGTGGCCCAACCCTTAACCCTATGTGACATTGGTGGTGTTGGTTTTTAAAGAGTATAAGCTGTAGGCTCTAATGAAATTCTAAGCCTTGTTTTGAGGTTTGAAACTTAAGAAGTATTTCAACCTTTCTGCCACTGCCATAGTGGGCCAGGGCACAGCGTCTTAGGTTGTATTTCATGGCACTTGTCCTCTTTGTCCTGTTTGCTGGCTCCCCTCTGGAAATACTCCCTCCTGCTTGTCAAACAGAATCTTTACACTTGCCCTGAGTCCCTTTTTTTTCTTTTTTTTTCTTTTTCTTTTTGAGACAGAGTCTCACTCTGTAGCCCAGGCTGGAGTGCAGTGGCGCAATCTCGGCTCACTGCAACCTACACCTCCTGGGTCCAAGTGATTCTCTTGCCTCAGCCTCGCGAGTAGCTGGGACTACAGGTGCATGCCACCTCGCCTGGCTAATTTTTTATTTATTTGTTTTTTGTATTTTTAGTAGAGACAGGGTTTCACCATGTTAGCCAGGATGGTCTTGATCTCCTGACCTTGTGATCCACCTGCCTCGGCCCCTCAAAGTGCTGGGATTACAGGCGTGAGCCACCATGCCTGGCCCCAGAGTCCTTTTTCTTTTGTAACCGTTTGATGTAGGCAGCCATGCCACTTGTATTCTTCACTGTCTTTTTTTTTTTTTTTTTTTTTTCCCCTCAGCGCTAGCACAATATTTTACAAGGAAATTTGGGAATTAATGCCACAGTTAGCTTAAGCTATATAGATAATTAGGGTTTATAGTTCGAAAAATTGTCCAAACTGAACCTAGATACCTATTTCTTACGAATTTTTTTATTGCTGTGGATTCTTTTAAAATTTAGTGTCAAGTTGTATAGTTAAAGTTAGTTGTTTAAATAAAGTTTGTTTTTGTTTTTAGTGGTAGGGTTTGGGATTTGGGTGGAAAAAAAATAGAAAAAGATGCAGATTCTCAATTAATAAAGCCTGTTATTCTAACCTTAGCCTTTCAGACTTTGCAACTGTCATACTTCTGCCACCTACTGCAGAATGCTCTGATTGATGCTTGAACATTACGAGGTGTAAATAATAATTATTGGAGGCATTTATCAATTATTTTCTATGTGATAAGCACCCTATTGAGCGCTTTGCAGGCTGCATTAATTTCTGTGGGCTGCCATAACAAATTACCAGAAACTTGGTGGTTTAAAACAACATAATTTTTTTTCTCTCACAGTTATGAAGACCAGAAATCTAAAATAAAGGTGTTGGCAAGACCATGTCCTCTCTGCAGCCTCTTGGGAAGAATCCTTCCTTGCCTCCTCCTCTTCTGGTGGTTCTCATTATTCCTTGGCTTATGGCAGGTAAGTCCCATCTCTGCCTCCATCTGCATATGGTCGTCTCTGTATCTCTCTGTGTCCTCTCCTTTTCTTATAAGGACATCAGCCACTGGATTTAGCATCCTCCTTAACCAGTGAGATCTCATCTTTATAGTTAACTAATTACATTTGCAAAGACCTTCTTTCCAAATAAGATCACATTCTGAGGTTCTCAGTGAACATGAATCTTGTTGGGGGGCAGGTATTCAATCCACTCTCACATCGGGATTAGTAGATATAGTTATTTCCATTTCATCAATGGGAAAGGTGAGACCCAGGAGGAGATGAACTTGCCCTGCCACTGAACTGAACACTGAAAGAGTTTGGTTGAGGACTTAGCTCAGTCTGATGCCAGCTTTATTCTCTTTCTGCTGTGTCATGCTGCTTCTAGAAAACCAAACTGCAAACTCAAGTCTAGAAAGTAATGACATCAACATTTATCCATCCATTGGCTTCCAGACCATACCACTTGGAGGCAAAAGATCAGGAGTAAGTAGATAAATTCTCGTAGAATATGAGAATTTTGAGCTCCTACTAGGTGCCAAATTTTTATATGTCCCTTAAATAGCCACAATACCTTATGAAGTGACTATTTGAGGTCACTTCATTCAGGGATGGGATTGAGACTCAAAGATTTTGACTTGCCCAAGGTCACATAGCTAGTGGGTTACCGAACTCAAATTTTGTTTCAGATATTGTGTTGCATTTAAGTTCATGATGAGCTCATCAGTGGAAGTGATTATGCCATGTATTGCAATATTAGGTACTCCATCAGGACCTAACTATCCAACCATCACACAATGGTGAGAGGGCCAGGATCATTCTCCTGTAGGGTCCTAGTTCTAACTAGTGAGGTGACCTTAGACAAGTCAATTTTCTGGGCCTTTGTAATAGGAAGAGCTAGCACTGGACAATGCCTTCATTGCTGATGTTTTGTAAGCATATTGTATAGTTATAGGAAAGTGCCCTTGCCCATATATGTTAATATTTGCTGGAGTGTGGCCAGGGTAATACAAAGTATGTTCTCACTACTGACTTTTCACCCCCAAGTTAATAGTTAACTTTGCCTCCTTGTTTAACTATGCTGTCTGTTGGCTTTGGTCAGAAAGAAAAATTCTGAAACACCTAGTGGAACGGTGCTAACATTTGTCTTTCTTCACCTTTACTTGATGTGGTTTATTTCTATTAAGTTAGGTCAGGATAGCTTTTCAAAAACATGATATTTCAAAAACATAGTTTAGTGTAACACAATTTACCATATAAATCTCTGAACAGATAAATGTTCAAAATAGAAGTATTTTCTTTATATGTTCATGGTATTTTTAAAGGTTAGAGTCATCTATTGCAGCAATTTGGAAAATCCTTCTTTACAGGCTGCTCAGTAAAGGAAAGGTCTATGGCCGCACTGTGAGGTGGGAACAGTAGGAACTTTTTTTTTTTCCAGACAGGGTCTTATTCTGTCACCCAGGCTGGAATGCGGGGACCACATCTTGGCTCAATGCAACCTCTGACTCCCAGGTTCAAGCGATTCTCCTGCCTGAGCCTCTCAAAGTGCTGGGATTACAGGCATGAGCCACTGCATCCAGCCAACAGTGTGAACTTTGGGGTCATGCAAACCTTTGATCAATTTGAGTTCTGTAACCCACTAGCCATGTGACCTTGGGCAAGTCACAATCTCTGAGTCTCAATCTCATCCCTGAATGCACCTCAGAAAGTCACTTCATAAATTATTGTGTCTATAAAACGGACATATAAAAATTTGGCACCTAGTAGGGGCTCAATTAATCCACTCCTCCTCCTCCCTCCTTTAGTCTGTTGTTTTGTGGAGTAAAAATCCACCATTTTGCAAATGTGGTTAGGACCACACGATGTAATTCCCTTCTCTTCCAAGTCTACTGGTGAAGTGGAAAAGGTGAATCTATTTGTCTCATTTTGATTAGGCCTCAGGGAAGGCCTAATTCTGGAAGAAACTCAAGCAGCATGGAATGTTTTCTCGCCATTCAGAAACAGTGCCTACGTTCATACATGTAAATTGGATCTGCCATTCTGTCTCACCACTGGATTTTACCTCGGGTGCCCTGAAATGAAAGGAAGTTTTGAAGGAGCACCGTGAAACTGTCAGTGAGCTCACTTGATAAATCATTGTTGGAACTGGAGGGATTTTTGCTGTGGAGGTAACAAGGGGCCACAGCCTGCTTTGGTGCCCAGCCCAGAAAAGTATAGCTGAGACTTGGGCCTGCTTCTGGTTGCAAATTGTTTACTGCTCAGCACTGTGGGCACATTTCCTTTTGGCTCTGCACAGAAACGACAGATGCCCATGGTCATGCATCAGGACTTGGCCTGTCAGAGAAGCTTGTTTAGAAGAGATTTAGACTATGGAGGGAAAATCATCATGAGGGTGAAAAGGGTTGGGTAAGATTGCTGTGCGCAGAACCCCGGACAATGAAGGCAGGGGCAAGAGAATGGGCTGGGTCACCTTGGCAGGCCTCTCCAGTCCCAGCAGCAAACAGGTAATGAGCCTTTGTATGCTGCTTTTGTGTGCTAGCCCCTGTGCTCCCAGCTGGAGGAATGAGGGTAAATGAGAAACAGCTCCTGCCTCCGAGGTCAGAATTTAGTGCAGAAGACAGCCTATTAGCCATCTCGTGCAACAAGGCAGAACAGAGGCCTCTGCTCCACATGGAAGGAAGAGGGCACAGTTAAGGACAGGGCCTCTGCAGTCCCACAGCCTGGATTCAAACCCTACCTGAGCTGCTACCTAGCTGTGTGACCTTGGGCAAGGTGCCTGACCTCACTGAACCTCAGAGGCCTCACCTGTGAAATGAGGACTATAATAATACCAAACTCCTGGGGTTGTCAGAGGATGGAAAGAGCATTTTCAGAGTACCTGGCACATTGGAGGCACTTTGCTGTTAAAATATAACCCTCATGAAATCTGTTTTCAGTATGAGCTGAGACAGAGACCACATTTTGCAAACTGAAAACCAAGGCATCTGAATATGCCAGCAGAGCTCTCCTGATTTATACACATGTATTTGTGAAGTCTTACAGAGCGTGGAAACATTAAAGCACGTTTGGGTTTAACAGGAGAATCCAAGTATTTGACATTAGCACCTTGTCTGCCTTTTGCCACTGGTTCTTTCCAGCAGAGTCTTATGGGGCTCTTTCAAATGCTGGGGAGGCCTGGAAGCATCCCCAGGTCTTCAGCAAACTTCCTTAGGTAAAATCAGAGCAATGTAGGAAAGACTGGCTCTGTGATAAATCCAGGAGACCAAACGAAAAGACCCAGTGATGCAGAGAGAGCCAGTATGGGTAGAAACAGGTGCTTTCCAGGATAGCTCTCCTGTCTTCCCCACAGGTCTGCTTTCTGTTTCTAATAGTCCTGTTTCCATTCTATCCATCCTGACCCCACGCTGCCATGGAACACATCCTGAGCACATATATGTGTACATATGTTTATAAGCATTCACATGTGCCCATGGGTGTGCACACACACATATGTCAGGGCTATCTCTCTAAGCTCTCCTGGCTCTGAGGAAATAGTCTTGTTTCTAACTGGATCTAGGCAGGCCCCTAATAGTACATCCACTCAGGCCATAAGGCCTGTGAGCCAGGCTGTGTCTCCCACATACCACAGGTCTATTTCCTGCCCTCATTCTGACCTTCTCAGCAAGTCCTCGTTTCCAGCCCAATGCCCTCCTCCCTGACTTGGAGACAGAATTTGGCCCTCAGGGCTCCATGGGACACAGCCTGCAGTCATCCTATGGCTCCACACTGAAACCCAATCAAACTAGTTCCAGCCACTGGAACCCACCCAATGTAGATGGCCAGGCAGGCCTGAGCACCTGTGCAGGTGAGGAGGCATCACTCTGCCCCTCTGTAGCTGCAGCCTCTCTGTGATCCCCAGAGCCAACAATTTTTCCTCAACTCAGTTATGAATAGCACTTTCCCTCTCCAGGGAAGCATCATGGTGGCATACGATGAGAAAAGAATGGCCCTTGCATCGGAAGACTGTTCTAGTGTGGTGACATCTTGGGGAGATGCTGTAAAGATTCTGGGCCTTGATGTCTCCCTCCCACATTTTAAGTATCCCGTAAAGTTTTATAGACGGAAACACTCTGTAAATTTTTAAGGGAAACTATTCTTTCTTGCCCTTTCTGTTCCTACCTGCTCCCTTTCCACACTTGCCCCTCACACCCTTCCCCTTCATATTTCATATCAGAAGCAATATTTTTATTAATTCTCAATTCCTCCAACCACCTATTTCTGGATAATGATTCTGTTATAATAGATTTATATAAGCAATTAAAGACTGGGAGTGTGAGGACTGAGTTTTTCAAGAACAGGACTGTGTGCCAACTTCCCAGCCCCTAGCGCAGTGCCTGGTTGAGTGAATGAATGAACAAAGGAATGCATGCCATGACGAGTTTGCTACTTAGCATGAAAGGCTGCTTTATGCTAGCCAGACCAAAGATGCCATCTGGTAATGTGGAGTTCACTGCGGCATCCCATGAAGATTAGCTGCACAGCAAAGACTGACAGAGACACGAGATGGTGTCCACAGAAATGTCTCTGCTTCTGCACTGCCCTATTCCTACTTGGGACTCTTCCCAGAGTCCTCGTCTTGGCACGTGGCACTCCAGTCAGAACATAGAAGTTATCTTCAACATCATTCTCCCTTACTCACATTGTTTAGCCTTAGGGATCCCACATACCAAAACTTCTGTCTCTCTCTCTCTCTCTCTCTCCTGCTACCACCCCATATTTTTAGCCATTATTACCTCTTGCCTTTATTACTGTACAATACTAGATCCCTAATCTCTCCCCTAATTTGTTTAGCTAGAGTTATCATTTTCTAGCAAAAATCAGGTCATTTCCCTGCTTAAAACCCTTCCATGGCTTCAGGCTACATTTAGAATAAAATAGGACTCAAAATAAAATTTTGTATAGTAGTTATACAATGTGTAACTCTAACTTATACATTGCACAAAATAACTTAGCACAATGTATAAGTAGGAGTAATGCTAGCTGCTGTAACAAATGGAACACAAAACATATAATGGTTGAAACCCAGTAGAAGGCTATTTCTCTGGACATAACAGTCCAAGATGAGCGGTCCTAGTTAGCAATGGTTTTAAACCGTGATTTAGGAACCAAAGTTTCTTCTGTCTAGCAACTTTACTATTGTTGAGAGCCTCAAAGACATCTGCTTCTAGCTGGGAGAATGGAAAAGAGAGCTCTGGGGAGGTAAATCTATCTCTTAAAGGTCCCAGCCTAAAAATGACATGTATCATTTTGATTTGTTGGCAAGAAGTGGCCACATCAAAATGTGAGGATGATGGGAATGTAGTTCCTGATTGATCAGCCACTTCCCAGGAGCAACTGTGTATTCTGAAAGGGACAGCATAATTTTCAGTGGGAAGGAGTCATCTCTATAACACATGGCACACAAGGCCATATATGACATGCCCGACATTTTCTACTTCATTTGAGTCTGCCAGCATACCTTTCACTCTCAGTGGGCCACTGTCTTTCTTTCTCACTTGACCCACTCTCCAGCTCCCTTTCAGTGCCATAAATATTTGTTGAATGAATGGATCTATGAATGAATGAATATCTTATTTTTAATATTTATGAAATTAAATTAAGGTTAGGAGACAGAGTAATCTTGTATTTATTGAGCATTTATTATATGCCATTGCTTGGCTAAAATCTTCACATACATTATATAATTTAATCCTCAGACTAACTTTTCAAGATAAGTATCTTTACTTCCACTGTTCTCTGTGAGGGATCTGAAGCTCATGATTCCTAAGCATTTTGCCACAAATCAAATAGCCAGAACTTGGTGAAGGTGGAATTCATGCTCCCAAAGGTCAAGGCTCACTGGGATTTTTACAGTGTCGTTAAAGGAAATTCCACCAGTAGGAAGGACAGATCAAGCAAACTGCATTAGGACAAGAGTTCTTCACCTACTCTTGTCCTCTCATTTATATTTTCTTTTTATCTGTGCAGGCAGGTGCTGTGGAATGAGTGTTTTCTGTTTTCTTCTCTTTATTTAAATATGTTTTGGTAACAGTTAAGTACTTCTATAAGCCTACCCACTTCACCCACAAAAATTCTCTCATCCATACCTTCCATGTTTCTGGAAAGTTAAATTCTAATAGTGCCTTTTCCTATGAAGCGAGTCCATTCAGAAGAGCAAGTGATAAACAAGCACAGACTTAGCCATTGGTACCTGAGGGCTGCAAGGCCAAGCAAATCCATTCTCCATCAGGATTTCCTGGGGTCAGAGGTCAGAGCACAAAGAGGTTCCAGCTGAGGGGCAGGAAAATAGTACTGAACCCAAAAAGGGAGAAAGAAGGACCTGCTCCATAAAAGCAATGTAAAATAAGGCTCCACTTTGGAAACCTCTGTAAGCCGTTCACCATCCTGTCCCCCAGCTTATTCTTGTTTCCCTTTAGCCCCAACACCAACACTTTGGTGTCAATTACAGAATTCATTTTGAGGCTACAAGTGAAGGGAAGGGGATAGGGGATGAGAAGGTGATTCAACACATACATTCAATCAATGGTAAGACCAGATCACAGCCCTGTCCCTGCTAGAGTAGCCAAATGTTCGTTTACCTGAGACTGAAGAGCTACCCTGGTTGCAGGACTTTCAGTGCTAAAATCTGCAAAGTCCTGGGAGAATGATGACTTGGTCACCCTAATCCCTGCTGACCTACTCTCTAGAAAAATATACAGGAATAATTTATAACCCAGAAGTCATTTATAATTAGATATTAAAATAAATACCAAGATTCATTGAGTTAAAACACTTAGGATTTGTACATTTTTCTGTAGTATTTTACATTTTAATGTAAATTTTACTTTTAAAAGATCTCTAGTTTTAGAAGGTTGTTATTACTGTGTCACAAATAATAACTGCTATGACTTCATAGGTTACTAATCAGCAAACAGTTTAAATATTTAATTTGAACTCAGGTGATCTGTTTACAGATAATTATACAATGTAAAAAGATAGAGGGAAGTTTGTCATTAAAAACTGATTGCATTTGGCAATAACAATTGAATATTTTAAATTTTAATGTTATATGTTGCAACATTATCTTGTAAAATAAAAACTATAATAATCTATTCAAATTACAGTTATCATATAAATATCTATTATTTGCTTTTCTTAACATTGTTGAGTCAAGTCCTTAATTCTAGTGAAAAGTGAATACAAATCTGTGAAATATTAATATGAATTACATTTTAGAAAATAGGCTTCATTGAAGCATCCAAAAATAGGAAAATAAAATAATGAAAATGAACCTCAGATTTAACGTATGTGGATATTATGAGTCAGCCCATAGGTCAGGACTTTATTTAAAGCCTCACTGCTTTATTTAAAATGTCAGAAATGGTAGTGTTCATTTGTTCAGATCCTAGGTGAATACAGCAGGCCATCCTAAATTACTTTGCATATGTTGCTTTTAAGCAGAAAAGCTAAGGATAACCCGGGAAAGAAAACTTGCAATTTATTTAACATCATGACCTATATATGCAGAAAGGTAGGCCCCTGCTCTCTGTCATGGATAGGAGAGAAGAGAGGATGCCTATGCTCTGGTGACCGCACCTCTTAGATAACGCAGGCCAACTGCTGTCCTGTTTGTCCCTGAGGCGAGAGCGAGGAGATGCGAGGAACACAATGAAGGAGGGGACTCTAATGCTTCAAGGGGTACTGCCAATCATGGCACACGAGAAAACACATGCAATTCATAGTGCCAGTCAGCACTTACTTCGACTGAAAGAAAGTAAAATGAGGCAATAACACCCAGACCTTGCTAAAATGTACAATGTTTCCCTTTCTTACTCTCTTCATATATCTCCATATATCTCTCTTTGGGATGACTATTTTCTCCAAAGGAGACAGTGTCTGTTGGAATGTGTATGTATTTGAGGTGATCTATATCAGCATCTGTGATGGTTCATGTTCTGTGTCAACTTCACCAGGCTA